>NC_000011.10:57555377-57858407 GCF_000001405.40 Homo sapiens
GACAAAAAAAGGACAGATTTGCAAGATACCACTTATGTGCAGTACCCAGAATAGTCAAATTCATAGAAACAAAATACAAAAGTGGTCACCAGGTGCTGGGGAAAGAAAGGAATGGGGAGTTACTGAAGGGGTACAGAGTTTCAGTACAGGTAGACAAAAAGTTCTAGAGATGAACGGTGGTGATGGTTGTGCAACAATGTGTGTTTGTTTGTTTACTGAAGCAGGGTCTCGCTCTGTCACCCAGGCTGGAGTGCACTGGCATTATCATTGCTCACTGTAATCTCAAACTTCTGGGCTCAAGTGATCCTCCCACCTCAGCCTCCTGAGTAGCTGGTACTACAGGGGCCCACCACCATATCTGGCTAATTAAAAAAATTTTTTTGATAGGGTCTCACTGTGCCAGGGCTGGTCTTGAACTCCTGGACTTGAGCAATCCTTTTGCTCTGGCCTCCAGATTACTGGGATTACGAGCGTGAGCCACCATGCCCAGCTGTAATCCTATTTAATCCTATTTAATGACACTGAACTATATACTTAAAAATGGTTAAGATAGTAAATTTTGTTATGTGTATTTTACTATGATTAAAAACAAACAAACTCAGGGGCTGGAGTGACCTAGGGGTTGGGAGCTGCAAGGAGCCAGCAGAAGACCCTCTAGACTTTGAGCCACCTGAACACTTTTCTGAGCACCTGTCTGTGCTGTCCTGTGCTAAGGGTTTGACATGCATTAGCCTGTGCAACAGAGTATGGGGGTCACACAGACTCCGGAGCCACCCTGCCTGGGTGTGATTCAACTCTGACACTCACTAGCCATGTGATCTAACTAGGTCAGGTGCGGTGCCTCACGTTTGTAATCCCAGCACTTGGAGCCACCCTGCCTGGGTGTGATTCGGCTCTGACACTCACTAGCCATGTGATCTAACTAGGCCGGGCACGATGGCTCACGTTTGTAATCCCAGCACTTTGGGAGTCCAAAGTGGGCAGATCCCCTGAGGTCGGGAGTTCAAGACAAACCTGACCAACATGGAGAAACCCTGTCTCTGTTAAAAATGCAAAATTAGCCGGGTGTGGTGGTGCATGCCTGTAATATCCGCTACACGGGAGGCTGAGGCAAGAACCGAGAGGCAGAAGTTGAACCTGGGAGGCTGACGTTGTGGTGAGCAGAGATCACACCCTTGCACTCCAGCCTGGGCAACAAGAGCAAAACTCCGTCTCAAAAAAAAAAAAAAAAAAAAAAAGAGAGATGGAGTAAAAAAAAGTAGGAAGATAAAGAAAATATCTCATTTTTTATGGTCTCAGTAAGGAGAAAAGGCTGTGCCTATCAGTCAGAGAAGGCCAACAGCTGAGGCCTCAGAGCAGGATGGGAGGGTGCTGTGGTTGGATGTTTTGTCTCCTCAAATCTCAGGTTGAAATTTGATCCCCAAGACCTACGTGGCGGTGGCTCGCGCCTGTAATCCTAGCACTTTGGGAGGCTGAGGCAGATGGATTGCCTGGGCTCAGGAGTTTGAGATCAGCCTGGGCAACATGATAAAACCCCGCCTCCACTAAAATACAAAAAGGTAGCTGGGCGTGGTAGCATGTGCCTGTAGTCCCAGCTACTCAGGAGGCTGAGGCATGAGAATTGCTTGAATCCAGGAGGCAGAGGTTGCAGTGAGTCTTGCTCTGCACTCCAGAGTGAGACTCTGTCACCAAAAAAAAAAAAAAGGAAAGAAAAGAAAAGAATTTGATCCCCAATGTTGGAGGTGGGGCCTACCAGGAGGCGTATGGGTCCTGGGGGCAGACCTCCCACGAATGGCTCCGTGGAATGGCTCCGTGCCAACCTCACAGTCATAAGAGAGTTCTTACTCTATTACTTACTGAAAAAGCTGGTTGTTTAGAAGATCCTGGCACCTGCTCGCTCTCTCTCTCTTTCACTTCTTCTCTTGCATGTGATCTGTACACGTGGCTCCCCTTTGCCTTCCACCATGAGTGGAAGCTTCCTGAGGCCTCATCAGAAGGAGATGCTGGTGCCATGCTTCTTTTTTTTTTTTTTTTTGAGATGGAGTTTCACTTTGCTGCCCAGGCTGGAGTGCAATGGCGTGATCTCGGCTCACCGCAACCTCTGCCTCCTAGGTTCAAGCGATTCTCCTGCCTCAGCCTCCCAACTAGTTGGGATTATAGGCATGCACCACCACACCCAGCTAATTTTGTATTTTTGGTAGAGACAGGGTTTCTCCATGTTGGTCAGGCTGGTCTTGAACTTCTGACCTCAGGTGATCCGCCCTCCTCGGCCTCCCAAAGACATGGGATTATAGACGTGAGCCACCATGCCCAGCGCCATGCTTCTTGTACAGCCTGCAGAAGCTTGAGCCAAATTAACCTCTTTTCTTTATATATTACTCAGCCTCGGGTATTCCTTTACAGCAACACTAATGGACTAAGACAGGGGTATCAGTGTGTCCTGCCTGAAGGGGCTTCTTTCTGGGCTTCGTAGGACTTAACAGAGGAAGGAGGTAGCAGAGTCATGGAGCTGAGAGCTCCGGGGACCTGTCCCAGCTCTGCCTCGGGCTTGCTGTATGACTGAGCTTTCTCTGAGGATCAGTTTCCTCGTCTGTAAAATGGAGAAGCTGGACCAGAGGATTCCATGCTGTATCTTACAGTCAGTTGAGAAAGTCCCACTACCTTCTAAGTTCTAGGTTAAATAAAGGATTTTGCTACTTTATTTTGTTTTGTTTTTTTGAGACAGAGTTTTGCTCTTGTCATCCAGGCTGGAGTGCGATGGCCCAATCTCAGCTCACTACAACCTCCAACTCCCGGGTTCAAGTGATTCTCGTGCCTCAGCCTCCTGAGTAGCTGGGATTATAGGTGCCCACAACCATGCCCAGCTAATTTTTGTATTTTTACTAGAGACAGGGTTTCACCATGTTGGCCAGGCTGGTCTCAAACTTCTGACCTCCAGTGATCCACCCACCTCAGCCTCTCAAAGTGCTGGGATTACAGGTGTAAGCCACCGTGCCCGGCCTGCTACTTTTTAAAAAATTTTGAAAACTATTCATTTTTCATGGAGTGGTTAAAAGAGAAGACCCTGGAGTCCGCTGAATTCCACTCCTGCCACCTTATTCTGAGTGACCCCAGACCAGTTACTTAACCTCCTTGGTTTCCATCTCTGCAATTTTAAGAGGAAGACAACCTTCCTCACTGGATGGTTGAGAGGATTCAATATGACCTCATATGTCGTGTGCTTAAAACAGCACTTGGTCCACAGGAAACTCTCAAGGAATGAGAATTTTACTATTAGCTTCGAAAGACTCATCGAGCTGAATCCTTCCATGACCAAGATGTGACAAGTGGGGCCACTTTGGTGAACACATAAACTGAGACTGAGCCTTTGAGGAGGAATTTGTGTGCTATTCCAAAAGACCTTTCCTGGTTCTCCTTCCTCTGCCAGTCAACCATCCCCTCCTTTATGGCCTCACCAGGCACCTTCAGGCCCCCTTAGCTGATGACTTACATCAAGCTTTGGTCCTCCAGCTCTGGGATTCCTCCCAAGTATCATGTTTCTTCAGGACTCCTATATGGCTGGAAGGTCTGTGGCCAGTTCCTGGGGCGCACTTAACCACCTTGGTCTTGCCAACTATTGAGGTCCTCTGATTTCATAGTACTCTGCCAAACGAGACCTTTCCTAGGTTTTCCTATCACCCCTGCTTTCATCATCTCAAAGTTGGTCTCCTTGGAGATATAATCAGTCCCTGGAGCTCCTTTGAGCATCTTCTCCCGGCACCTGAGGCCTAGAACAGGTGTCCTCACTCTAAGCCAGGTAAGTGGATCGTTTCAACACAGTAACCCAAGGGACTTGACAGAGGTTCCCATGTTGACCTGACTCAGGCCTTTCTCTACTTTTCTGGACTATAGGTCAGTTTAAAGAGAAGACGACACAACCTAGGCCACTGCATTGTCAATAAAAAGTAAATCCTGCCGGGTGTGGTGGCTCCACCTGTAATCCCAGCACTTTAGGAGGCCGAGGTGGGCAGATCACTTGAGGCCAGGAGTTTGAGACCAGCCTGGCCAACATAGCAAAATCCTGTCTCCACTAAAAACACAAAAATTAGCCAGGCATAGTGGCACGTGCCTGTAGTCACAGCTACTCAGGAGGCTGAGGCAGGAGAATCGCTTGAACCCCAGAGTGGAGGTTGCAGGAAACGAACATCGCATCACTGCACTCCAGCCTGGGTGACACAGTAAGACTCTGTCTCAAAAAAAAAAACAAGTCCAAATCCTAAATGATAAGATGAATTGTTCCTTTGATATTCCAAAGAGCTTTGACTAACAAAAAGTTCAATGTCTTAAATTTTATTTCCAAGTAATGAAAAGTGTAGATTAATTTCTCAAAGTATCTTTAGTCACTAATAATCGGATGAAAAAAAGAGAGATCTTGCACTCTGAAAACTATTTTGGAATACTGCTTTCAGAGAGACTTTATCAAGAAAATACCAAATAATAAACAGAGAAAAATAAGAACAGTAGAAATGAGCTATTTGTGTTTTCATATGTAACAATTTTCTGAAATAAGACTACAGAAAAACAAAATACAATTTAGGTTTGCGGGAGCAAATTCTCCCAACTGTGAGAGCCTGGAAGTTTATCCCTACCCCTTGACAAAGGTCCAAGAAATCTTTATTTCTTCTTCTTTTTGATGCTGTTTGTCTCCTGAAGTTCTGTGGTGGGCTTGGTGGCTACCGGTTTAAGGAAGGGGTCTCCTACTAAGTCAAAAGTCCTTTGGCATCTTTATCAGAAGGTGAACCTCAGAAGTATCTGGATCTCAGAAGCAATCAATTCAGAGAGAAGCCCCCTCCAGCAATGATAACCTCCAGTAAAAGGATCTCAAGCAGGGAAAATTCTTGCCTAGTCCTAACCCTCCCTGCCCATGTCCCTGGCCTAATTTGGCCCCAATCCAAAGCCATGGTCCCCATGGATACTCACGGGTAGGAGGAGAGCGTGCCACACCAGGACATTGGCATCATCGCTGGACAGGTTCCGCAGGTATGGGGGAGGCTTCTTCTGAAGATCCTCCAGCTCCTGCAGGGGACACAAGTGAGTGGGCAGTTGGCCTAGTCCTCCTTATTTCAGCCCCCTCCCCCTGCCCCAGCAGCAAGCTGCCCCAAGTTCAAAACTGGCCATCTTAGGGGCAGAAGCCGGTAAAGTCAGAGCCTACATTTACTGAGCACTTAGTATGTATCAGGCATGGTGCTGGTGCTTTTTCTTTTTTCTTTTTTTTTTTTTTTGAGACAGAGTCTCGCTCTGTTGCCCAGGCTGGAATGCAGTGGCGCAATCTCGGCTCCCTGCAAGCTCCGCCTCCTGGGTTCACGCCATTCTCCTGCCTCAGCCTCCCGAGTAGCTGGGACTACAGACGCCCGCCACCACGCCCCGCTAATTTTTTGTATTTTTAGTAGAGACGGGGTTTCACCGTGTTATCCAGGATGGTCTTGATCTCCTGACCTCGTGATCCGCCCGCCTCAGCCTCCCAAAGTGCTGGGATTACAGACGTGAGCTACCGCGCCCAGCCGGTGCTGGTGCTTTAAGTGAATTTTCTGACTGTGGCCTCACCACAACTCTGGTACACCTAGGTACTAGGTGCAGGGAAAAATAGATCACTTCTCCCAGATATTAAAACTTGGGAGTAAGTGCTCTTAGGAGGCTTTTCTCCTGAAAGCAGGGTACTTAACCTCTGCTCTCTAGCCTTCTTCCTAGAAAGTCACTAGGTTCTAATTCCCTTCCTCTCTTCCTTTCTTCCTTCCGTAAGCATCGACTGAGCATCTGCAGCAAAGACATGACCCCACCGCTTCAAACTCTGCCAGATCAGGGCTGGAGAAGGGAAATGACTCCGGAAGACCATAGCAGAGAAGAACTCTACACACCAAGTGGGGAAACAAGGGGGCAAGGAGTGACTCATCTTCCCAAAACTGTGGCCCAAACACCTGAATATCCCTTCTGAATTCTCCCAACAGCCATTACTGAGCATCTTCTACTGACATTTAACTGAGACAGGACCCAGTCCTCAAGAATTTCAATAGAGTAATGGACGAAACATGGATGTGATTATGTGAATGTGTATGGATATACGGTAAGGAAGGAGATGAGAGGGGAGAAGGAAGGTTTCACAGAGGGTGCACTCTGTGAGCTGGGCCATGCAGAATGAACAGGAATCCATAAAGCAGAGAAGGGGAGAAGCACCAGGGCAGAGGGCCCAGATGGGAAACATAAGTACAGTATGTCCTGCAGAAGGTTAATAGGTAGTACAGGAAAAGGGTTCCAAGGTCAAGTACATTTGGTAAATCTCGGCTAAAGAGGTTTCTTCACTGGAGAACTTCCCACAGCCTTTAATATGCTATTGTGTATGGTGATTGACCAAGCTGTGGGCCCACAGCATGCAGTACTTCTCAAATGTATTTGACAAAGGAATGCTGCCCCTCTTTTAGAGTCCATCTTGTGGGACTACAGGCCTTTTCTTGTTGGGGAAGATAAAGACACTCAAGGGCAGGTCACATTTCTCTGGAACAATGAATTGGTACAAACCAGTGGTTCTCAACCAGGGGCGATTTTACCCAGCCAGGGACATTCGGTAATATCTGGGAACATTGTTCCGTTGTCATAAATCGGGAGAGTGGATAGAGGCCAGAGATGCTGATAAACATCCTAACAAAGAATTATCTGGCCGAACAAGAGGGGAGACCGCTGCCCTGCAGGGTGAGTCTCAGGCCTGGTCACATTCACCACAAGCTGACTGAAGGGCCTTTGGGCCTTAGGCGAACATCAGCAGTAGTACCCTGGCAGTACTCCTCATAGACCCGTGGTGGTGGTGGACAAGGGGAGAGACTCCTATATCTGGGGAAAAGGGAGGGAAGAGTGGGAAGGACTGTGTCCTGTGGTTTCAGTGCCAGCTTAGCTGCAGTAGCACAGAGCACTAGAGAGATTTCTAAGGTTTCCGACTCCAGGCCCTGGCCCATGGACAGCAACTGTGGACCTCTCTGGGGCCCAGCAGTGAACTAACCACCCTAAGGGGAAGAACACAAGCCTGGCTGGCTTCACCACCTGCTGATTGCAGAGCCCTAGGGCCTTGAGCGAACGTAGGGCATAGCCAGGTAGTGATTACAGCGGGCCTTGAGCAAAACCCAGTCTTGTGCTGGCTTCAGGCCTGACCCAGTGCAGTCCCAATTCTGGTGACCATGGGGATGCTTGTGTCACACCTCACCCAGCTCCAGGGAGCTCAGCACGGAGAGTAAGACTCCATTTGTTTGGGAGAAAGTAAGGGAAGAAAATGAGAGTCTCTACCTGGTAATCCAGAGAATTCTTCCTGATGTTATCCAAAACCACAAAGGTAGTAACCTCTAAAAGTCTGCAAGAACTACAGTGTTACTAGGCTTGGAGTGCCCCCTTATGTAGACATGGCTGCAGTGACCAAAACTTAGATCACAACAGCCAAGCCCCTTCCAATACCTCGAAAGCCTTCCCAAGAAGGATGAGTACAAACAAGCCCAGACTACAAAGACTATAATAAATACCTAACTCCTTAGTGCCCAGACACCAACAAACATCCACAAGCTTCAAGACGATCCAGGAAAACACAGCCTCACCAAACGAACTAAATAAGGCACACAGGGCCAATTCCAGAGAAACAGAGATATGTGACCTTTCAGACAGAGAAATCAAAATAGCTGTTTTGAGGAAACTCAAAGAAATTCAATATTTCCTCCACAGAGAAGGAATTCAGAATCCCATCAACAAATTTAACAAATAAATTGAAATAATTAAAAAGAATCAAGGAGAAATTCCGGAGTCGAAAAATGCAATTGAGGCCGGGTGCAGTGGCTCATGCCTGTAATCCCAGCACTTTGGGAGGCCGAGGCAGTCAGATCACCTGAGGTTAGGAGTGCAAGACCAGCCTGGCCAACGTGGTGAGGCCCTGTTTCTACTAAAAATACAAAAATTAGCTGGGCATGGTGGTGCAGGCCTGTAATCCCAGCTACTTGGGAGGCTCAGGCAGGAGAATTGGAGAGGCAGAGGTTGCAGTGAGCCGAGAGCATGCCATTGCACTCCAGCCTGGGCAACAAGAGTGGAACTCTGTCTCAAAAAAAAAAAAAAAAGAAAGAAAGAAAAAAATGCAATTAACATACTGAAACGCATCAGTCTTTTAACAGCAGAATTGATCAAGCAGAAGAACTAGAGTGTTTAAAGACAGGGTATTTGAAAATACAGTCAGATGAAGCAAAATAATAAAAGAATAAACAAAGACTTTGGGAGGCCGAGGCAGGTGGATCACGAGATCAGGAGATCGAGACCATCCTGGCTAACACGGTGAAACCTCATCTCTACTAAAAATACAAAAAAAAAAAAAAAAATTAGCCGGGCGTGGTGGTGGGCGCCTGTAGTCCCAGCTACTCAGGAGGTTGAGGCAGGAGAATGGTATGAACCCAGGAGGCAGAGCTTGCAGTGAGCCAAGATTGTGCCACTGCACTCCATCCTGGGCAACAGAGCGAGACTCCGTCTCAAAAATAAAAAAAAAGAATAAACAAAGAATGAAGTATGCCTACAGGATCTAGACAATGGCCTCAAAAGGGCAAATCTAAGAGTTACTGGCCTTAAATAGGAGGTAGGGAGAGAGACAGGGCTAGAAAGTTTATTCAAACGGATAGTAGCAGAGAATTTCCCAAATCTAGAGAAAGATATCAATATCCAAACATGAGAAGGTTATAGAACACCAAGCAGACTTAACCCAAAGAAGACTACCTCAAGGCATTTAATAATCAATCTCCCAGATGTCAGGGATTAAAGAAAGGGTCCTAACAGCAGCAAGAGAAAATAAACACATAACATACAATGGAGCTCCAATATGTCCAGCAGCGACTTTTCAGTGGAAATCTTACAGGCCAAGAGAGAGTGGCATGACATATTTAAATGAAATACGGCTGAGGGAAAAAATCTTTTACCCTAGAATAGTATATCCAGTGAAAATATCCTTCAAACATGAAGGAGAAATAAAGACTTTCCCAGACAAACAAAAGCTGAGAGATACCATCGACACCAGACCTGTCCTACAAGAAATGCTAAAAAGGAGTTCTTCAATCAGAAATTTAAAAAAATTTTAATGAGCAATAAAAAATCATCTGGGCTGGGCATGGTGGCTCACGCCTGTAATCCCAGCACTGTGGGAGGCCAAAGCCGGTGGATCACCTGAGGTCAGGAGTTCGAGACCAGCCTGGCTAACATGGTGAAACCACATCTCTACTAAAAATACAAAAATTAGCTGGGCGTGGTGGCGGGTGCCTGTAACCCCAGCTACTCGGGAGGCTGAGGTAAGAGAATCACTTGAACCCACGAGGCGGAGGTTGCAGTGAGCTGAGATCGTGCCATTGCACTCCAGCCTGGGCAACAAGAGCGAAACTCCGTCTCAAAAAAAAAAAGAAAGAAAAACACAGATTAGTATAACACTGTATTTATGGTATATACACTACTCATATCTTAAGTAGAAAGAGGAAAAGATGACCAATTAAATATAATAACTACAACAATTTTTCAAGAGGTAGACAGTACAATAAGAAAGAAATAGAAATGGCCGGGCACAGTGGCTCATGTAATCCCAGCACTTTGGGAGGCTGAGGTGGGTGGATCACCTGAGGTCAGGAGTTCGAGACTAGCCTGACCAACATGGAGAAACCCCGTCTCTACTAAAAATACAAAATTAGCCAGGCGTGATGGTGCCTGCCTGTAATCCCAGCTACTCAGGAGGCTGAGGCAGGAGAATCACTTGAGCCTGGGAGGCGGAGGTTGCGGTGAGCTGAGATGGCACCATTGCACTCCAGCCTGGGCAACAAGAGTGAAACTCCATCTTAAGGAAGGAAGGAAGGAAAGAAAGGGAGAGAGAAAGAAAGAAGGAAAGAAATAGAAACAACAAAAAGTTAGTAAGCGGAAAGACGAAGTTAAAGTATACAGTTTGTATTAGTTGTTTTTTTTTTTTTTTTTTTTTTTTTTGAGACAATGTCTCACTCTGTCACCCAGATTGGAGTCCAGTGGCACAATCACAGCTCACTGCAGCCTCAACCTCCTGGGCTCAGGTGATCTTGCTACCTCAGCCTCCCAAGTAGCTAGGACTACAGCAGTGTGCTACCATGCCCGGCTAATTTTGGTACTTTTTGTAGAGATGGGGTTTGGCTGTGTTACCCAGGCTGGTCTCGAACTCCTAGGCTCAAGCAGTCCGCGAACCTCAGCCTCCCAAAGTGCTGATATTACAGGAGTGGGACACCACGCCTGGCCTTCATTAGTTTTCATTTTGCTTGTTTGTTTATGTAATCAGTGTTAACTTGTCATCAGTTTAAAATAACAGGTTATAAGATATTATTTACAAACCTTGTAGTAACCTCAAATCTAAAAACATACAATGGATACATAACAGTTATGTGACCCAAAATGTCAGTAGTGATGAGGTTGAGAAACTGAAGCTCTCCAAACCCAGTCCACAAGTGGGGAGGGGTCCTTTAACACTGTGGACCATTTGAACTTTCTCTGCCTTACCCCCACCCCCAACATATAATATAAACACATCCCATGCCCCCCTCCTATCCCTCAGCCTATGTTCTATTTCTGTTCAACCAATAAGCTGCTTCTGGTGCCTTCCACCCAGGGTCAATGGCCCTTCATTTATCTTTACCCCAAACTAGAAGCATCTGCACTTGTAAGAGTTTCTCTATCATCTGTGACTCTTTGGCAAGAACAAAGCCCAGGGCTGACCGGAGAAGATCTGGAATAGACATTTTCCAGGTCTTGGAAAGATAAAGACACTTGAACTTTATCTGTTTAGGATGAGTTCTGCCAGAACTTTCCCAAAGCCTGAGGAAGTTGAAACCCAACCTAAAACACACAGTTCTTTCCTACTGCCTACTAGGAAATCACCTGACTCAGAGGAACAGAAAATGAAAGTAGAAAGGCCATTAAGAGAGCCTGCAGGCTGGAGGCCTGTGGACCTGGTTTCATATTCCAGTCCCATTGCTCCTTACTGAAAGACTCTGGACAAGCAAGTTATTTCCTCTGTGCCTCAATTTCCTCATTTGTAAAATGCGGGTATATATTACTTATCTCACAGAACTGCTGTGCGAATTAGATGAAATAACCATGTAAACCGTTTGGCATGTAATGGTTCCAATGCAATAAATTCTGGCTCCCATCTCTCTTCCACTTGGCTGGAAAGACCCTCTGCCTCATTTTGCTGCCAACCTCCAGATTTAGTATCTAGGCCAAGCCTGCTCTGGGCATCCCAGTCTGAGGCCATTTTCTTCTCAGAGGCTGAGGGTAGCAGGCACCCTCTTCCTAGAGCCTGCCCCTCCACCCTGCAGACTGGAAGGGGCACTTCTGAAAGACTTGGGGTGCCAGACTCACTTCACCAGGATCACCTTCCTCCCTAATCCATCTCCAAACACCCTGGGTTTTCCCACCTTCTGGAGGAAACTGCCCCCTCCCCATCCTTCCAGATCTTATTTCAAATTGTGTCCCTGATAGGAACAAAATTCAACAAGGGCCGGATTTGTGTTCATCTCTGCCCGCCCCCCCCCCCCTCCTAGAACAGGGCCAGCACATGTAGGCATTCAACACTTGTAGAACTCACGAACGCAAGCCACCTACTCCAGGAGGCCTTCCAGGTCCACCTCCGCATCTTTTCCTCCAGAGAATACTCAGGGAACTTTGTCCCAAATTCTAATCAGCATTCCGTGTTTCTCAGGACTCTAGTAATACAGGCATCAAATTATGGGATGGGCTATGGGCTTATTCCAAGGCAAGGACTTCATCCTGGTCATCTGTGTTCATAACCCACCACCAGCAGTAGCAGAATGCCTGGCACCAAGATGCCAAGGACTTTTCCTGCACTGGAGATGCACCCAGTTGTTATCACAAGTTTCAGGCAGGAAAAGCGAAATTGAAACCAGTTTTGGGGGAGCCGGCTCATCTTCACCACGCGAACGGCTCAAGCAGAGGCCTCCAAACCCCCAAAACCCCAGCTCTGGCCACTCTTGCAGGCCAGTCCTCCTCTGAGTAGAGGGCGGGGAGGACAGGGATTCAGCCAGCCCTGGTGCCCAGACAAATAAATAAATGTGCTCGGAGAGCCGCGGAGGGGATGGAGGGAGGAGGGAATGCGGGAGGCGAGGGGAGCCAAGAGAAAGGGGTCATCCTATACGCGGTTACCTTCACCACTCGCATGCTCGCCATCATGTCGGGACCGAGTGTGTGGCACCCGTGGCCTCCAGCAGGACCGAGCTCCGACCCGCGACACAGCGCGCCCCGCCCCGCCCCGGGGACCCCACCCCCGGCAGCCCCGCCCACCCCTCCTCCAGCCGTCGCTGCGTGGGCCTCCCCGCACCCGCTCCGGCGAGGCCAGGAGGCCGTCGAAGGACGACCCGCCGGACAACCGCCCGATCCCCGCGCGGAAGGCTCGGACCCGGGACTCACGGTCTTTGTGCGGAGACGGGGGCGGGCCTCGGGGCGCACGGCTTTGCTGATCCCTGCCTCCCGCGGGGTGCGCCGTGCACCGGCGGCGAGCGCTCAGGGGCGCTGGGGGGCGCTCATACGGGTTCCAGTCTTCGCTCCGCCGGCGGCCGCACCGGGAGCTCTCCGGTCTTTGTCAGCCCCCTGCACGCCGCCCCAAATACACACTCGCCCTGAATAAATAAGGGATGCTCGCTGTACAGACGCAGCTCCGTGACAGTTCTCAGCGGCCTCCACTATCGGACTGCCGCCTTGAGCCCCTGCCCCAGCAAGCTGCCGGAGCCGCCGAGCCTGCCGCCTTCCCTCCATGGGCCCAGCGCTCCATCTCCGAAACTGCGTGGGGGATGGCGTAGACCTGTGCCCTCCGAGCACCGCTCCCCGGCAGTCGGGGATCCTTTGTGCTGCCCGGCGTTCGGCGCGGGCTGCAACGTTTCTCCCCGTGGCTTGGGGCAGAGCACCGCAAGGAGGCGCTGTTGGACCCTTTCTCTTTTGCTTTGGGGGTTCGGTCTACCATCATTCAGTCCTTTACTAGGTTTAGTATTTACTAAGTGCCTACTGTATGCTGGTTTGGGAAACAGTTGGTGGGGGAAGCCCCAAGAAGGACTCAGGAGCCTCCTTTCCAAGAGAGAGTCTGCTTCCCCTCCCTTACTTTACTACTGGTCCATTACAAGCTGTGGGCCTAATGTGTGCCCCCATGCACAGCTGGAGTCCCCAACCCTCTGTGCAAGGACAGAGTACTTGCAGCCCCTGAGCACCAAGCAGCATCTGGGGAAGATGAGACTTGTTGGGAGGGCCGATCCCCTCCTTCTCACCCTTCCCTACCCCCGTTTAGTCCAGACGAGAAAGGAAATCAGTATATTTTGAGCACCAGTTTGTGATCTCAGTACCTCACAGTTTTTTTGTTTCTTGTTTTTCTGACAGAGTTTCACTGTCGCCCTGACTGGAGTTCAGTGGCGATATCGGCTCACTGCAACCTCCGCCTCCCGGTTCAAGCTGTTCTCGTGCCTCAGCCTCCTGAGTAGCTGAGATTTACAGGCGCGCGCCACCACGACCGGCTCATTTTTGTATTTTTAGTAGAGTCAGGGTCTCGAGCTCCTGGTTTCAAGTAATCCACCCGCCTCGGCCTCCCAAAGTGTTGGAATTACAGGCGTGAGCCACCGTAATGTTTTTATCCAAGTATTTTGAAACCAAATGACTTCTCTGCTCAGATTTTGCAGAACGATTAATTGTTTCATTCAATTCAATGAACTTTAACAGCATTTTCTATATGCCCGAAATGAATAGGACACTCCGTAATCCCTTAACAGGGGTAGAGATGAGGGAACAAAGACATTCGAACCTGCCTGTGATCAATAGTCTCAGTCAACAAGCGCCTACTACTGAGTGGCAGGCATTGCCAATAGGAAACACCAGGATGAGAAAGGGGAGTCCCTGCTCCTGAGGAGTTAGTTCCCAGACTACTGGGACAGAGGGAGAGAATGCAGCCCCTGATTTTTAATGATAATGCTATAGAGAATCACCTGGTACTCTGGGAGTATGAGGAGGGTCACTTTATCCCTCTTCAGGGAGGGGCAGAGGTTTCCCGGAAGAGAGAAAAATCCAAGTGTATTGTGAAACATGATGAGTCAGCGAGAAGTAAGAGCGTGGGATGAAGATGTTCTAACAAGAGGGAACAGCATGAGCAAACGGGGCAGTGTCTATGGAAACTGGAGCAAAAGCCTCTGTCCACGTATCGTAGCTCTCCTTTTCTTTTCTTACAGGAACGCTGCATCCCGAGGTGAATTAACAGTCATGGATATAGCTGGGTCCTAAGTCCCCACACAGTGGGGCAGCCCACTGGTGTGCCTTTCATGTCCTTTCACAATGCAGACCTTTGTGTGTCAGAACAAGCCCCAGGGAGACCTGGGTTCTAGTTCCACATCTGCCCCCATGTGCAGTTATGGCCTTGGGTGGTCGGCGGAAACTCCTATCTGCTTGCCAGGACCATTGTGAGGCTAAGCTGAGGGAAGTGGAGGAACTTAGAATATTGTAAGTCGCCGGGCGCAGTGGCTCACGCGTGTAATCCCAGCACTTTGGGAGGCCGAGGCAGGCGGATCACCTGAGATCAGGAGTTCGAGACCAGCCTGACCAATATGGTGAAACCTCGTCTCTACTAAAAATACAAAAATTAGCCGGGCATGGTGGTGGGTGCCTGTAATCTCAGCTAGTCAGGAGGCTGAGGCAGGAGAATCGCTTGAACCCAGGAGGCAGAGGTTGCAGTGAGCCAAGATCACGCCATTGCACTCCAGCCTGGGGGACAGAGCAAGACTCCGCTCAAAGAAAAAAAGAAAAGAAAATTCTAAGTCCGAGGCCTGGCATGGTGGCTCATGCCTATAATCCCAGCACTCTGGGAGGCCAAGGCAGGCGGATTACCTGAGGTCAGGAGTTCGAGACCAGCCTGGCTAACATGGCGATACCTCGTCTCTACTAAAAACACAAAAATTAGCCAGGTGTAATGGCGTGCGCCTGTAATCCCAGCTACTGGGGAGGCTGAGGCAGGAGAATCACTTGAACCTGGGAGGCAGAGGTTGCAGTGAGCCGAGACCGGGCCATTGCACTCCAGCCTGGGCGACAAGAGCGAAACTCTGTCTCAAAAAGCAAAACAAGAAAATTGTAATTCCAGGATATAAACAATCAGGTTTGAATCCCAGCTCCACTATTTTTGGCTAAATAACCTTGGGCACATTACTTAACCTGTCTGTGCCTCCATTTCCTCATCTGTTAAATGGAGCTCATAACAGTGGATGTGAGAAACAATGAGTTGATATTTGCAAAGAACTTAACTTTGAATGGTGGACAATAAGTGACAGTTATGATAATGATAACATAATAAATATTAAAATGATGTCAGGTGCCTGCCTCAGAGTGAATGTACCAGGCTGTAGGAACAGATGCCTGAGCTTGCTCCCTTAGAACAACAGCAACACTATTTTCTCCAGTAGGAGACCCTGTTTTACTTCTCCCTGATCTGGTCACTGGCATTTATTCATCCATCTACAAAATTTATTGAGCACCTACTTATACAAGGCCCTGTATGGGGTACTCGATGGGATTCAGGCATTGATTGGTTAGGCTGGCTCGTCTTCACCATTGAGAGGAAGAGACACACATCTGTGTGATGACAAAAGGTGGTAGGAGAAAGGCCTCTTAAGTGACGTGCACATATGAGGTATGTCTCTTCCAAGACTGAGCTCTGCCAGCTGTAAGGCTTGCCAGTCTCTTATGAGGATAAAATGAGATGGTGTATGTGAGCAGACACCTTGTAGGTGTGAAAGTACGTTATCTATTTATAATGCCTCTAGAGTTCTGGGCAAGAGGTTCAGATTTTTCAAATGTCTCCAAGAACCTTCAGTGCATCTTCAAAGGAAGAACTTGGATCAGGAAGGATCAGTTGATTTCTTTCCATGCCCATTCCTTGGGCTTGTTCCTATTTGGAGTAGGGACGGTTAATCTCAGAACTACCCCAGCTCTCCCCATCTTCCTAGAGCTTAAAGAAGTTCCTGGGCCAGGTGCGGTGGCTCGTGCCTATAATCCCAGCACTTTGGGAGGCCAAGGCAGGCAGATCATCTGAGGTGGGGAGTTCGAGACCAGCCTGACCAATATGGAGAAACCCCTGTCTCTACTAAAAATACAAAATTAGCCAGGTGTGGTGGTGCATGCATGTGATCCCAGCTACTCGGGAGGCTGAGGCAGGAGAATCACTTGAACCTGGGAGGTGGAGGTTGCAGTGAGCTGAGATCGAGCCATTGCACTCCAGCCTGGGCAACAAGAGCAGGCAAAAAAAAAGAAGAAGTTCCCAGGAACCAGAGACAGAAGAGAATTTCCTGCTTCTTTTGATCCTCGTGCTTACCCCACACCCCCCCTTCCTCTGGGTTAGTCTCACACACACACACACACACACACCCCTCCTGTACCATGAGCCCTGCCCTTGTGGTTGAGGTGGAGGGATGGATAGAGGCAATCAAGGAGTCAGGGAGTCCCAGGAGGGGAGCTGGGGGTATTCTTGCCACAAGAGCAGGAAGGTGGCCTGATGAGTGAAGGACCTGCTTCCTCAGTGGGGCTCAACCACTCACTGACTTCCTTGTTGTGGGACTTTGGACATGAGAAGTAACAGTTAACAACAGATAACAACAATAACTAATGTATATTGGATGTGCAAGGATGTATCAGCAGCTTGGGCTGCCATCACAAAATACCACAGGCCAAATGGCTTTAACAACAGGTTTTATTTTCTCACAGTTCTGGAGGCTGGAAGTCCAAGATTAAGATTCTAACTGATTTGATTTCTGATGAGGGCTCTCTTCCCAGCTTGTGGACGGCTGCCTTCTTGCTATGTCCTCACATGGCCTTTCCTCAGGTGCTTGTGCAGGCAATGTGGGTATTAGAGAAAGTGAGCTCTCCAGTGTCGCTTCTCACATGGACATGAATTCTGTCCGATCGGGGCCCCACCCTGATGACTTCATTTAATCTTAATTACTCTTTAGAGGCCCCATGTCCAAATACAACCACACTGGAGGTTACAGCTTCAACATGTGAATTTTGAGGGACACAAACATTTATTCCATAACATAGGTTTGTGCTAAGTGCTTGACATGCAGTATCATAATTGATCCATTCAATAATGCTTGCTTAATTTTCTCTCTAACTTCCTAAAATAGGTTCTTTTATTGTTACCAGATTTTTTTTTTTTTTTTTTTGAAACAGAATCTTACTCTGTCACCCAGGCTGGAGTGCAGTGACATGATCACTACTCTCCACAGCCTCAACCTCACAGGCTTAAGCGATCCTTACAGCTCAGTCCCCCAAGTAGCTGGGACTACAGGCATGTCCCACCATGCCTGGCTAATTTTTGTATTTTTGTAGGCACAGAGTTTCACCGTGTTGCTCAGGCTGTTCTCAAACCCCTGGACTCAATTGATCCTCCTGCCTTGGCCTCCCAAAGTGCTGGGATTACAGGCATGAGCCACTGTACCCAGCCTTGTCTCCATTTTATAGGTAAAGAAACTGAGGCTAGGTGACTACTGGCCCAAGGTCACACACTCTCTAAGATGGAACTTAAACCCAGAACTACTGACTTCCTGCTTATTAACTGCCACGTCTGTCTGGGCCTTAAGTTCTTCATGTTAAAAATGAGGGTGAGAAGGCCGGACGCAGTGGCTCACACCTGTAATCCCAGCATTTTGGGAGGCCAAGGCGGGCAGATCATCTGAGGTCAAGAGTTTGAGACCAGCCTGGCCAACATGGTGAAACCCTGTTTCTACTAAAAATACAAAAAAATTAGCCAGTCCTGGGGGCGCCTACCTGTAGTCCTAGCTACTTGGGAGGCTGAGGCAGGAGAATCGCCTGAACCTGGGAGGTGGAGGTTGCAGCGAGCCAAGATTGCACCATTTCACTCACGCTTGGGCAACAAGAATGAAACTGCATCTCAAAAAAAAAAAAAAAAAAAAAAAAAACTGGTGAGAATCTCTGCCCTGTCTACTTCATGCGGGGTTTTACCTGGAAGACTTTGATTCCTGCAAAGTGAGATGTGCACATATAAGTTGTTTTCCTTAAGCAGAAAATATCCAATGATAGAAGTGTTCTAAAATGTGGCTGTCCCAGGACATTCAAATTAGCCCCCCTTAATCTCAGAACTGGAAGGGAGCTTTGAGATCATCTACAGTTGATGCTTGAACAATGCAGGGGTTAGGGGCATTGACCCCCGTGCTCAGTTGAAAATCCACAGATAACTTTTCACTCCCCCAGAACTTAACTACTAATAGCCTACTGTTGAACAGAAGCCTTACTGAGAACAGAAAGTTGATTGACATATATTTTGTATGTTATAGAGATTATATACTGTATTCTTAAAGTAAGCTGGAGAAAAGAAAATGTTATTAAGGAAATCACGGGGAAGATGAAATACATTTACTATTCATTAAGTGGAAGTGGATCATCATGTTTTCCATGTTTGTTGTCTTCATGCTGAGAAGGCTCAGGAGGAGGCGGAAAAGGAAGGGTTGGTCTTGCAGTCTCAGGAGTGGCAGAGGCAGAAGGCAGTCTACCTGTAAGTGAACCTGCACAGTTTGAGCCCATGTTCAAGGGTCAACTTCAGTGTTATATAACCACTCCCCACCACATCCCACCGGGTGGGATAAGAAAACAGGTGCCCAGATAGGGGAAATGCCTTGCCCCAGGTCGTGGATTAGAACTCAGGGGAGCTTAGTCCTGGTCTACTTACTGCTCTACAGGTTCTTCCCAACAGGCTCAGCCTCAGTCTCGTCCATGAATTTTTCCAAATTGGGCCATTTGGTGGGAGCAGCGGGGTTCCACCTCACTGCTGGATTGCCATCAGGAACAGCTGGTATTCAAGAAGCATCCCCTTGTCCTGAACCAGGATATAGTGAGTTCCATGGTCACAGCTGCATGACTCTGGCCCATGCAATTTATAGCCTCCCTACCTTGGTTTTCCCATCCATTTTCCTACGATTAGCAAGTACAGGTGGCAAACTGGTGGCTCAGAAACAAGTTTGATTTTGCAGGCTGTATGTGGCTTATACATGTTTTAAAATATGATGTCATAGGGGAACAAAAGTACCTTTTTCACTACCCGTGATCGTTCTTATTTGAGGCAGACCCCTGTAACAAAAGACAGATTAAGAGAAAAACAAGTTTATTAACATATACACCTTATGAATACATGGGAGATACTGAGGGAAATGAGTAAATCTCCAAGAGATGCCCTAAATACCTTTGCCTGCTGAAGCAAAGAAGAAAAGTGAGGTGGCCAGGAAAAACACCATAAACAAGGGTAAGATTTGTTATGCAGATTTAAGTCCCTGCTTTTTCTCTTCATGAGAGTTTCCAGTGATAGAAGCGTATTTTGGGATGACATATTCTGGTCATATTAGAGTAGCATATCCTTAACCCCATAAATGCAACATTTTTAAAAATGAGAGAACTGGTCAGGCATAGCGGCTCATGCTTGTAATCCTAGCTCTACAAAAATTTCTTTTAAAAATTTGGTCAGGTGCAGTGGCTCACGCCTGTAATCCCAGCACTTTGGGAGGCCGAGGTGGGTGGATCACTTAAGGTCAGGAGTTCGAGACCAGCCTGGGCAATACGGTGAAACCCGTCTCTACTGAAAATACAAAAATTAGCCGGGCATGCTGGCAAACACCTGTAATCCTAGCTACTCAAGAGGCTGAGGCACGAAACTCGCTTGAACCCAGGAGGCAGAGGTTGCAGTGAGCCGAGATCATGCCTCTGCACTCCTGGGCAGAGAGCCTGGGCAACAGAGTGAGACTCCATCTCAAAAAAAAAAAAAAAAAAAAAAAAAATTAGCCATGAGCAATGGTGCATACCTGTAGTCCTAGCTATTCTGGAGGCTAACATGGGAGGATCACTTGAGCCTGGGAGGTTGAGACTGCAGTGAGCCATGATCATGCTACCTCACTCTAGCCTCAGTGACAAAGTGAAACCACATCTCTTTAAAAAAAAAAAAAAAAAAGCAACTGAAGTACCAAACTAGGAAACTTATTCCAAGCAAAGGATTAATCTCCATAATATATAAAGAGCACCTACAAATGAATAAAAATATCAACAGCTCTTGGGAGGCCAAGGTGGGTGGATCATCTGAGGTCAGGAGTTTGAAACCAGCTTGGCCAACATGGTGAAACCCCATCTCTACTAAAAATACAAAAATTAGCTGGGTGTGGTGGCACATGCCTGTAGTCCCACCTACTCAGGAGGCTGAGGCAGGGGAATTGCTTGAAACCAGAAGGCAGAGGTTGCAGTGAGCTGAAATCACACCACTGCACTCCAGCCTGGAGACAGAGCAAGACTCTGTCTCAAAAAAAAAAAAAAAAAAAAGAAGGGCCGTGGGTGGTGGCTCACGCCTGTAATCCCAGCACTTTGGGAGGCCGAGGTGGGCAGATCACCTGAGGTCAGGAGTTCAAGACCAGCCTGGCCAACATGGCGAAACCCCATCTCTACTAAAAATACAAAAATTAGCTGGGTGTGGTAGCACATGCCTGTAGTCCCAGCTACTTGGGAGGCTGAGGCAGGAAAATTGCTTGAACCCAGGGGGTAGAGGTTGCACTGAGCTGAGATCACACCACTGCACTCCAGCCTGGACAACAGAGCAAGACTCCATCTCAAAAAAAAAAAAAAATAGAAAACAAAGCATGTAAAAGATAATTCAATGAAAAGAACATATTAATTCTTCCTAAATGTGTGAAAAGATCAACTATGCTCATAATAGGAGAAATACACATGAAAAACACACCAAAGTACCATTTTTCACCAGATTGACAAAAAAATGTTAATTAATCACGCCACATTATTTTTAATTACATACAAAGATCTAACATGTCACCCAGGGACCATTTCACCCACTGCTCTGTTTGGCCACCAGTCTCTTGTCTCTCTCTTCAGCAATGGTGAGGCGGATACCCTTTCCTCAGGGAAGAAAAATCCATGGTTTGTTGCCCTTACCAATAACAAAAATGTTGAAAGGTCGAGTGGCAAATCTGTTGCCACTGGCATCTTTCACATGAACCACGTCAAAAGATCCAGGGTGCCTCTCTCTGTTGGTGATCACACCAATTCTTCATACACAGGTTAGCACCTCCAGTCACCATACACAGGTTACCAGTGTTGAACTTGATGAAATCAGTAATCTTGCCAGTCTCCAAATCAATCTGAATGGTATCATTCACCTTGATGAGGGGATCAGGGTAGCAGATGGTGCGAGCATCATGAGTCCCCAGATGAGGGATTCCTTTGGTGTCCACAAAGATTTTTCTCACTTTGCACCACTTGTACTTGGCCTCCTCAGGTGTAATATGATGTACAGCAAAGCAACCCTTGGTGTCATAGATCAGACAGAAATTCCCTCCTGTCTTGCCAATGCTGATGACATCCATGAATCCAGCAGGGTAGGTTATATCAGTTCTGACCTTGCCATCGATCTTAATGAACGGCTGCATGCAAATCTTTACTTCATCTCCTGTCAGGGCATACTTAAGTCTGTTCTTAAATGATGATGGGGAGACACTCTCTCAACTTGTGGACACTGGTGGATAGACAAGGAGCAAACACACTGGTCAATTTATGCAGCATCCAATGTTTTGGAGTTGCTGTAGTGGTTCAGATGCTTCTTGGGACCATGAGCCATGGCTGCATTAGGCACAGAAAGAAGAAAAAGAATTTTTTTTTTAAGTTTGATAATGCATGTCTTTGGGAGAGTGTGGGAAAACAGTCACTCTCATATATTACTGATAGAAATGTAAATGAGATTGCGCCATTGCACTCCAGCCTGGGTGACAGAGCCAGACTCCGTCTCAAAAAAAACAAAAGAAAGAAAGAAATGTAAATGTGTACAATCCCTATGATGAGTAAATTGTCAGTATCTATCAAAATCATAAATATGAATTCCTTTGACCTATCAGTTTTGCCTCTAGGCATTTTATCCAATAGATATATTATCAATGTGTGAAATACTATAAATATAGGCTTGTTTATTATAGCAAAACTTTGGAAGCAATCTCTACGTCTAACAAAGAGGGTCTGGCTAAATAATGATGGTACATTCATACAAAGAAATATCAGGCATGCCAGCGGTGGCTCAAGCCTGTAATTCCAGCACTTTGGGAGTCCGAGGCAAGAGGATCCCTTGAGCCCAGGAGTTCAAGGCCAGCTTGAGCAACATAGTGAGACCCTGTGTCTATTTATTTTATTTTTATTTTTTCTATTTTTTAAATAAAATAAAAATAAATAAATATCAGGCAGCTGTAAGCAAGAATGAGGAATCTGTTTACGTATTGATAGAGAAGGCTCTTAAGATAAATTTTAAGGGGAAAAGACAAAATATAGTATCCTGTGAAAAGTATGTTATAATCTGTGTGAATAAAGGAAAAATAACATTTGCCTCATATGCTTAGAACATTTCTGGAAGAATACAAGATACTAGGGACAGTGATGGTCCCTGGAGAGGGTAACGTGCTGATCAATTGGAGGAGATAGAGGGGATTTTTTACTTTATATCCTATTTCCTTTCATTTTTGGAATGATGTGAATGAACTACCTCTTTAAAAATGAATAACATTTCGGTCAGGCGCGGTGGCTCACGCCTGTAATCCCAGCACTTTGAGAGGCCAAGGCGGATGGATTATTTAAGGTCAGATGTTCGAGACCAGCCTGACCAACATGGTGAAACCCCGTCTCTACTAAAAATACAAAAATTAGCCGGGTGGTAGTGGTGCGTGACTGTAATTCCAACTACTCGGGAGGCTGAGGCAGGAGAGTCGCTTGAGCCTGGGAGGCAGAGGTTGCAGTGAGCAGAGATCATGCTGAGCGAGAGACTGAGACTCTGTCTCAAAAAAAAAAAAAAAAAGATAACATTTCAATTAAATAATAAAGATTCTCTCTTTTTTAACCCAAAAGATTTTTGCATTAAAATGTTTATTTCTTTGCTATCCTAAAAAGAAAAACATTTTTTAAAAGAAAGTAAAATATTTATTTCTGGCTTCTCTTGCAAAATTAAGTCCAGGTGTGGTGGTTCATGCCAATCTATATTCCCAGTGCTTTGGGAGGCCAAGGCGGGAAGATGGCTTGAGGCTAGGAGTTCGAGACCAGCCTGGGTAATATAGGGAGACCCTGTCTCTACAAAATTAATAAAAAAATTAGCCAGGCATGGAGGCACATGCCTATATTTCTAGCTACTTGGGAGGCTGAGGTGGGAGGATTGCTTGAGCCCAGGAGTTGCAAGCTGCAGTGAGCCACGATTGTGCCACTGCACACCAGCCTGGAGAACAGATCAAAATCCTGTCTCAAAAACATACAAACAAACAAAAAAAAATCATGAGGCTCTTGGCAATACAAGGCCAACATTCCCTCAGGGCAGAGCTTGGCTGGAGCTCAGCAGGGCTGCCCCTCTACACCAGGAATGCATACCCCTGTATGCCACAGTCTTCATCACCTCCTATTTTTCCTGGCCTGGCCAGCATCACCTGCTTTTTTTAGTCATTTGGTCTTGTAAGGTAACAGGTGTTCTGGAGTCTCTTTTCACTTGTTAACCTCCTACCTCTGATTCTTTCCTTTCGTTAGGATCAGGGTTTCTTATGCTCCACAACATCTGTGGCCTTTGCAGGCATAGTTGTGCACCTGTCCTAGAAGGTGTGGCAGTGCCTGGTTGCTGCTCAAGTCTCTCTCAGGTACTTCATGGCGGAGAATTATTGTCATCTACCACCCTTGAATGAGACAAACTTTTTTTTGAGGTGGGGTCTCACTGTGTTGCCCAGGCTGGAGTGCAGCAGCTATTCACAGGCACACAGGCATAACCAAAGCACCCTACAGCCTTGAACTCTTGGCCTCAAGCAATCCTCCTGCCTTAGCCTCCAGGGTAACTGGGACTACAAGTGTGGGCCACTGTGCCTGGCTATAAACATCTTTTTTGACAGCCCTGTCTGGGTTGGAGGAGGCTCAATTACAGAGTTAGAGAGGATCTTAGAGACTTTCTAACAAAGTCAAGAAATATATTAATAAATGGGGGGAAAAAGGCTTTTCAGACACTGTAGATGGCATGGCACCATACCTGTGTGTTTAAAGACAACAGCATGGGCTGGGCACAATGGCTCATGCCTATAATCCCAGCACTTTGAGAGGTCAAGGCAGGAGGATTGCTTGAGGCCAAGAGTTCCAGACCAGCCTAGGCAACACAGTGAGACCCTAGCTCTAAAAAAATTTAAAATTTAGCCAGGTACAGTGGCACGTGCTTATAGTCCCAGCTATTTGAGAGGCTGAGGTGAGAGGATCACTTGATCCTGGGAGGTTGAGGCTGCAGTCTGCCGTAATCGTGTCACCGTACTCCAGCCTGGTTGACAGAGCAGGACCTTGTCTCAAAAAACAGAACAAGGCTGGGCGCAGTGGCTCACGCTTGTAATCCCAGCACTTTGGGAGGCCGAGGAGGGCAGATCATGAGTTCAGGAGTTCAAGACCAGCCTGGCCAACATGGTGAAACCCATCTCTACTAAAAATACAAAAATTAGCTGGGTGTGGTGGCACGTGCCTGTAATCCCAGCTACTCAGGAGGCTGAGGCAGGAGAACTGCTTGAACCGGGACCCAGGAGGTAGAGGTTGCAGTGAGCAGAGATTGCCCCACTGCACTCCAGCCTGGCGACAGAGCGAGACTCCATCTCAAAAAAACAAAAAACAAACAACAACAACAACAACAACAAAAACCCTACCATATATACATTTATGTTTGCATGTTAGATACTAACCTGGAAAGATACCTAAACATCTGATAGAGTGGTTATCGATTTGGGAGGAAAACAGTTTTGTCTACATATAACATATCCTTTCACTTTGTCTGCCTTTCACTGTCTTTGAGTTATTACAGAGGCTTCATTAACTTCCTTCCCCTCACCCCATGGAAGAACCAGTTTGCCTTTATTTATGTATTCATTTCAATACTCTTGATCTATAAATGTGTCTGTTTTCAGAATCTCTTTTGATTCTAACATCTCTTTGATTCTAACATTTGTCTGGTTCTCTCATTGATAAAAGAGTAGAATGAAATATTTAACGCGTGTCCATATTGTATCTATGAGAGTCATTATTTTACCTTTTTCTGAAACTTATCTTTGAACAATTATAGTCTAACTTGGAAGGATGCTTGAGAAATGGATAAGAGTGATTCATCAGTTTGAAGAGGTGTCTAGGGATGGAGTAGAAAGGAGACTTACTTTCTACTGTAAATTTTTCATACTACAAAATTTAAATAGAAATTTTTTTTCTTTTCTTTTCTTTTTTTTTTTCTTTTTTTTTTTTTTTGAGAAAGAGTCTCGCTCTGTCACCCAGGCTGGAAGGCAGTGGTGCCATCTCAGCTCACTGCAACTTCTGCCTCCCAGATTCAAGCGATTCAAGCAATTCTCCCACCTCAGCCTCCTGAGTAGCTGGGATTAGAGGCTCATGCCACTACGCCCAGCTAATTTTTGTATTTTTAGTAGAGACAGGGTTTTACCACGTTGGCCAGGCTGATCTCAAACTCCTGAGCTCAAGTGATCTGCCTGCCTTGGCCTCCCAAAGTGCTGGGATTACAGACGTAAGCCACCCCGCTGGGCAAAAATTTGAATAGAAATTTTCAATAGAATAAGTATCCATTCAAAACTATAAACAAGTACAATTTTTGTATTCTTTTTTTCAAAGAAGTAATTGAAAAGAAAACTAATTGAAAAGAAGAAACAAAAAATAGGAATTATAACCTAGTGAGTAAAAACATGGGATTTAAGGTCAACCAAAGTTGGATTTAAGGTTCTGACATTTTCTTTCTTTTTTGGTGGGGGACAGAGTTTTGCTCTTGTTGCCCAGGCTGCAGTGCAGTGGGCAATCTCGGCTCACTGCAACCTCCACCTCCCAGGTTCAAGCAGTTCTCCTGCCTCAACCTCCCAGGTAACTGGGATTACAGGCACCCACCACCACGGCAGGCTAATTTTTTTATTTTTAGTAGAGATGGGGTTTCACCATGTTGTCCAGACTGGTCTCGAACTCCTAACCTCAGGTGATCCACCTGCCTTGGCCTCCCAAAGTGCTGGGATTACAGGTGTGAGCCATCGTGCCTGGCCCTAAAGGTCTGACATTCTCTAAGTGACTTTGGGCAAGTTACTTAATCTCTTTAAGCTGTAGTTTATTTGTTAAGTAGAGATAATGGTACCTTGTTTCCAATGTCACTGTGAAGATAAAATGAGATTTGCATATTAAATTTTTCAACCCAGGGCCTGGCATATAGTAAACACTCACATCAAACCTGGACCACAATCATATAATAGACATAATTGTCACTGTCAACATCATCAAATCCTGTGTCTGCCAAGTACGGGATGGATCCACCAAAGGGATGTCAAGCAATTTTAGGTGGTATTAAATAACAACGAAATCACAGATTGAGAACATTTTTTCTTTTTCAGTTTCTTTTGATCCTCTTTGATTTCTCAAGGACTAAGTGTCAGTTTAATGCTCTTCATTCTTTAATACCTAACACATGCTAACTCCATTTTTAACACGGAAGGAGGAAGCTTTACTACAGAGATGTCAGCAGGCAGAATCAGCTAGAATTTAGTAACACCATTCTGTTTTTGCTGCGTTTATTTTACAGGTGCATTCATTCCAGGGCTGCATTTGGACTTTCATGGGCCCTAAGCACTTTCGCCTTGGTGTATCTCTTTCTCCATAGTGAGACCCTATCTCTAAAAAAAAAAAATTTAAAAACTAACCGTGTGTGGTGGCATGTGCCTGTAGTCTCAGCTACTCAGGAGGCTGAGGCAAGAGGATTGCTTGAGCCCAGGAGGTCGAGGCTGCAGTAAGCTGTGATTGTGCTACTGCACTCCAGCCTGAGCAACAGAGTGAGACCCTGCCTAAAAAGAAAAATTTTTTTTTGAGATGGAGTCTCACTCTGTTGCCCAGTCTGGAGTGCAGTGGTGTGATCTCAGCTTGCTGCAACCTCCGTCTCCTGGGTCCAAGCGATTCTCCTGCCTCAGCCAACTATCCTGAGTAGCTGAGATTACAGGCGTGCATCACCACCCTCAGCTAATTTTTGTATTTTTAGTAGAGACGAGGTTTCACCATATTGGCCAGGCTGGTCTCAAACTCCTGACCTCAGGTGACCCGCCGGCCTCGGCCTCCCAAAGTGCTGGGATTACAGGCATAAACCACCGTGCCCAGCCAAAAAACTTTTTTTAAATTATACCTTATGATTGCATTGGTATAAATAAGAATATAATCCTGGCTAGATTCATTATTATTATTATTACTATTTTAGACAGTCTCGCTCTGTCACCCAGGCTGGAGTGCAGTGGTGCGATCTCAGGTCACTGCAACCTCCGCCTCCTGGGTTCAAGCGATTCTCCTGCCTCAGCCTCCCGAGTAGCTGAGATTACAGGCGTCCACCATCACGCCCGGCTAATTTTTTGTATTTTTAGTAGAGACGGGGCTTCACCATGTTGGCCAGGCTGGTTTTGAACTCCTGACTTCAAGTGATCCACCCGCCTCAGCCTCCCAAAGTGCTAGGATTACAGGCGTGAGCCACCATGCCCGGCGTTTTTTTTTCTGGTTTTTTTTTTTTGAGACAAAGTCTCACTCTGTTGCCCCGGCTGGAGTGCAGCAGCATGATCTCGGCTCACTGCGACCTTCACCTCCCAGGTCCAAGCAATTCTCATGCCTCAGCCTCCTGAGTAGCTGAGATTACAGGTGCCCACCACAATGTCTGGCTAATTTTTGTATTTTTAGTAGAGACAGGGTTTCACCATGTTGGCCAGGCTGATCTCAAACTCCTGACCTCAAGTGATCCATGCCCTTGGCCTCCCAAAGTGCTGGGATTACAGGTGTGAGCCACCACACCAGGCCTTATTATTTATGCATTGCTATTATATTTATTTTTTTCCTCCTAATTTGAAAAGAAATTACAATTATAACATTTCCATTGGTCCCCGAAAAGCCAACAGACTCAAGGTCCTGTGCCTGGTTGGCCCTGATCCATTCTATTTATGGAGAGTGCTGCCATTTCTCCATTTATAGAGGAGACGTCATTTCCTTTTTATGTGTATTCAAGTAAACAAAAATGAGTCCATTAGACAACATGAAACCAAATAATAGTACATGGGGTGGTAATAATATGGCAAAAATGAAAGCCCTTCATTTTACAGAGGAGAAGAGACTGAGGTCTAGGGATATAACACCTTGTGGAGGTGGGACAGAAATTCCTAGGCTGTCCAGACCCTTCAGGACACTTTGCAGCTCCCCCCAGCACATTCCTGGGAAGGAGATGATCCCTCCCTAGCAGCCAGGGACCAACTCCACAGTGATGCGGGAAGCTCCCAAGTTACCCCACAGCCTGCCCTTGCCAAGACCTAGGCCTAGGTAGTCGGCTTCCCAGAAGACTCTTGGAGAAAACTACTTCAGAATTGGGTTTTGCTTCCATCAGATCATGCTTTGAAACCATTCAAAGGCCAACAAAGGACAAAGTCCCTTTAAATCCAAGCTGACTCACCTTGTTAAAAAAAAAAAAAAAAAGAGGCTGAGCGCAGTGGCTCACGCCTGTAATCCCAGCACTTTGGGAGGCCGAGGTGAGCGGCTCACGAGGTCAGGAGATTGAGACCATCCTGGCTAACACGGGGAAACCCCATCTCTACTAAAAATACAAAAAATTAGCCAGGCGTGATGGCGGGCGCCTGTAGTCCCATCTACTCGGGAGGCTGAGGCAGGAGAATGGCGTGAACCCGGGAAGCGGAGGTTGCAGTGAGCCGAGATCATGCCACTGCACTCCAGCCTGGGCGACAGAGCGAGACTCCGTCTCAAAAAAAAAAAAAAAAAAGAAAAAGAAAAAAAATGAGGGAGCTTTGAAGAAGCGTAAATTAGCATTCAAACTAGGGGGCTTCTTCAAAGGCCTGAAGACTGACTCCTGTCACCCAGGTAGCCACGTCCTGATCAGAGGACACATCCCTGAGATAGAAAGCAGGGCCCCTGACTTCCCCATCCCCCCGGGCTTTTTGTTCTGTCTACTCTTCTATTTTAACCTAACGGAGAAGAGGCTGAAGAGAAAGTCCAGAGGCCTAGCGGGAGAGCTGGAATCCACCAATGGGTGCGCTTTCCGGGTCGGCTTTCCAGGTCAGCTATCTGGATGGCAAATTAGAATGGCAGTGGCAGATGAAAGTGTCCCCTGTGAAAATGCGGACACAGAAAGAGTCCTGTGAGTTAAGAGCTTTGCCACTAGTCTAAGCTGTTCTGTGGCCTGAAGCAGAACCCAGAAAGGCCCTACGAAGCTTCTGACTACATGAAAAGACCCAGCCAGGTTGGAATCCTAAATGAACACTAAACCGAGCAAGTAAACCTGGGATGAAGTTAAGCAATGACAGAATACAACCAGGGGCTGGAGAGAAAGCATCGGTCTGGTTCTGTGTGTTATGGTGGTTTTTAAAGCAATTTTTGCCAGAAGATCATTTTGTTGTTGCACGTAAATGTAGGCAACTCATGTGTTTACATTTTCTGTATCTATTTGATAAACTGGTGTGGAAAATGAAAATAACCCAAGACAAGAAGTCATAATGATCAGATGACTGAAGTACACTGGGGTGGGGGCCGTGGAGTCCAAAACATGCCTTCAAACTGAAGTGTTAATATTCTCCTGGAGCAGCTGTTTCTCTGGAATTTGGGGGAGGTCCTGCTCTCCCCACTCCATCCCCATCTCCATGCAACATCTTTGTGTCTCTTCTCTCTCTTTCTTTTTCTTATCAGTTACCTAGAGGAGGTAACAAGCACCACCAGTCTCCTGGCAGCAGCTGCTAGAAGAGGCTGTAGAAATGGGTAGTGTATAGGCGATAATAACTGCTAGAAGGCACAGTTGGACCATTTAATCTGTGTCCTTGATAGCCAATATCAAAGGACCTTGCTTATTCAATCATTCAACAAATATCTATTGAGTTTCTGCTGTGTGCCAGGTGGTGGGCTGAAAGGAAGTTGCACAGACCAGAAATGGAATCTGAGCCTCCCACAAGGCAGGCAAGAATTCTGACCCTGAACCACAATGGACATCCCCATGAGTGCCCCACAGTAGCCCCCAGCCACAGCAGAAGTTAGCAGGTGGCACCAGTGTGCAAACAGTCTGCTTCTTTTAACACCCCACTCTTCCTGTTTTTTGGTATTCTTCTTCCTTTCACTTATTCAGATGAAAGAGGGAGACATATCAGAAAGATGGAATTGTTAGGGGGCCAACAGATGGGCCTCTCAAGTGGCCTCTAACTAGGTGAAGAACTTTTTTGTGCTAGGTTGATTCTCAATTAATTCACCCATCCCCTCTCCCAGACATACATGTCATCATTACTAATCATTATGCACAATCACTTGAGCCTCTCGGAAGATTTCTTGTGGCCTTTGTCAGGGATCCCTGTGCTCCAACTTCTGTCTTCTGGCTTAGGCAAGGTGTATACATTCATTTAACAGACATTTATGAAATATCTTATAGAGCGGGCGCAGTGACTCATGCCTGTAATTCCAGCACTTCGGGAGGCCAAGGCGGGTGGATCACTTGAGCTCAGGAGTTTGAGACCAGCCTGGGCTACATGGCGAAACCTTGTCTTTAGAAAAAATACAAATATTAGCCAGGTGTGGTGGTGTGTGCCTGTAGTCCCAGCTACTCAGAAGGCTGAGGTGGGAGGATCATTTGAGCCTGGGAGGTTGAGGCTGCAGTGAGCTGAGATTGCACCATTGCACTCCAGCCTGGGTGACAGAGCGAGACCCTGTCTAATATATGTGTGTGTGTGTGTGTGTGTGTGTGTGTGTGTGTGTGTATACTTTCTACATGGTAAGCACAGTACCATATGCCAAAGATACAATGGTAAATAAGACAGACAGGGTCCCTGCTCTTCTGTGGTTCACAGTCTGGTGAAGAAGACAATAATCTAGCAAACACAGAGCAATGAAATGATTGTCCCTCTTGTGGTAAATGTGATTTGGAAAACCAAAGAGACATGATGGTGGAGAATAAGGAGAGTTGTCAGAAAGGTTTCCCTGCAGATAAACTTTTAAAGATCTCAACCTGTGGACGGGAAATTTGGGGTTGGAGCCCCCACACAGAGTCCCCACTGGCACAGTGGCTCATGCCTGTAATCCCAACACTTCTAGAGGCTGAGGCGGGTGTATTGCTTGAGCCCAGAAGTTTGAGAGCAGCCTGGGCAACATGGTGAAACCCTGTCTCTACAAAAAATTTAAAAAATTAGCCAGGCATGAGGGTACACACCTGTAGTCCCAGCTACTCAGGGGGCTGAGGCGGGAGGATTGCTTGAGCCTGGGAAGTGGAGGCTGCAGTGAGCCTAGGTGGTGCCACTGCACTCCAACCTGGGGGACAGAGGAGACGCTGTCTCAAAAAAAAAAAAAAAAAAATCCCAACCTGAAGGATGAAGCAACTATGTAGAAAGTTGCTGAAAGAGCAGTCCTGGCACAGAGAACAGCAAAGGTATTGATGTGGTTTGGCTCTGTGTCCCCACCCAAATCTCATGTTGAACTGTAATCCTCTATGTTGAGGGAGGGACCTGGTGGGAGGTAATTGGATCATGGAGGCAGATTTCCCCCTTGCTGGTCTCATGATAGTGAGTAAGTCCTCACAAGATCTGATAGTTTAAAAGTGTGTGGCACTTCCCCCTTGTCTAGCTTTCTCTCCTGCCACCATGTGAAAATAGGCTTGCCTCCCCTTTGCCCTTCTGCCATGAAGGGCTTTAGCTCAGGCCACTGCTTCAGAGGGTGCAAGTCCCAAGCCTTGGAAGCTTCCATGTTGTGCTGGGCCTGTGGATGCGCAGAAGGCAAGAGTTGAAGTTTGGGAACCTCCACTTAGATTTCAGAGGATGTATGGAAATGCCTGGTGTCCAGGCAGAAGTCTGCTGTAAGGGCACAGCCCTCCTGGAGACCCTCTACTAGGGCAGTGTGGAGGGGAAATGTGGAGTTGGAGCCTTACACAGAGTCCCCACTAGGGCACTGCCTAGTGGAGCTGTGAGAAGAGGGCCACTGTCCTCCAGACTCCAGAATGGTAGACCCGCCAACAGCTTGCACTGTGCACCTAGAAAAGCCACAGGTGCTCAACGTCAGCCTGTGAAAGCAGCCACAGGGGCTGTACCCTGCAGGGCCACAGGGGAGGAGCTGCCCAAGGCCTTGGGAGCCCACCCCTTGCACCAGCATGCCCTGGATGTGAGACATGTTGTCAAAGGAGATTATTTTGGAGCTTTAAGATTTAATAACTGCCTGCTGGATTTTGGATGTGCATGGGGCCTGTAGCCTCTTTGTTTTGGCCAATTTCTCTCATTTGGAATGGAAGCATTTACACAATGCCTGTACCCCCATTGTACCTTGGAAGTAACTAACTTGTTTTTGATTTTACAGGCTCATAGGTGGAAGGGACTTGCCTTGTCTCAGATGAGACTTTGGACTTAGACTTTTTTGTTTTGTTTTGTTTTTTATTTGAATTCTCTCAACCCCTGCAGAGGACTTGGACATTTGAGTTAATGCCAGAATGAGTTAAGACTTTGGGGAACCACTGGGAAGACATGGTTGTATTTTGAACTATGAGAAGGACATGAGATTTGGGAGGGGTCGGGGCAGAATCATATGCTTTGACTCTGTGTCTCCACCCAAATCTCCTGTTGAATATAATCCCCAGTGTTGGGGGAAGGACCTGGTGAGAGGTGATTGGATCACGGAGGCAGATTTCCCCCTTGCTGTTCTCATGATAGTGAGTGAGTTCTTATGAGATCTGATGGTTTAAAAGTGTGTAGTACTTCCCCTTTCACTTGCTCTCTCTCCTGCTGCAATGTGGAGACACAATTGCCTCCCCTTTGCCCTTCTGCCATGACTGTAAGTTTTTTGAGGCCTCCCCAGTCAATGCCTCCTGTACAGCCTGTGGAACTGTGAGTCAGTTAAACCTCTTTTCTTTATAAATTACCCAGTCTCAGGTAGTTCTTTATAGCAATGTGAGAATGGACTAATACAGATATTCTAGAAACTTTCAGAAGGCCAGGCACTAGATGTAATAAGAGGAGTTGTGTAATACAAGCAGAGGTTGGACAGGGAGGCAGAGGTCAGCTTGGACCTAGTCTTGTAGGCCAGGGTCAAAAGTTTAGATTTTATTACAAGAGTGAAGAGAAAGGCTCATAAGTGACTTCTTATAAGAGTGGTCTCCTGGCTGGGTGCGGTAGCTCGCCTGTAATCCCAGCAGTTTGGGAGGCTGAGGTGAGTGGATCACCTGAAGTCAGGAGTGTGAGACCAGCCTGGCCAACCCCGTCTCAACTAAAAAATAAAAATAAAAAATAAAAAATTATCCTGGCATGGTGGTGGGCACCTGTAATCCCAGCTACTTGGGAGGCTGAGGCATGAGAATCGCTTGAACCCAGGAGGCAGAAGTTGCAGTGAGCTGAGATTGTGCCACCGCACTCCAGCCTGGGCAATTGAGCGAGACCCTGTCTCAAAAAAAAAAAAAAAAAGGTCTCCCATGGAAAACCAATTTATATTGATTATCATGTATTATATTATATTATATTAGTTATTATCATTCTGTCTGTGGATTGAAGAATATCTGGAAAGGACAGAGTGGAAGCATGGAAACCAGGCAGGAGGCTATTCAGTGGCCCAGGTGAGAGATGGTTGTGGCTAGATTGGGTTCATGGCCTCAATGATTGAGAGAACTGAGTGGATTCAGGATACATTTTGAAGATACTACCAAAAGGTCTGATGATGGGCTGGATGTAGGGAAAGATCAAGCTCCTCTAATCCCTCTGGGTGAGAGGCTATTTCAACTTCTACCACCTCCTATAGTGACCTGAGGTGGAGATAAAGGGCTCAAATTAGGACCCAAGATTAAAGACCTAAACCCAATCAAGTTCAAGGAACCTGGAACTGAAAAGTAAATACAAAATCTAAGACTTTTAGGCCAGTGATAAAACTAGGCCTTGTTACATAAAGGAGAGAGAAAATGAGGCCCAGAAATTATTGTTTCTTTTTTCGAGACAGAGTCTTGCTCTGTTGCCCAGGCTGGAGTGCAGTGGCATGATCTCAGCTCACTGCAACCTCTGCCTCCCAGGTTCAAGCAATTCTCCTTCCTCAGCCTCCTGAGTAGCTGGGATTACAGGCACACACCACCATGTCTGGCTAATTTTTGTATTTTTAGTAGAAACAGGGTTTCACCATGTTGGCCAGGCTAGTCTCAAACTCCTGACCTCGTGATCTGCCTGCCTCAGCCTCCCAAAGGTCTGGGATTACAGGCATGAGCCACCGTGCCCTGCCACAAAAATGATTTTTTAATGACATAGATTGAACTAAAACATGCACTGTGTTCAATAGCAGAAAAAAAAAATCAAGATCCTGGAAATAAACAGAAATAGGTGGAATACGTCTTCAGAGCAAACTATATAACTGTATTAGTCTGTTTTCACACTGCTATAAAGAACTGCTCAAGACTGGGTAATTTCGAAAGGAAAGAGGTTTAGTTGACTCACAGTTGTGCATGGCTGGGGAGGCCTCAGGAGACTTACAATCATGGCAGAAGGTGAAGGGGAAGCAAGAAACCCTCTTCACAAGGTGGCAGGAAGAAGTGCTGAGCAAAGAGGGAAGAGCCCCTTATAAAACCATCAGATCTCGTGAGAACTCACTCACTATCAAGAGAACAGCATGTGGGAAACTGCCCCCATGATTCAATTGCTTCCACTTGGTCTCTCCTTTGACACATGGGGTTTATGAGGATTACAATTCAAGATGAGATTTGGGTGGGGACACAAAGCCTAAACATATCAACAAGTATATTGAGAAACAGGCCAGGCGTGGTGGCTCCCACCTGTAATCCCAGCAGAGAAACATTAAGGAAGAGCCAAATAGTTGGAAAGCTATAACATGTTCATGGATTAGAAGACTTACTGTTATAAAGATGTCAATTCACTCCCAAAATGATCTATAGATGTAAGGTAATACCAGTCAAAATCCCAACATATTTTTCCCTTTTATTTTGTGGAGCCTGGTAAGCTGATTCTAAGTATATATGGAAATTCAGGGATCAAGAATAGCAGAGATCTTCTTGAAGAAGAATAAAATGTGAGGACTTGGTCTACTGAATATCAGAACTTAAACATGGTGCCGTCACAATTTTTTGTTGTTGTTGTTTTTGAGACAGAGTTTTGCTCTTGTTGCCCAGGCTCAACCTCTACCTCCCTGGTTCAAGTAATTCTCCCGCCTCAGCCTCTCAAGTAGCTGGGATTACAGGCATGCACCACCACACCCAGCTAATTTTGTATTTTTAGTAGAGACAGGGTTTCTATCTCTGCTAACACGTGAAACCCCATCTCTACTAAATATACAAAAAAAAAAAAAAATTAGCTGGGCGTGGTGGCAGACACCTGTAGTCCCAGCTACTTGTGAGGCTGAGGCAGGAGAATGGCGTGAACCTGGGAGGCGGAGCTTGCAGTGAGCCGAGATCATGCCACTGCACTCCAGCCTGGGCAACAGAGCAAGACTCTGTCTCCAAAAAAAAGAAAAGAAAAGAAAAGAAAAGTCTGTAACTGGAGAAGTGACCATGGGGCTTCATGTTCAAGTTGGGCAGAACAAGGAGGGTGGCTCCCTGTTTCTCAACAGGCATTGAGGAACGCAAGGTGAATTTTGGCTTTTCTGGAAGTGGAGCAGGCATTTTTACCCTCAGGAGAGGTGCATGGAAGCAGAAACAGCAGGTCAAAGCAAGGGGCCACAATCTGAATGGAGCCAAATTCACAGCTGAGTCAACAGTCCAAACCTAGCGCTTCCATCTACAGAGCTGGCAACGGAGAATTGGAAACAAAGGCTAGAAATAGAAAGGTAGCAGAGAAAGCAGGTACGCTGCTGTGCAAGAAGTGGAAAAGATAGTAAGTGAGAGGGAAACTTCTGGAACCGGCATGTAGTTAAGGGGATTGGTTTGGGAATCAATCCAAATGTCTCTCTCAGGGTGAGATCAAAGAAATAGTTTGTAATACATCCATACAATGGAATACCGTGCGGCTGTAAGAAAGAATGAGATAGAGCTGCCTGCAGTGACATGGAACAATGCCCATGCTACTTTATTAAGAAAAGAAATTAGGCCAGGCACAGTGGCTCATGCCTGTAATCCCAGCACTTTTGGAGGCCGAGGCGGGTGGATCACGAGGTCAGGAGATCGAGACCCATCCTGGCTAACACGGTGAAACCCCCTCTCTACTAAAAACACAAAAGAAATTAGCCGGGAGTGGTGGCGGGCGACTGCAGTCCCAGCTACTCGGGAGGCTGAGGCAGGAGAATGGCGTGAACCCTGGAGACAGCGCTTGCAGTGAGCCGAGATAGGGCCACTGCACTCCAGCCTGGGTGACAGAGCAAGACTCCCGTCTCAAAAAAAAGAAAAGAAATTATGGAAGAGTAATAATTATGTGTGTGGGGAGAGATGAAGTAGATATGATTTTATAAATAGGCAAATATAAAAGCATACACTCAGAATTATTAACAGCAGTTTTGTCTGTGGTAACTTTTAATTTTGTAAGTGTCTGAATTGTTAGAAACGTTTTGTTTTGTTTTGTTTTGTTTTGTTAGACAGAGTTTTGCTCTTGTTGCCCAGGCTGGAGTGCAATGGCACGATCTCGGCTCACTGCAAACTCCACCTCCTGGGTTCAAGCGATTCTCCTGCCTCAGCCTCCCGAGTAGTTGGGATTACAGGCATGTGCCACCATGTCCACCTAATTTTTGTATTTTTGGTAGAGACGGGGTTTCACCATGTTGGCCAGGCTGGTCTTGAACTCCTGACCTCAGGTGATCCATCCACTTGGGTCTCCCAAAGTGCTGGGATTACAGGCGTGAGCCACCACGCCCAGCCAGAAAAGTTTTACAAAGCACGTATATGACTTTGTAGCAATAACTTTGAAAGAATCATTTAATTTTTTTTTAGACAGGGTCTTGTTCTGTCGCCCAGGCTGGAGTGCAGTGGTGTGATCACGGCTCACTCCAGCCTCGAACTCCTAGGCTCAAGCAATCCTCCCACCTCAGCCTCTTGAGTAGCTGGGACTGCAGGCATGAGCCACCAAGCCTGGCTAATTTTTTTTATTTTTTGTGGAAACGGGGTTTTACCATGTTGTCCAGGCTGCTCTCAAACTCCTGGGCTCAAACAATCCCCCTGTCTCAGCCTCCCAAAGTGCTGGGATTACAGGCATGAGCCACTGCACCCAGGAAAAGAATAATTTTAAAGATCCTTAGAAAAATGATTGAATGGACCAATTTAGAATATCTATGAGGACTCATCAAATGTTTCTATTCTACTCGAAGAAGCTTTGTATTCCTCGGCCTGCCAGGATCTGCAAATAGGGTGTGAGCCTGAGGTTTGGGGATTTTGTGTCTCAACACTTATTTGGATCTCATCTCTGTCTTCATCTCTGATCCCCATCCACCTCCTCATACCAGTTAAAGACTGAAGGGAAGAGGAAGAGAAGAGGGTCGTTAGTGGAAGGGTACTGTGCATGAGGACTCTCTAGTGAGGTTCCTGGGAAGGTCCAGTCCCTGGAGAGCTGGGCAGGAAACAGCCCATGTGAATGAGTCAGGGCTGGTGAGAAAGGGAATCAGTGAAGAAGGTGGGGATACAGTGGGAGCAGGAACCCCCACAGCTCCCTCACTCATGGCTGCCAAACCTGTGCCCTTCTCCGGAGAGGACTACTGTATTTGTAGGAAATAAGGGACAAAGTTCAGCCTGTGGTCCGTTCTTACTTACAAAGCATCAACAGCCCCACGTAAAGGGTGTGCCACAACATAATTCTCAAAATGGTAGAACTGTCATTCTCACACAAATACACAGTGAGAACCTTCACAAGATAACTGTCAGGATGACAAAGTTGGTTCAAAGAATGATTTGAGAAACTGGTGTGTGTGTGTGTGTGTGTGTGTGTGTGTGTGTGTGTGTGCTGGAATAACACAGCTAAGTTACCTACAAAACTGGCTATTGCCCTGCAGGCCAACAAGACTGAAATAGGAGGTAGGACTCAACTCCCGAGGTGGGGCTCAGATACCAACCAGATTGAGGACTAGCTAAAACAGGGCCAGGGCAGAAGCAGTTTTCCATAAGATTTGCCAGCCAGTCCGCCATGTCAGTTTACCATTGCCATGGAAACACCTGGGAGTCACTGCCTCTTTCCATGGCAATGACCTGATGATCCAAAAGTTCTTTTCCCTTCCCTAGAAATTTCTGCATAAACTGCTTCTTGTTTTGTTTTGTTGTTGTTGTTTTGTTTTGTTTTGTTTTTTGAGACAGAGATTAGCTCTTGTGGCCCAGACTGGAATGCAACGGTGCGATCTCGGCTCACTGCAACCTCCACCTTCCAGGTTCAAGAGATTCTACTGTCTCAGCCTCCCGAATAGCTGGGATTACAGAAGCCTGCCAGCACGCCAGCTAATTTTTTGTATTTTTAGTAGAGAGGGGGCTTCACTGTGTTGGCCAGCCTGGTCTCAAACTCCTGATCTCAGGTGATTCACCCAACTTATCCTCCCAAAGTGCTGGGATTACAGGCAGGAACCACCGCGCCCGGCTTTAAACTGCTTTTTAATCTGCATGTAATGGAAAGTGGGTATAAATATGACTGCAAAACTGCCCTGAGCTACTGCTACTCTCTGCCTACAGAGTACCCCTCCTTTGCAGGAGCAGTCACTGAGCTGTAACACTGCCTCTTCAAAAAAACTGTTTTCTTCTACCTCCGGCTTGCCCTTGAATTCTTTCCTGGGCAAAGCTAAGAACGCTTACCAGCTAAGCCCCACTTTGGGGCTCACCTGCCCTGCATCAAGACCATTACCTTTGGGGTTATCATTATCATCTCATTCACATCTCTACCAGACAAAAACCCTTTGCATCTTATCCATTTTTGACAGGTCAACATCTGACATTACAGACTCTGAGCCCTAATCTAGAAAAATAAGAAAGAGAAAATTCTATTCCTCTAGAATAGCATTTCTCAACCAAGATTCCAAAGAAAGGACTGAGCCCTAATTTGCCCAGCGCATTATTTGTTGATAATCAATCAACTTCTCTCCTCTGAAACTAGAGTGGTGCTAGTTGTGTACTATCTGTGGGAGAGTTGAGAAAATAGTCCCTCCAACCATTTTCTGTGTCCCAAGAACGGAGTGACCCTGATTTCTCAGAATTCTTTTGCCCTGTTTCCAAGTTTTGGATAATTTTTCTTTTTTTCTTTTCTTTTCTTTTTTTTTGAGACAGTCTCACTCTGTTGCCCAGGCTGGAGTGCAGTGGCGCAATCTCGGCCCACTGCAACCTCCACCTCCTGGGTTCAAGCAATCCCCCCACCTCAGCCTCCCAAGTAGCTGGTACTACAGTCGTGCACCAGCATGCCTGGCTAATTTTTGTATTTTTAGTAGAGATGGGGTTTTGCTATGTTGGCCAGGTTGACCTCGAACTCCTGACCTCAAGTGATCTGCCCACCTCAGCCTCCCAAAGTGCTGGATTACAGGCATGAGCCACCATGCCCAGCCGAAAAATTTCTCTTAAGAAGGAAAACTAAAGGTGTTTAGTTTTTCACACTCTATAATGTGAGAGAGTTCAGCTACAGCAACTTGTACCTTCAGTATTAGAGGACTCAACTAGGAAAAAACCTGATAAAAATGCTCTGAGTACAGGAAGAGCTTTAGTGAGAACTTGTACCTCATTCAACATCAGGAAATTCACAGGCGAGAGAAGCCATGTGCACCTACAACATGAGGGAAGAGGGATTCTGTGGGTTCAACTCTCCTCAGTCACCAGAAGGAAAGGTCCTTGTTACAGAGAAATCCTAGACCTGCTCCCAGTGGGAAGAGAACTGAATTCACAACCTTACACTGATTGAATATCTCAACATCCACACTAGGGAGAAATTCCGCAAACATCCTGATTAAGTCAGTTTCAGCTCCAGCTTCAGCAGGCAGGGGAGACTTCACAAAGCAGACATCATTTAAATGTGCAGAGTGCAGGAATGGCTTTGGCCAGAGAGCTATTATAGATGGCTGAAGGAGGTAGACCCACAAGCTGGGAAAACCTCTCCACTGGGGCTTTTTCACCCTGGAACTTTGGCCCACAAAGCATCGTACTCTTGCAGCTGTACCCAGAATATTCCCTTTGCTGTCTGCTTCAGGTTAGCCCCTGGTGTGTGTCAATAATTTGTAAGGGTTAATAAAGAACTGTTGGGTCAAACAGACCTGGTCCACATCCTGGCTCTGTCACTTACTGGCTTTGTGATATTAGGTAGATCAATTAATTTCTCTGAGCCTCATTTTAACTTGTTTAAGATGGGATTAATATAGCACCTACTTCATAGGTGATGAGAATTAGTGAGAGGATGAATGTAAATGCATGGTGAGCACTCAGTGAATTAGGTTGCTTTCCACCACCTTCTTTTCCTTTGGCTGACCCATTTCCCAGAATCCACAAGCTCATAGTCCCTTTGAGCCCACCAGCTTGAGCACTGGGGATGGAGAAACGTTGTTTTGTGTGCAGCTGTTCAAACGATGGCTCTGATGTTATATAACTTTCCCATGGTTTAGGAGGTTCCCAAGTGGCTTCAGAGAATAAAGCACAAAGCTGGGGAAGACTCTTTCTGGGTCTTGTCCAAGGACCCCCGAGGAGACACACAAATATTCTCCTGTTTCTGTCCTTGGTCAGTCCCTTAGAGTAGCAGTTCTGGTGCTAGCAGCAAACTTTCCTGAATGCTCCAAACACAGCCAGAGGATAGGCCTGCAGTGAGATGACGATAGAACATGATAGCTATATTAGGTCATCAGAGACAACCTGTTTGTTTTGCAGATGAGGCAGAGTTATCAGATTTAGCAAAAATACAAAATGCCAATTATATTTGAATTTCAGATACACAACAATGACAACAAAATTTATTTTACCATAAGTATATTCCAATGTAAGCATTTTTACCATAAGTATATCCCAATGTAAGTTTTTTTTTTTTTTTTTAGAGACAGCAAGTGTCTTACTCTGTTGCCCAGGCTGGAGTGCAGTGGCATGATCAATGCTAACTGCAGCCTTGAACTCCTGGGCTCAAGGGATCCTCCTGCCTCAGTCTCCTAAAAGGCTGGGATTACAGGTATGAACCCCCAGGCCTGCCTACTTCGTGTGTTTTATCTGGCAATGCTGAGAGGACAGCTAGATGTCGAGGACAGCCAGATTTCGAGGACAGCCAGACGTCAAGGGGGAAAGCAACTTGCTGGCTCACACAGCCAGCCAGGTCTATTGTGGAGCCCTAGTCGCAAACACATACACCCCAGCTTTCAAGTTTTTAAATATTTATTTAGTTAGTTATTTGTTTTTTGAGACAGTCTTGCTCTGTCACCCAGGCTGGAGTGCAGTGGTGCAATTTCAGCTCACTGCAACCTCTGCCTCCCAGATTCAAGTGATTGTGCCTCAGCCTCCCTAGTAGCTGGGACTACATGTGCGCGCCTGCACTGCCCAGCTAATTTTTGTACTTTTAGCGGAAACGGGGTTTCCCCATATTGGCCAGAGTGGTCTCAAACTCCTGACCTCAAGTGATCCACCCACCTCGGCCTCCCAAAGTGCTGGGATTACAGGCGTGAGCCACCGTGCCCGGCTAGCTTTTTTTTTTTTTTTTTTTTTAATTAGGTTGAATGCTTGTTGAGCTGGGTGCCTCACATCCGTTGTCTGTTATACAAAGAACTACTGATTATGGGTCTCTACGAGCAAAAATGGCAGAACACCTACAGGGCACAGGGGAGATGGGAGCAGGGATTAGGCTTCAGAATACTTCTCCAAATGAGGGTGATCAGGGCCCGACATTTCACTGCTCTAAGGCTCAGTATCTTAACTATCAAATGGGTACAATGGGGCACAAAGGGTTACTTTGAGGAATAACGGAGGTGAGCAATTTCCAAAAAGTTCATTCCTTTAAAAACTGCGGAGCACATTTTGTGTACATGCTGTTTTTATTGTTACTCATGAAGACGCGGGGGAAGCTTTGGTTGTGTAAAGCTGAGAACTGCACCCAAGCTTCCCCGTTCACCCCACCTACCAGGGGATTTGGGCTAAATTCCTGGCCTGGCCCACAAAGAAGACCAAGCGGTCAGTCCCATTCCGTCCCATCCTGATTTACAGGAACTCACACCAGCGATCAATCTTCCTTAATTTGTAACTGGGCAGTGTCCCGGGCCAGCCAATAGCTAAGACTGCCCCCCCCGCACCCCACCCTCCCTGACCCTGGGGGACTCTCTACTCAGTCTGCACTGGAGCTGCCTGGTGACCAGAAGTTTGGAGTAGGTTTGGTGCTGGGCAGGGGTGGGGAGTAGGGTGGAAAGCATGGAGTGAAGAGGTCTAGGGAGGGGGTCTCCTCACCCCCGCCTTCCTGCCCGCCTTGATCTCGGGGGTCTCTATAGGCTTGCTTCCACCTGGGACTTCTGCCTCCTCCTACCCCAGCCCCTCCCGCCTCAGGCCTGTTGTGCTCAGCCCCCCAGGACCTCCCCTCCCCCACGCCTCTGGCCTCATTGTTTGGTTAAAGCAGGACCCCCTCCCCCTCCCACCACCTCCCCTCCGACTGAACAGATGGACAGAGACCCGGGCCCACGGGGAGAGGAAGGGCCAGCCGGTGCCGGGAAAGGGAAGCGGTTTGGGGAAAACAAAACAGAGGGAGGAGCCAGGGAGAAGGTGGCCCCAGGAGGGAGGAGGAGGGAATTCGCTAAGAGGGACTGGGGCCTGAGACGGAATGGGGGCGGGCCCCGGGCGGGGTGGGGGCCCCTGGGCTCCCAGGGTGGGAGCTGGCTCCGAGGCTGGCTGGCTCCGCAGGTCCGCTGACGTCGCCGCCCAGATGGCCTCCAGGCTGACCCTGCTGACCCTCCTGCTGCTGCTGCTGGCTGGGGTATGTGGTCCCTTGTGGGATGGGGGACGGGGGTGGAGACGGGAGGCGGGATGGTGCGGGGTGCGGGCGGTGGCTGAGGATTAACCCTTCAGGCTCCGGGGAATGAGGAGAGCTCCTCTTGGGATCATTGAGTGTGATCCTTGCACACGCACTCGTAGATGGTGGAAAGAGCTCAGGACTCAGACAGATGCAAGTTCTAATCTTGGCGGGCCATGTAGGAGCTGCGCAGCGTGGTCCTGAGGACGTCACTTTTCTCAGCCTACTCCTCCTGATTTATAAAATGTTGAATAAACAGATCCCACCCTGTCCACCAAGCAGGCTTGGCAGGAGGATCACATAGGGCAAGGAGATGGGAAGCATTTTGTGATATCAAAGCAAGAGTTTGTTGTAGAAAAGAGCTGTGGGGAGGAGAGGTTTGGCTGCTGTGACACAGACGGTGGTCCCAGGCTAGGGCCTGTGAAGACAGGGAAGAATGGTAGCAAACATACGTGGGTCTGGGTGGGGGTCAATAGCAGTGAGAGGTCCCAGTGGTCTGGGAGGTCATGGACTAGAAATAAGGCTAAGAAGTGCAGGATCCCAGGAGAAAGGTAGGTAGGGGTGTGTGTATGTGCGTGTGTGTGTGTGTGCACGCGCAAGTTGGTATCACATACTCAGCAGATGATGTAGTTATGAGCAGGGAGTTTGGAATCAGAGACCTTGTTTTGACCCCTAGCTGTTTCTCCCATTTCTGTGAGACCCTGGACTAGTTAATATGTGTCGGTATGAGTTTCTCTACCTGTGAAATGGAGCTAATGCGTGGTTTCTCAGTGGAGGATCTGTTGACATTGGGGCTGGATAATTCATTGCTGAGGGGCTACCCTGCGCATTTTAGGATGTTTTGCAGTATATCTCTAGCCTCTACGCACTAGATTCCGGTAGCATCTTCCCTGCTGTCTCCCTGTGACAACCAAAAATGTCTCTGGACATTGCCAAATATCCCCTGGGAGTCAAAATTGTTTCAGAGCCGCTGGCCTATACTACTTCTCTCTCCCTCCCTTCCTGCCTCCCTTCTTTCCTCCTTCCCTTTCTTCGTTCCCTTCCTAATGTGTACTGTTTTTCCACACCCACTAATGGGTTGCAACCCACAGTTTAAAAATTTACTGTTCTAAATCAAGGAGCACAAGTTCAAATGTCTGTACTAGCCAAGCAAGTGAGTCAAACAGGTAGATATTTACAGGAAATTGCAAGAACATAGATAAATGACAACACTCAGCTTCACTGTTTGGAAAACAACTTCCTACAGGGCAGTAATTGGTCAGAGATTACAGAGTCCCTGACTATCCCTCATCTTCTGCAGAGCACATTCCTGTGCACCCCCACCCTCACCCTGTATTGCCCCTTCTCTGAGGAATTAGTGGTGGTGGTTCTAAGACAGATTGCTCATCTGCCGCACTGTCAGAAATTACTCTCTTGTACAGGACATTTTCCACATCCACACCTTCTCTTCCTGCTTTGAGTATTTTAGAGGACTGTGCCTCGTAGTAAGAAAAAAATGAAACTCAGTTTCTTGAACCACAGGATAGAGCCTCCTCAAATCCAAATGCTACCAGCTCCAGCTCCCAGGATCCAGAGAGTTTGCAAGACAGAGGCGAAGGGAAGGTCGCAACAACAGTTATCTCCAAGATGCTATTCGTTGAACCCATCCTGGAGGTTTCCAGCTTGCCGACAACCAACTCAACAACCAATTCAGCCACCAAAATAACAGCTAATACCACTGATGAACCCACCACACAACCCACCACAGAGCCCACCACCCAACCCACCATCCAACCCACCCAACCAACTACCCAGCTCCCAACAGATTCTCCTACCCAGCCCACTACTGGGTCCTTCTGCCCAGGACCTGTTACTCTCTGCTCTGACTTGGAGAGTCATTCAACAGAGGCCGTGTTGGGGGATGCTTTGGTAGATTTCTCCCTGAAGCTCTACCACGCCTTCTCAGCAATGAAGAAGGTGGAGACCAACATGGCCTTTTCCCCATTCAGCATCGCCAGCCTCCTTACCCAGGTCCTGCTCGGTAAGACCCTGCTTGAATTCTCTCCAGGTCATTTGTTGGACACTCCCATAAGAGTCACCAATCCAGACACTTACAAAGCCATGCCTCTGGGAAGAAGCTGTAAAAATGGGCTATTATATATTGGGGGTGGGGTAGAGGGATGTATCTTTTCATTCTTGAACATTCCATCATTTCACAGTGATGTAATAGGCACGATTGCTTGTAAAACTCTGTGACTATACAAGAACATATAAAATAAGGTCGCAGCCACTAACCATGTTTCATGGCAAGGAGAGGTGATAAGAAAGATGAAATTAGGCGCAGTGGCTCACGCCTGTAATCCCAGCACTTTGGGAGGCCAAGGCGGGTGGATCACCTGAGGTCAGGAGTTCAAGACCAGCCTGGCCAACATGGTGAAACCCTGTCTCTACTAAAAATACAAAAATTATCAGGGAGTGGTGGTGCATGCCTGTAATCCCAGCTACTTGGGCAGCTGAGGCAGGAGAATCGCTTGAACCCAGGAGGTGGAGGTTGCAGTGAGCCGAGACCGCACCATTGCACTACAGTCTGGGTGACAGAGCGAGACTCTGTCTCAAAAAAAAAAAAAAATTATCAGAGATAGACCTAGAGTAGATGTGGTTAGTACTGCCTTCTAGCTCTGTGACCTTGGGCAGATCACTTTAACCTCTCTGAGCCTTGAGTCCTCTTGTGTAAAATAGTGATGATGCTATCTACCTCAAAAGATTAAGAAGCAGAAAGCCAGGCCGGATGCGGTGGTTCACACCTGTAATCCCAGCATTTTAGGAGGCCGAGGCGGGCAGATCACGAGGTCAGGAGTTCGAGACCAGCCTGACTAACATGGTGAAACCCCGTCTCTACTAAAAATAAAAAGAAATTAGCTAGGCATGGTGGTGCACACCTGTAACCCCAGCTACTCAGGAGGCTGAGGCAGGAGAATCACTTGAACACGGGAGGCAGAGGTTGCAGTGAGCCGAAATCATGCCACTGCACTCCAGCCTGGGAAGACTGAGCAAGACTCTGTCTCAAAAAAAAAAAAGAAGCAGCCTAGTGTCTGACTTAGTGGGAGGTCAAAAAAATGTAAATCCTCTGCCATCTTGAGGGATTACTGTCAAGTCCCATTTGGTAATTACCCTAGGAATGGCACAAACAAATTACTACAAGCAGTGGGGACAGAGCTATTACTCCCCAGAGAGAATTCTAAAAAGGCTACAGAATCTTTCTTGGCTGGGCACGGTGACTCACACCTATAATCCTGGCACTTTGGGAGGCCAAGGCAGGAGTTCAAGACCAGCCTGGCCAACATGTTGAAACCCCATCTCTACTAAAAATGCAAAAATTAGCCAGGCATAGTGATGCATGCTTATTGTCCCAGCTACTTGGGAGGCAGAGGTGGGAGGATTGCTTGAACCTGGAGATTCAAGTGAGCTGAGATTGCACCACTGCATTCCAGCCTGGGCAACAAAGCAAGACTCTGTCTCAAAAAAAAAAAAAAAAAAAAAAAAAAGAGAGATTGAGAGAACACTTCCAGCTCAGATGATCTGTGATCCCCTCCAAAGCAGGGAATACCCTCCATTCCAGCCTGGTCCCCAACCCTCATTCCCAAGGAAGGCCCCCGACTCATCCTGCAAGTATCTTTCATCTCTGCCCTTTGTTGCAGGGGCTGGGGAGAACACCAAAACAAACCTGGAGAGCATCCTCTCTTACCCCAAGGACTTCACCTGTGTCCACCAGGCCCTGAAGGGCTTCACGACCAAAGGTGTCACCTCAGTCTCTCAGATCTTCCACAGCCCAGGTGAGTGCCCAGGAATGGGCAGTGTCTGCAGAGGAGGGTCCTGAGAGGACTCTGAAGGGGGACCCAGCGCTGGGGAAAGAAAGGACAGAGGGAATGTTGGAGCTACAGTATCAGGGATGGACTGCAGAGCAGGTGAAGACCTTGGCAGGAGCATTAGGTCACTCCAGGAACTAGACTGTTCTTCTAATGAGACCTTAGACAAGTCTCTGGCATTCATCAACTGCTTTAGAATAAAAATAACCGGGCAGGTACAGTAAAATAGTGATGATGCTATCTACCTCAAAAGATTAAGAAGCAGAAAGCCAGGCTGGGCGTGGTGGCTCACACCTGTAATCCCAGCACTTTGGGAGGCCGAGGCAGGTGGATCACGAGGTCAGGGGTTCGAGACCAGCCTGACCAACATGGTGAAACCCTGTCTCTACTAAAAATACAAAAATTAGCTGGGCATGGTGGCGGGCACCTGTAATCCCAGCTATTCAGGAGGCTGAGGCAGGAGAATTGCTTGAACCTGGGAGGCGGAGGTTGCAGTGAGCCGAGATGACGCCACTGCACTCCAGCCTGGGCGACAGAGCAAGACTCCGTCTCAAAAAAAAAAACAAAAACAAAACAAAAACAAAAAAAAAAACAAAGAAGGAGAAAGCCGGGCCGGGCATGGTGGCTCTCATCTGTAAGTTCAAGGAGTTGAAGGTATGCTAGGACTTTGGGAGGCCAAGGCCTTCAAGACCAGCCTGGGCAGCATGGCGAAACCTGTCTCCATTAAAAAAAAAAAAGTTGGGGGTACGGCTGGGCATGGTGGCTCACACCTGTAATCCCAGCACTTTGGGAGGCTGAGGTGGGTGGAACACCTGAGGTCAGGAGTTCAAGACCAGCCTGGCCAACATGGCAAAACCCTGTCTCTATTAAAAACACAAAAATTAGCCTGGCATGGTGGCAGGCGCCTATAATCCCAACTACTCAGGAGGCTGAGGCAGGAGAATCGCTTGAACCCAAGAGAGTGAAGGTTGCAGTGAGCTGAGATCATGCCACTTCACTCCAGCCTGAGTGAAACAGCAAAACTCTGTCTCAAAAAAAAAAAAAGGAAGAAAGAAAAAAGGCCAGGCGCGGTGACTCACGCCTGTAATCGCAACACTTTGGCAGGCCGAGGCAGGCGATTCACAAGGTCAGGAGTTCGAGACCAGTCTGGCTAACTAACATAGTGAAACTCCGTCTCTACTGAAAATACAAGAAATTACCCTGGCATGGTGGTGTGCACCTGTAATCCCAGCTACTCAGGAGGCTGAGGCAGGAGAATCGCTTGAACCTGGGAGGCAGAGGCTGCAGTGAGCCGAGATCGCGCCACTGCACTCCAGCCTGGATGACAGAGCAAGACTCTGTCTCAAAAAAAAAAGGCCGGGCGCGGTGGCTCATGCCTGTAATCCCAGCACTTTGGGAGGCTGAGGCGGGCGGACCACGAGGTCAGAAGATCAAGACCATCCTGGCTAACAAGATGAAACCCTGTCTCTGCCAAAAAAATACAAAACTTAGCCGGGCATGGTGGCAGGCGCCTGTGGTCCCAACTACTTGGGAGGCTGAGGCAGGAGAATGGCATGAACCCGGGAGGCGGAGCTTGCAGTGAGCCGAGATTGCGCCACTGCACTCCAGCCTGGGCAACAGAGCGAGACACCATCTCAAAAAAAAAAAAAAAAAATGGGGCGGGCGGGCCAGGCGCGGTGTCTCACACCTGTAATCCCAGCACTTTGGGAGGCTGAGGTGGGCGGATCACTTGAGGTCAGGAGTTCAAGACCAGCCTGGCCAACACCAGGAAACCCTGTCTCTGTTAAAAATACAAAAATTAGCCAGGTGTGGTGGCACGCGCCTGTAGTCCCAGCAGGAGAATAACTTCAACCTGGGAGACAGAGGTTGCAGTCAGCTGAGATCGCACCACTGCATTCCAGCCTGGGTGACAGACCGAGACTCTGTCTCAAAAAAAAAAAAAAAAAGAAGAATACCCATATGCATTCATTAATATATAGGGCTAGAGGGCTAGAGAGCTATAGACATAAAATAGACAAAAAATTTTTTTGCTCATTTTTGGGTCAAAGGAGTCTTGGGACTCTAATTCTTTTAATTTTTGTGTTATGTGAATTTGTTATCATTTACATGTATTATGTTATTAAGTAGGTAATAATGATAATACTAATAATAAACTTACAAAACGATCCAATGTAGTTGTTTTCAGACTTTGTTCCTCGGAGCCCTAGGACTTTGCAAAGCTGTTTCTGGAGTCATGGTGGGAGTGGGGTGTGGGGAGCCTGAGCAGTGGGGAAGGGTTCACCACTTCCTGTGAGAGGGAAACGGACCAGCTGGGCTCTGAGCTCCCCACCCAGCCTCAGCCAGGGTCCATTTTATATTGTGGGCTTCAGACATGCCTTTGTTTGAAAGCAGTTCTGCTGCTTTAAAATGTTTGATAACCATTGAACTAATCTACCCACCTCCCTTTTTAAAAAAAAAAGGAAAACTTTTTTTTAAGCTGTTTTTTTTGTTTTTTGTTTTTTTTTAAACTGTAAAAACAATACTTAGGTCTGGCTCAGTGTGCCTGTAATTCCAACACTGAGAGGCTGAGGTAGGAGGATTGCTTGAGGCTAGAATTTCGAGACTAGCCTCTGGGCAACATAGACAGACCTCATCTCTACAAAAAATTTTAAAAATTATCCGGGTGTGGTACGTGTCTGTAGTTCCAGCTATGAAGGACTGAGACGGGAGGATTGCTTGAGCCAAGGAATTCGAAGTTAGAGTGAGCTATGTTTATGCCTCTGTACTCTAGGTTGGGTAACAGAGTAGGACCCTGTCTCTAAAAAAAAAAAAATTTAATTTAAATTTTAAAAACTCACCTATCACCCCATCATCTGAAAAACACCCTCTTTCAGATGTGGGAAAAACATGGCTCAGAGGTGTTCAAGAAATGTTGCATTTATTTATTACTTACAAAGCTGTAAGTCAGCTTTATCCGCTGTCTTGCTAGGTTGGTGAAAAATACGTAACAGCATTCAATATTAGGGCTTCTATCCCCATCTAGCTGCACACTGGAGCTGTGCCAAGCAAGGTTCTTGGTCTTATGTTGTACTTAGGCATCAGCAAAGCCTGGGAAAATATCTTTTTTTTTTTTTTGAGACAGAATCTCGCTCTGTCGCCCAGGCTGGAATGCAGTGGCACCATCTCAGCTCACTGCAACCTCCGTCTCCCAGATTCAAGTGATTCTCCTGCCTCAGCCTCCCGAATAGCTGGGATTACAGGCTGGTCTTGAACTCCTGGCCTCCAGTGATCCACCCACCTTGGCCTCCCAAAGTGCTGCGATTACAGGTGTGAGCCACCATGCCCAGCTGGGGAAAATATCTTTAATCTACTTAGTCCTAGAAAAATTATCTTTCAAGTGCTTTTTTTTTTTTTTTTTCAGTGGACTGAAGGCTTTTGCAGAGCAAAAGCCAGGAAGTTTTGTCACAAACTTCCACCAAGGCCAGGAAGCAGAGTCTATTCCGTGCCAAAATTAAGGGAAGAAAAGAGGGAAAATCTAGGCAAATGGAATTTAATATCTCAAAAAGATTATCTTGCCGAGCCATAGTCACATAGCAAGCTGAGGCAGCGGAGGCTTGGGGCTACTTCTCTTGTTCTTGGTTCTGGGTTTACCTTCTTTGGGCCTTATTTGCCACATCTGTAAGAGGAGTGGGCTGGACCGCGCTCCACCATGCCGTATTCACTAAGTGAGCAGATAGAACCATAGAAAGCATGCTCACTCTCAAATCGTGCTCATGGAAAGAACGACGTGTTCAGGACTCATGCCTCCCTTTCTCAACATACCCCCAGACCTGGCCATAAGGGACACCTTTGTGAATGCCTCTCGGACCCTGTACAGCAGCAGCCCCAGAGTCCTAAGCAACAACAGTGACGCCAACTTGGAGCTCATCAACACCTGGGTGGCCAAGAACACCAACAACAAGATCAGCCGGCTGCTAGACAGTCTGCCCTCCGATACCCGCCTTGTCCTCCTCAATGCTATCTACCTGAGTGGTAAGGGTGCCCTTAGCCAGTTAGTCTTCCCATTCTGGGTCCTTCTTCCCCTCCTGGCTTCAAAGCCCACTTAACCCCAAGTTCTACAATCGGATCTCAATGTCCCTGCACTACTCTTTGCTAACAAGGCTTTTAGCTCCTCTTCATCCTTTTCCTACCTGCATTAGAGCAACCCTCCCACCTCTTCCCTCTAGCCAAGTGGAAGACAACATTTGATCCCAAGAAAACCAGAATGGAACCCTTTCACTTCAAAAACTCAGTTATAAAAGTGCCCATGATGAATAGCAAGAAGTACCCTGTGGCCCATTTCATTGACCAAACTTTGAAAGCCAAGGTAAGTTCTTAACCTTTCCTTCTCCTGTTTGAAACCTACTTGAGTCTCCTGACTTTTTTTCTGCTGTAGTCCCATCATTTTGGGGTACATGCTTACAAATTCATCACTTCTACTCCTTCCATCTGTATTTCCACCCTATCTTTTCTCCTTCTCCTTTCTCTAGCCTTGGCCAAGGCAGACATTGTATATTTTAGGCTGGAAACAGGATTCTCAAGTTTCTTCATGCATCTCTACTATATTGAATGGCAAAATGTGAGTCGTGTTCCTATTCTACACATCTGTTTCTTTTTCCAGTCAACTCATCAGAAGACTCTGGTGGCTTAGCAAGTCCTGTGTGTATGTGGGTACCTGTGTACAGCATACATATACATGTGTAGACGTGTATAAGTATATCCTTGTATATGCATATATGTGGTAAGTGCATGTGTGCACATGAGTTAAATGGCTTAAGTGCATTAGCAGAAATTGAACAATTTAGTTTGATGAGTAGGGAGGGAGAGAAGACAGAATATGGAGCCCAGAGGATCCCAACTGGCAAGCTATCTCATCCCCAGTTACCAGATATTTCCACCTTTTTAGGATGGCAAAACACAGACCTATGAGACAGAAAACAGTAAGAGACAATGTCTCAATACCTGGCTGAGAAACAAAGGCTCTGTTCTTGGAACATGCTAGGCTTGGTTCCACATTGGGAGCTTTCCTTAGCTTTTGTTTCTGCCTGTATCCCTCTTCACTCAGATCCTCACATAGCTTGTTCCTTCTTGTCATTTGGGTGTCAGCTCAGAGGTCACCTTGGTGGAGAAGTCTTCTCCCCATTAAAGCAGCCTCCTCCTCACCCTGTAATATCACTCCTGTTTTATTATATTCATTACACTCATCACCATCTGAAATTATGTCATTTATTTGCTTATTTGCCTAGGACATTGTCTGTCTCCCTAAGATACTGTCTCTCTACTTGAATACAGGAACCTGTCTTGTTTCCTTCTGTATCTGTAGTGCCTAGAACAATGCCTCCTATCATAGGTGCTCATTCAGTGTTTGCTGAATAAATGAATGAATGAAATAGAGGGTGCCAAAGAGAGCTACTCAGTAAAAGTGGCTGGAAGACTTCATAGAGGAGGGTTTTTTTCGAGACAGGGTCTCACTCTGTCACTCAAGCTGCAGTGCATTGACATGATCTCAGCTCACTGCAATCTCTGCCTCCCGAGTTCAAGCAGTTCTCCTGCCTCAGCCTCCCAAGTAGCTGGGACTACAGGAGCCCGCCACCACACCTGGCTAATTTTTGTATTTTTAGTAGAGACGGGGTTTCACCATGTTAGCCAAGCTGGTCTCGAACTCCTGACCTCAAGTGATCCACACCCTCAGCCTCCCAAAGGGCTGGGATTACAGGCATGAGCCACAGCGCCCAGCTGAGGAGGTTATTTTTGACCATTCTTTGCTCAGTTATTTATCCACTCATGGACTTATCCACCCATCTATCCATCCCTATCTAATGTATTTGACCATTCATGACTCATTTAGCAGAACCAGGACAGCCTGTATAAGGCACAGAAGAGTGAATATATGTGACAGGTCCAGAGCATTGTTCAAATTCAAGATACGTTGGGGGAGGTATAAATATGAGATTTTTTTCAAATCAATTGGAATGGCTATTTAATCAAAGCCATAGATGTTAGGTGGAAAGTAGGAATTAAGAACTTAACAAGTTAGGTTTAAATGTAACTATTCGAATTATAAGAACAAGTATTTCCTCTCTAAAAATGTTTTTAAAGTTTCACACAAAACTCTAAACCAAAAATCATTGTAAAAATCCCTTGGGAGTAGACTGTTGAAACCATTGAGGTGAGGTGATAGGTTAAGGTGAGCATTCTGGACATATAATATCAATAATAAATATTCAAATACAAAGCAGGTATAATATGAAGAGTAATTTCTATCTCCCCAAGCCAATATGAGTTTTGTTTGTTTGTTTGTTTTTCTTTTGAGATAAAGTCTCATTCTGTTGCCCAGGCCGGAGTGCAGTGGCACAATCCCAGCTCTCTGTAACCTCTGCCTCCCAGGTTCAAGCGATTCTCCTGCCTTAGCCTCCCTAGTAGCTGGGATTATAGGTGCCTGCCACCACTCCCAGCTAATTTTTGTATTTTTAGTAGAGATGGGGTTTCACCATGTTGGCCAGGCTGGTCATGAACTCCTGACCTCAAGTGCTCGTCCGTCTTCGGCCTCCTAAAGTGCTGGCATTACAGGCGTGAGCCACTGCACCCAGCCTGAGTTTTTTTTTTTTTTTTAAGCCAAAGGAGGAGGAGTAGTTTTGTGCACAAAAGCCACTATTTAGAGTTCCTTAGGTTTTAAACAGATAATTAATTTAATGTACTAACAAATGCAAAATTAAAATTTTACTTATGCCTTTTAATTTTAAGCTGAACTTGCTACATTAAGAGTAGGGTGATTTGGCTGGGCGCAGTGGCTCATGCCTATAATCCCAGCACTTTAGGAGGCTGAGGCAGGTGGATCACTTGAAGCTAAGAGTTTGAGACCAGCCTGGCCAACATGGTGGAATTCTGTCTCTACTAAAAATACAAAAATTAGCCAGGCATGGTGGCACATGTCTGTAATCCCAGCTACTCAGGATGCTAAGGCACAGAATCACTTGAACCTGGGAGGCAGAGGTTACAGTGAGCCAAAATCGCGCCACTGCACTCCAACCTGGGCAACACAGCAAGACTCTGTCTCAAAACACAAAAAAAGAATAGGCTGGGTACAGTGGCTCACGCCTGTAATCCCAGCACTTTGGGAGGCCGAGGCAGGTGAATCACCTGAGGTCAGGAGTTCGAGACCAGCTTGGCCAACATTGTGAAACCCCATCTCCATTAAAAATACAAAAAATAAGCCGGGTGTGATGGTGCACGCCTGTAATCCCAGATACTTGTGAGGCTGGGACAGAAGAATCGCTTGAACCCGGGAGGCGAAGGTTGCAGTGAGCCGAGATCATGCCACTGCATTCCAGCCTGAGCGACAGAGTGAGACCTTGTCTCAGAAAAAAAAAAATAGGGTGATTTTTATATAAAAACACTCTCATTTGTTCTTGAATTAATTGCCATATTGAACAGATTAAACTCCTTTAAACCATTTTTTCTATCTACAAACATAATTAGTATTCCCATAAGCATTTTAAGCTCCCTTTAAAAATTTAATATGCTCGATTTTCTTTTTTCTTTTATTTATTTATGTAGTTTTCCCAGACAGGGTCTTACTCTATCACCCAGTCTGGAGTACAGTGACACAATCCTCACTTACTGTAACCTCAAGCTCCTTGGGATGAAGCAGTCCTCCCACCCTAGCCTCTTAAGTAGCTGAGATTCCAGGCATGAGCCACCTCACCCAGCTGATTTTCTTTTTAAACACATCTAATACCTGACAGGTCGTAATTACGACTGTGCTTGGCCATATCATCCTAACACCTAAAGCTCACTTGTAAACTGAAAATTAAATTTGAAGGGTGAATTAACTTCTAGCCAACATTCCAATATCATTCTCACATTTAATGAAATTATCCTACAACTTTGCTTAAAAGCATAAAACTAGCATGTCAGAGTCTCTTAAAAATTACAATCACTATTTTAAATAACAAACATACAGGTTACCCTGAACTTAACACCTGGTTTTAACATGATGAAGTTGGTTTCTTTTGTCATTCTTATACTAAATTCTAAATCTTCCTGGCACTTAAGGATATTTACCCAAGGAAGGGGGTGAGATTTACCGGCTCAGGTACACCGAGGTTACTGGCTTGAAAATTCAAGACCACAGCATGGTAAATTTTTCTTCAGAGATTCAAGGTTCATACATAGGACTTGAAGGGCACATGCTACTCAAATGAGTATATCCAACTTGAGTGCTACATCAACAGGGACCCCATGTCCACTCTTTTCAGTCGAAATTGGCTTACTATCTACTTCTTCTGGGCTATTCAGGTTCCGACAATTGATTGCTTTCAGTTAATTTCTTTATTGCCCAGTTGAATTCTGCATTCTTCTAGATTCTTTTTGTTCCTTCAGCCTCAATCATAATACCATTTAATGACAGTCTCATATCCTATTAGACTAGGGTTTCTCAGCCTTGGCACTATTGACATATTGGGTCAGATAATTCTTTGTCCTGTGCATTGTAGAATTTAGCATCTTCCTTAGCTTCTACTCACTAGAAGCCAGTAGCACTGTGTGCACATCCTCCTTGCCCCCTGCCAGCTATGACAACCAAAATGTCTCCAGACATTACCAAATGTCCACTGAGAGGCAAATTCACTCCGAGTTGACAACCCCTGTATTAAACCCAGGGGCCCTGCACTTCTTACATACTTTTGTCTGGTCACCAGTTGAAAGTCCTTCTTCTTTTTTTTTTCTCTTTTTGAGATGGAGTCTCGCTCTGTCACCAGGCTGGAGTGCAGTGGCATGATCTCGGCTCACTGCAGCCTCCACCTCCCGGGTTCAAGCAATTCTCCTGCCTCAGCCTCCTGAGTAGCTGGGATTACAGGCACGTGCCACCACCCAGCTAATTTTTGTATTTTTAGTAGAGGTGGGGTTTCATCATGGTGGCCAGGATGGTCTCAATCTCTTGACCTCGTGATCCGCCCACCTCGGCCTCCCAAAGTGCTGGGATTACAGGTGTGAGCCACCGTGCATGACCAAAAGTCCTTCTAATAGCAAAGTGGAAAGGTAGGCTGTGAACAATCTTGAATGCCATACTAAGATTTGTACTTATTCTCATAGGCAGTGAAGAGCCATCAATAGTTTTTACAGAGGCTGACCTGATAACTCTGGCGGTTCAATGTGCATGCTATATACTATATGCACAACACATTAGGAAGGAAGGGAACAGCGCTCAGAGAAATCAAATCACTTGCCCATATTACATAGCTCGTCAGTGGTGGAGTCAGGGTATAATCAGAAACTCATGCTCCTTCCTCTACCTCTCCCCAGCACAGAGTTGGATCAGCACTGTTCACCCAGCTGGTATCCCCATTTCATGGTAAAGCCTGGAAGCTTAGGTCTGACTGATGCTTGTTGAAATACAGACTGTGGGAGCAGACTGCAGGACAGCATTGTGACAGAGGGTGGGGCCAGGAGAGAGATGCGGTAGGAAGACTGTTAAGATGCATCTCTTATTTTCTAGGTGGGGCAGCTGCAGCTCTCCCACAATCTGAGTTTGGTGATCCTGGTACCCCAGAACCTGAAACATCGTCTTGAAGACATGGAACAGGCTCTCAGCCCTTCTGTTTTCAAGGCCATCATGGAGAAACTGGAGATGTCCAAGTTCCAGCCCACTCTCCTAACACTACCCCGCATCAAAGTGACGACCAGCCAGGATATGCTCTCAATCATGGAGAAATTGGGTGAGCTCTGGCAGCTTAGGGTTACTCCCAGGCCATCAGAGGAGAAAGGGGGGATCCCTAAGATGTAGTTAGCATTCTCTAGAGTATTTTTTACATCCATAATCTCAGTTTGTCCTGCAACCCTGCAAGTTAGAGGGGTAGGTGCTATTATCCCATTGGATCATTGTGGAAATGGAGGCTCAGAAGCTTTATGTGACTTACCCAGAGATTCCATGATTTACCCTTGAGCTAGTCAGAGGCAAACCAGAACACCGACCCAGGTCTCCAGCTCTCCTGAGTTTTTTCTATGGTTCCTTGTGACATAGGCAGTGGAACAGTGGGACAGGTAACCGAGGTGAATTATGGATGCTCCTTCCCCAGACACATTTCAAAACAGTCAGCCACCCCGTGGAATATGCAAGAAGCTATCTGGAAGTGCAGATCTGGAGGCTTCTGAGTTTACGAGAGGCAACAGAGACTCCATTTTCTTTTTTTTTTTTTTTTTTGAGACGGAGTCTTGCTCTGTCACCCAGGACAGGCTGGAGTGCAGTGGTGCGATCTCTGCTCACTGCAAGATCCGCCTCCCAGATTCACGCCATGCCATTCTCTCGCCTCAGCCTCCCGAGTAGCTGGGACTACAGGTGCCCGCCACCACGCCTGGCTAATTTTGTTTTTGTATTTTTAGTAGAGACGGGGTTTCACTGTGTTAACCAGGATGGTCACAATCTCCGGACCTTGTGATCCACCTGCCTCGGCCTCCCAAAGTGCTGGGATTACAGGCATGAGTCACCGCGCCCAGCCCAGAGACTCCATTTTCTAACCTTTGTTTTTTTGTTTGTTTGTTTTTGAGACGGAGCCTCACTCTGTCACCCAGGCTGGAGCGCAGTGGCATGATCTTGGGTCACTGCAACCTCCGCCTCCTGGGTTCAAGTGATTCTCCTACCTCAGCCTCCCAAGTAGCTGGGATTACAGGCACCTACCACCACGCCCAGCTAATTTTTTTGTATTTTTAGTAGAGATGGGGTTTCACCATGTTGGTGAAGCTGGTCTTGAACTCCTGGGCTCAAGTGATCCACCCACCTCGGCTTCCCAAAGTGCTGGGATTACAGGTGTGAGCCACTGTGCCCAGCCTCATTTTCTAACCTTTGATCTCATGTCCAGCCCTGTCACTTCATTTCTTGTTAGAGAATTTGACCGCCTAACACATGATTCCATTTCCTTGTATATGTCATCTGTATAGGAAGAAAACCTCTTTTTTATTTTCATTCAACACTTCTGGCCACCAAACAGGTGTGGGAGTGTTTTCTAAGCAATTCTCCAGTTATCTGGGGACACCAACTGGGTGTCCTACAATTGAATCCAATTCTAACACTCTACCTGGAAATAACATCAGATCCCGTGCAGTTTAAGTGCTCCGCCCCAGCAAATTTCCCCCCGTTTCCAATGTCAGTTACAAGACTGGGTTGTCACCTGTGCATCAGACCAACCAGCTATAATTTGGAGATTCCCACAACTCCCTGCTAGGGTTTCATCATTTGCTAGAATAGCTGACAAAACTCAGGAGACACTTACATTTACTGGTTTATTATGTAAAGGATTAAGTAAAGGATACAGATGAACAGCCAGTTGAAGAGATACATAGGGCAAAATCTGGAAGGGTCCTGGGCCCAGCAGCATCTATCCTGTGGAGTTCTGTTTGCTACCTTCCTGACACATGTATGTGTTCACCAACCAGAAACTCTCAGAACCCTGTACTTTAGGAGAAGTCATCATGTAGGCATGATTGATTATTACCCAATCTCCAGCTCCTCTCTTCTCCCCAGAGGATGGAGAGAGGGGCTGAAAGTTCCAAGCTTCTAATCACACTTGGTCTTTCTGGTGACCAGCCCCAATCCAGGAGCCAGCAGGAGTAGCCTCATTAGCACAAAAGGCATTCCTATGACCCAGGAAATTCCAAGGGATCTAGTAGCTCTGTGTCAGGAACTGGGATCGGAGACCAAATATTAGATGGTCTAATATTTGGAGCTAAAGATGCTCCTATAGCATATTTTCCCATTATTTCACAGCATCATGGCATTGCATATAACCTCATTTTTTCATATATGACCTATCTCTGATCTATTACCTCACTTCCAAGGTCCTGGGAGATAAGGAGGCAATGACATCATTTTTCAGGGTTGTTTTAGGGATGAGGGGCAAGGCCTCTCACCTTGAGAGAGAGTGGCAGTGTTGGGCCCACTAATAGAGGATCCCACGAACTGCCAGAGGGTACAGTATGTAATCTGGCAAACAAGGGAAGAGGAAGAGAGCACTGGGACTCAGGATGAACCCAGAGAATTCAGGACAAAGGTCTCCATCAGCTGAGGGTATCATGCTGGCTTCTGACTCTGTTTTTCTCTGGTTTTGCCCTAGAATTCTTCGATTTTTCTTATGACCTTAACCTGTGTGGGCTGACAGAGGACCCAGATCTTCAGGTTTCTGCGATGCAGCACCAGACAGTGCTGGAACTGACAGAGACTGGGGTGGAGGCGGCTGCAGCCTCCGCCATCTCTGTGGCCCGCACCCTGCTGGTCTTTGAAGTGCAGCAGCCCTTCCTCTTCGTGCTCTGGGACCAGCAGCACAAGTTCCCTGTCTTCATGGGGCGAGTATATGACCCCAGGGCCTGAGACCTGCAGGATCAGGTTAGGGCGAGCGCTACCTCTCCAGCCTCAGCTCTCAGTTGCAGCCCTGCTGCTGCCTGCCTGGACTTGGCCCCTGCCACCTCCTGCCTCAGGTGTCCGCTATCCACCAAAAGGGCTCCCTGAGGGTCTGGGCAAGGGACCTGCTTCTATTAGCCCTTCTCCATGGCCCTGCCATGCTCTCCAAACCACTTTTTGCAGCTTTCTCTAGTTCAAGTTCACCAGACTCTATAAATAAAACCTGACAGACCATGACTTTCTCTGCTTTGCCTTTGTTTTTTTATTTTTTATTTTTTATTTTTTTTAGGCAGGGTCTCAATCTGTCACCCAGGCTAGAGTACAGTGGTGAGATCATGGTTCACTGCAGCCTTAACCTCCTGAGCTCAAACAATCCTCCCATCTCAGCCTCCTATGTAGGTGGGACCACATGGGCTTGCCACCATGCCCAGCTAATTTTTAAATTTTTTGTAAAGACAGGGTCTTACTATGTTGCCTAGGCTGGTCTCCAACTCCTGGGCTCAAGCAATCATCCTAACACAGCCTCCCGAAGTGCTGGGATTGTAGGCACACCATACCTCTCCTTTGCCTTTGAATATCAGCTGCTTCAATACTAAAGGACAAGAGCGCCCATGGTTCCTGTATCAGCCAGCTATTGCTGTATAGTAAGTCACGTTAAACTTAGTGGCTTCAAACAGCAACCCTTTGTTATTTTATGTAAGTTTCAGAGTTGACTAGGTGTTTTGCTGATCTGGGCTGAACCTGGCTGATCTTCCCTGGGCTCATTCATACATCTGTAAGGTATAGTTGTTGGGTTGGTTAGGGGATGACTGGTCTTCTGTGGCCTCAGCCATGACACCAGGACAACTTGGCTCTTCTACATGTCTTGTATGTCCTTCCAACAGGCTAGTCTGTAATGGAAAAGAGTCAAACAGCCAGTCTCTTTTTGTTTACCATTGTCCTGCAGCCAAAGCAAATCACAGGACCAAACCTAGAGTTAGACTGGAAAAGCACTACAAAGTGACAGGGCAAAGAGACGTTAATTGGGGACTATTCATGCAGTCCATTTCTCACAGCCCCTATCTTGCTTATTTGTCTGCAACAACTCTGACAACAATAATGACAGTAGCTAACGTTGGGAACATAGGCAGTCTGCTAAGAGTTTTGCAGGCATTTAATCTTCACAATAAATTTATATGGTAAATTCAGAGAGGCTAAGTCTTGTTCAAAGTCCTGTAGTTAGGAAATGATGAAACTGAGATTTAATAGCACCTCTTATGACTCTTTTTTTTTTGAGACAAAGTTTCTCTTTTGTTGCCAAGGCTTGAGTATAATAGCACAATCTCGGCTCACTGTAACCTCTGCCTCCTGGGTTCAAGTGATTCTCCTGCCTCAGCCTCCCAAGTAGCTGGGATTACAAGCATGCACTACCACACCTGGCTAATTTTGTATTTTTAGTAGAGACAGGTTTTCTTTTTTTTTTTTTTTCCGAGATGGAGTCTTGCTTTGTCGGCCAGGCTGGAGTGCAGTGGTGCAATCTTGGCTTACTCAACCTCCACCTCCCGGGTTCAAGTAGTTCTGCCTCAGCCTCCCAAGTAGCTGGGATTACAGGCGTGCACCACCAAGCCCAGCTAACTTTTGTATTTTTAGTAGAGACGGGGTTTCACCATGTGGACCAGGCTGGTCTCAAACTCCTGACTCCAAGTGATCTTCCCACCTCAGCCTCCCAAAGTGCTGGCATTACAGGTGTGAGCCACTGTGCCCGGCCTAGTGAAAACAATCTTCTTTACTCAGTCTACCAGCTCAAATACCAGTCTCTTCAGGAAACAACCTCACAGACACACCCAGAAATGATATCTTACCAGTTGTCTGGGCATCCCTTAGCCCAGTAAAATTGACACATAAATTTAACCACCCCACACCTTCCCTTCTCAGTTTCCCAAAGTCAATCTCTCAGGCTGCTGGGAAGACCCCAAATTCCTGTCTGGGTGGGTCCCGCTTTGATTCTTATGTGAGGAACTGTTGAAAGCAAAGGCACCCCCCAAATTCAGGAAGATTCCCCTCTCCTTGGGGAGATCCTGACATGATGAAGGTGGTGCTCAGCACCAACCTGAATTGTGAACCAACAAAGTCAGGAGGTGGAAGGTGATTCTGACCCCTGTGGGGGTCAAATCTCTTTGACCCTTCCAATCATGCTGAGCCCGGTAATGTTCCCGTTTGTGAAATGATGAAGCCAAAACTCAGAGAGGTTAAGTAACTATCCAAAGGTCAGACTGCTGCAAATCGATCCCACATTATCCAAATTCAAGTGTAGTAGATAACTTATTTGGGCAGGCTTATTTCCTTTCTGCCCAAACTTGACTGTAACTTAAATCTGTGTCTTCTTACTCCCTGCACCATGTGACCCTACAGAGCTTATCAAAGTGTCTTGCACTTAAAAAAAAAAAAACTATGGAGGCTGGGCATAGTGGCTCATGCCTATAATGCCAGCACTTTGGGAGACGGAGGCAGGCAGATCACTTGAGGCCAGGGTTTTGAGACCAGCCTGGGCAACATGGCGAAACCCTGTCTCTATTAAAAAATACAAAAATGAGCCAGGTGTTGAGGTGCATGCCTGTAATCCCAGCTACTCGGGAGGCTGAGGCATGAGAATCACTTTAACCTGGAAGGCAGAGGTTGCAGTGAATCCAGATTGTACCACTCCACTCCAGCCTGGGTGACAGAGTGAGAGACTGTCTAAAAAAAAAAACTATGAAATGAATGATTAAATGAATGAGTTATCACATCCAGGTAGAGGGAAAGAGGAGATACCTACCCATCTGGAAAGCATAGAAAAATCTGGAAATGAAGAGAATTTATTTATTTATTTTATTTTTTGAGACAGAGTCTTGCTCTATCACCCAGGCTGGAGTGCAGCGGCTTGAACATGGTTCACTGCAGCCTTGACCTCCTGGGCTCAGGTGATCCTTCCACTTCAGCCTCCTGAGTAGCAGGGACCACAGGTGTGCACCACCACACCTGGCTACATTTTTTGTTTTTTATAAAGACAGGGTCTCAGCTGGGCACGGTGGCTCATGCCTGTAATGCCAGCACTTTGGGAGGCCAAGGCAGGCTGATCACCTGAGCTCAGGAGTTCGAGACCAGCCTGGCCCACATGGTGAAACCTCGTCTCTATTAAAAATACAAAAATTAACAAGGCGTGGCAGCAGGCACATGTAATCCCAGCTACTTGCGGGCTGAGGCAGGAGAATCACTTGAACCCAAGAGGTGGAGGTTGCAGTGAGCCGAGATCATGCCACTGCACTCCTCCAGTCTGGGGGATGGAGCAAGACTTCGCCTTGGAGAAAAAAAAAAAAAGTCTCACTGTGTTGCCCAAGCTGGTCTGGAACTCCTGGGCTCAAGAGATCCTCTAGCCTTGGCCTCCCAAAATGTTGGGATTACTGGTGTGAGCCACCACACCCAAGATAATTTAAATATTTTCTCTTCTGAAGCTTTTCTTATAAGAGGGCATGTGTCACTTTTTTCGTTTGTTTAAAACAATGAACATTTATTTTGCTTTGTTTTGGTTTTTTGTTTTTGTTTTTGTTTTGAGACGGAGTCTTGCTCTGTCTTGCCCAGGCTGGAGTACAGTGACACAATCTCGGCTCACTGCAGCCTCCGCCTCCTGGGTTCAAACAATTCTCCTGTCTCAGCCTCCCGAGTAGCTGGGACTACAGGCTTGTGCCACCATGCCTAGCTAATTTTTGTATCTTTAGTAGAAACGAGGTTTCACTATGTTGGCCAGGCTGGTCTCGAACTCCTGACCTCAGGTGACCTGCCCTCCTTGGCCCCCCAAAGTGCCGGGATTACAGGTATAAGCCACTGCACCCAGCCTGAACATTTATTTTGCTAATGAGTCATTGACCCAGTGTGGGCTTGGCAAATCTAGGGTAGCCTCAGTTATGTACCTGCTACAGTCAGCTGGGGGTTAGCTGAAGGTTTGTTGAGGTTTGATTTCACTGAGCTTGCATAGGCTCTTTCACATGTTTTAGACTTTGGCTGGGATCAACCAGATGACCAATTCTGATCCAAGTGATCTCTGGTCTTCCAGGAAGCTAGTCTGGCTTATTCATACGAAGTTTGCAAAAGTCCAAGAAAGCAAGCAGAGGCATGCATGCAAGGCCTCTTGAATCCGAAGCTAGGAACTACTAGAACATCACTTCTGCCTCATTCTAGCAGCCAAAGCAAGTCACCAGACCAGTTTAGATTCAAGGTAAGGAAAGAATCTCTACCTGTTAAAGAAAAGACCTGCAAAGTCATTCTGCTAAGGGCATTAATATAACGAAATGTGAATAATTCTGGCCACTTTTCCAGTATACCATATGTGGTCTTACATAGTTGCAAACAACTATTAGCAACTTTCCCCAGCAACCTGCCACTCTGTTTTTCCCTAAAGAATCAAGGGCTTTTGTCGAGATCATAATAATATTAGAAACACTTTGTTACATGAAGTTTCAAGTCGTTTGCATATAAATTGAATCTTCTGTTGCTATCTCTGTGGCATATTTAACAATCTCTGGCTCTTCCAGCTGCCTGTGTTGTAGAATAAATTATTATAAATACAGAGCTGCCTGAGTATTTATAATAATAAATAAATAAATTATCTTCATTTCCATTTCCCTTGAGAAAGATGGACAGAGGGCTATGCACTCATAGACACACACACACACACACACACACACACACACCCTTACAACCCCCACCTTTCTGCCCTGCCTTGCAATTCTACTCTGGGGTAGACAAAGGCCTGTATGTCCACAGATCCATTTTCAGTGATCTGTTTCCTGTCCCCAACTGTAGACCCCTCCACACGTGGATTTGTCTGGGGAAGAACCTTAAGGTGAGATTAGGGTTCCATTGCAATGAGTCTTTGCTGCCACTTGGTGTCATTGTTGAAGGCTTGTCCTGCATAGCCCCATGGACACTTGCCTTTTCAGGGAGATGTTTTTGCTGTTCCAGATTCTTTTTTTTTTTTTTTTTTGAGACAGAATCTCTCTCTGTTGCCCAGACTGGAGTGCAATGGTGCGATCTTGGCTCACTGCAACCTCTGTTTCCCAGGTTGAAGGGATTCTCCTGCCTCAGCTTCCTGAGTAGCAGGAATTATAGGCACCCACCATGTGTCCAGCTAATTTTTGTATTTTTAGTAGAGATGGGGTTTTACCATGTTGGCCAGGCTGGTCTCAAACTCCTGACCTCAAGTGATCCACCCATCTTGGCCTCCCAAAGTGTTAGAATTACAGGTGTGAGTCACTGTGCCTGGCCGGTTCCAGATTCTTAAACAGCTGATGTGGGGACTTAAACTTTGATTCCAAAGTTTACACTTTACACTTGTTCAGCCACTGTTTCTCAAAGATCAATACCTTTAGTTCTCTCTGGATAGCAGAAGGCTTCCAACATGAGCCATAGGCTATGTCAGAATCAGCCTCATCCCTATGAACCCTTAGGACATTGTCTTGACTCATGGTTGATAACCACATTAGCCATGTATCTACCTAACATGCATTAACCATTTGCCATGCTGTCAGGCACTGTGTTAAGAATTTTACATGGATTATGTTATTTCATTTAAGAGAGATCATGACTTAAGAAAAGGATATGTTACTGAATATATTAGATAATTCAAAATTTAGATAATTTGATACTAAGTTTTCCAGAATAATAACTGTAAAAGGTAGGGAGAGAATCTTCAACCATTGTAGAATTTCTTGTCTTCAAACTATTGTTTATTTTCTAAATACAAAAATCTCTAATATTTCTCAGAGTAGGCACTCTTAAATTAACTGCTTGGCATATCAGGACAGCTATTTGGGCTTTTTCATAGTGTCTTATCATATCTAACTTTCATTACAAAGTTATTGATTTTGGAGGGTGTTTTTAGCACTAGTGCCATGACTTAATGAATGAACTCTGAGATGACATCATTGTAGAATACAGGAAATATTTTAAATGATAAAGCTGAATGTTAAAATAACAGCACCTTAGTCACAAATGTCACTGTCAGAATTTATGATGCACATAAACAATAGCTGATTCACACAATTATGAGCAGTGATGGCAGTTATTTACTTTCACCAGCTCAAGTGCCACTATCATGTACCAATAGTTATGAGTATAGTTTACAATCCACTCAGCCCACCAATTTTGAAATTATGCAACCCTTGATGATTTTTTTTAATTTAGGGAGATTTTCAATTTTTCAAGTTTGTATAATTCAAATTTATATAATATACAGTAGTACCACCTCATTATTATCCTCTTTTATAGATGAAAAATGAAACCTTACAGTGCAATTGATCTACTCATTCAAGATCTCAGAAGTCCAGAAGTGGTGGCTTATGCTTGTAATCTTAGCACTTTGGGATGCCAAGGTGGGTGGATCACTTGAGGTCAGGAGTTCGAGACCAGCCTGGCCAACATGATGAAACCACATCTCTACCAAAAATTAGTCGGGGGTGGTGGTGGGCATTTGTAATCCCAGCTACTCCGGAGGCTGAGGCAAGAGAATCACTTAAATCTGGGAGGCAGAGGTTGCAGTGAACTGAGATCATGCCACTACACTCCAGCCTGGGCGATGCAGTGAGACTCCGTCTCAAAAAAAAAGATCTCAGAGATGGTAAAGAGTGGAAGCAGGAATAGACCCCAGTATCTGACTCTAGAACTTGTGCTCAGTAACCAAGTTTTCATTTCTCAAAATGTAATTTCATGTTAGAGAACTCAGTGATATTCCTTGTCCTGAGCTTTTGTTGAAATTATACCAATCCATCCCAAAGCTCTCCATAATTTTGAATCTTAGGAAGAAATGTTGGGGAAATATGGATCCCCCTTATTCCAAAAAAAAACAAACTCCTTTTGCAAATTGGGACCTCTCTTCTCTCCTGACCTGCTTTGACGACCAGGGACCGCAGCAAGTGGTAGCTTCCATAGAAGCACAGAAGCTTCTATTATTTCCTCCACTGGAGCAGGGTCTGCCTACCACATTTGCATATTGACAGGATCTAGTCATAGTCAGGTAACTTCTCTGAAACTGAGAGTCTGCTTCACGTGACCCAGACAAAAGTATAGATTTTAAGCATTCTTCTAATTTCTTTTTTTCTTTTTCTTTTTTTTTTTTTTGAGACTGAGTCTTGCTCTGTCACCCAGGCTGGAGTGCAGTGAGGCAATCTCAGCTTACTGCAACCTCTGCCTCCCGGGTTCAAGCAATTCTCCTGCCTCAGCCTCCCACACAGCTGGGACTACAGGCGCACACCACCACTCCTGGCTAACTTTTGTACTTTTAGTAGAGATGGAGTTTCACCATATTGGCCATGCTGGTCTCGAACTCCTGACCTTGTGATCCACCTGGCTTGGCCTCCCAAAGTGCTGGGATTATAGGCATGAGCCACCACATCTGACCCATTCTTCCCATTTCTTACCCTATTTAATCTTTCTCTTGGGCCAGACTCAGTGGCTGATGCCTGTAATCCCAGCACTTTGAGAGGCCAGCGTGGCTGGGTCACTTGAGCCCAGGAGTTTGAGACCAGCCTGGGCAACATGGCAAAACCCTGTCTCTACCAAAATAATACAAAAATTAGCTGGGCGTAGTGGCACACACTGATAGAAGCAGCAAAAATATACACATACTTGTATTTATGCACGTGTACAAAAGCACATGCACACCATCCTCTGGAAGTCTGTGCCAGAGTTTGGGGACAAACTTTATATTCCAGTCCCAGCCCCAATTCCTGAGGAGGGCCTCTTGGGCACAGAGGAGCAGGGAATACATGCGTCTTCACGGGAAGGATCTCCAAGCTAGTCATCACTAATTACAAGCCTTGAAATAGGCTCATCCATCATCCTGGAGTGACAGGCTGGCCATGCAGCCTGCCTCTTGGCTTCCTAGCCCCCTCCCCCATTCCATTCCATTTCTCCTTGAGTGACTGCAGATCTGAAAAGCATTTTGGCCAAATATTCAATCCTCTCCAAAAACATAAATATAGGCATGCCCAGGCTCAGCTGGACACCTTCTGCTCATCTCTCTACACACCCTGAGAGCTCCTGTGAAGCTCCCCAATAGCCTCTACCCATGTGTGAGCCCACTTTCAGTTGGCTTTTACATGTGCCCCACTCTAGCCTTTATTTTCAGTATTTCATTGAAACTTTGCAATAATCCCATTATTGGTATTGTTTTGCCAGATTTGCAAATGAAGAAAAGGAGCTTCTGAGAAATAATTTGGGCTGGGGACAGTGGCTCATGCCTGTAATCCCAACATTTTGAGAGGCTGAGGCAGAAGGATCGCTCAAGCCCAGGAGTTTGAGACCAGCCTGGGCAACATGGCAAAACCCTGTTTCTACCAAAATAATACAAAAATTAGCTGGGTGTAGTGGCACATGCTTGTGGGCCCAACTACTCAGGAGGCTCAGTTGGGAGGATCACCTGAGCCTGGGAGGTCAAGGTTGCAGTGAGCTGTGTTCATACCACTGCACTCCAGCCTGGATGACAAAGAAAGACCTTGTCTCAAAAAAAGAAAGAAAGAAAGAGAGAAAGAGAGAGAGAGAGAAGGAAGGAAGGAAGGAAGGAAGGAAGGAAGGAAGGAAGGAAGGAAGGAAGGGAGGGAGGGAGGGAGGGAGGAAGAGAGAAAGGAAGGAAGGAATGAAAGAAGGAAGGAAGGAAGGAAAGAAGGAAGGAAGAAAGGAAAGAAGGAAGGACGGAAGGGAGGAAGGAAGGAAGGAAAGAAGGAAGGAAAAAATTTGCCCAGGATGATTCAGCTGGGAAGGGCAGAGGTGACATTCAAACCAAGGTCTGCTAATTGCATACCCCACCCCTGGGTCTTCTCCAGTCCTTCTCCTACCCCAGGATGCCCCAATTCACTATCTTAGGTTTAAAGGGCCTGCTCTGTGACTGGGCATTTCCTCTTGGAAGTCCCACAAGTACCTCTTCCTCATCTTGTCTCCTAAGTCAACTTAAAAGTCAAAGTCTTTCAAAACCTTCTTGCTGATCAGTAGCAGGATTGTGCCTAAGAATAGGTACTGCACTCCAGCCTGGGCAACAAAGGCAGAACGCGTCTGCTTATAATAGTAATTTTTTAAAAAGCCGAAGTTGGCCAGGTGTGGTGGCTCACACCTGTAATCCCAGCACTTCAGGAGGCTGAGGTGGGCAGATTGCTTGAGCCCAGGAGTTCGAGACCAGCCTGGGCAACATGGCAAAAACCCATCTCCACAGAAAGTACAAAAATTAGATGGGTGTGGTCGTGCACACAGCTACTCTGTGGTCCCAGGTACTCAGGAGGCTGAGGTGGGAAGATCACCTGAGTCCTGGGAGGTGGAGATTGCAGTGAGCCGAGATCACATCACTGCACTCCAGCCTGGGCAACAGAGTGAGACCCTGTCTCAAAAAATAAATAAATAAAAAGAACCAAAGTCTATATTAGTCCCAGAGTAGACTAATATAGTAGACCAAATACCATTCCCAAGGGCTATGGGTTAGGGGCTTAGCAGAAAATGCATGGCAACAGGACCACCAGGGTGAGGATGGTTCCTGTCCATGGACCACGATGGTGTGGTCATGGTCACAGTGAGCCTGTCTGCCGGCTGGCTTCAGGGAGCAGCATCAGAGCCGATTCCTACTCTGCTGCTACAGCCAGACTGTCAGGCCTGGAGCCCCAGTCCCTGGCCATCTAGCTCTGCTTCATCAGAACTGAGTTTCCTGGCGATTCCTCTGGGGCCCAGAGTGAACCTCACTAGAACACTTGCCCTCTTGCTGAAATAATTTTTAAAATCTCCTAGGAGGCAGGGACCGTATCTTTTTGTCATTATCCTCTGTTCTGAGCATGGAGCCTGGAACCTACAGAGTTGACACTCAGTACATATTAGCTAAAATAAAATGAAGCAAAACAAAACAGAACAAAAATGCATTTCCAGATCCTATTTATTTATTTATTTATTTATTTATTTATTTATTGAGACAGAGTTTCGCTCTGTTGCCCAGACTGGAGTGCAGTGGCACGATCTTAGCTCACTGCAACCTCTGGCCTCCTGGGTTCAAGTGATTCTCTTGCCTCAGCCTCCCAAGTAGCTGGGATTAGAGGCACACGCCACCACGCCCGACTAATTTTTGCATTTTTAGTAGAGACAGGGTTTCACCACGTTGGCCAGGCTGGTCTCGAACTCCTGACCTCAAGTGATCTGCCCGCCTTGGCCTCCCAAAGTGCTGGGATTACAGGCATGAGCCACCAGCCTGGTCTCTACAGATCCTGTTCATTTAAATGCTGCCATTCTTCTAAGCCCAGTGCAATTCTCCAACAGTGTTTTCTGCTTTTCCCAGCCAATAGCACCTCCTCCATCTTTAGACATAGTGCTGAACTTACACTGCCATGTAAAATCAGTAGCATGTACACAAATATTTGGCTTTCCCCTCCAACCACTAGGAAACTCCTTGTGAATCTGATTCAGGACATCTCTGGTCCCACCTATGCCTATAAATGGTCAGCAAACACTTTTGATTCAAAGTGTGCAGTGTCTATATTTGAGCAAAGTTTTGTTTTGTTTTGTTTCGTTTTGTTTAGAGACAAAGTTTTGCACTTGTTGCCCAGGCTGGAGTTGGCACAATCTTGGCTCACTGCAAGCTCCGCCTCCTGGGTTCAAGCAATTCTCCTGCCTCTGCCTCCCAAGTAGCTGGGATTACAGGCACCTGCCACCATGCCCGGCTAATTTTTTGTATTTTTAGTAGAGATGGGGTTTCACTACGTTGGCCAGGCTGCTCTCAAACTCCTGACCTCAGATGATCCACCCGCCTCAGCCTCCCAAAGTGCTGGGATTACAAGTGTGAGCCACCGCACATGGCCAAGCAAAGTTTTTTATTTTACAATGATGACATTAATGTTATTCTTATTTTATGTATCTCCTCTGGAGACTGGTGGAGCTAGGAATACCAAAGCATAGCTTCTCATAGTCATTATCAGCTAGGGTTTTGCCTTACAAATTATCTTTCAACTAGAGGAATTATACCTCTGTGTTTGGATGTTCTTTCCTCCTCCCTGCTGCCCCGTGTCTTTGATTCTTGGGATCAGGACTCCATGGCTTTAGTCAGAAGGGGTGAAGATGATTCTTACCCTTTAAGTAAGTAAGCACCTGGAGTCTGGAATTGTTCTAGGATTAAACAAGGCCACAGCCCTGTGAATTGCCTTATCTACTCAAATAGGCCGTCTAAAGAGAATCTATACTTTGTTATCGTCCTAGAGGCCTTCTTGCTTTCCACTAATTTATACATATTATCTACTGGCCAGGTGCGGTGGCTCACGCCTGTAATCCCAGAACTTTGGGAGGCCAAGGCGGGTGGATCACCTGAGGTCATGTGTTCAAGACCAGCCTGGCCAACATGGAGAAAGCCCATCCCTACTAAAAATACAAATATTAGTCAGGTGTGGTGGTGCACACCTGTAATCCCAGCTACTCAAGAGGCTGAAGCAGGAGAATCGCTAGAACCTGGGAGGCCAAGGTTGCAGTGAGCCGAGGTTTCCATTGGTTACTTGGTGTACGCCTTATGTAAATGAAGAGGATGAAGGAAAGTTACAAAGTCATTTACTCTGTGTACACCCTATGTAAACAAGAGGATATTTCCTGTCACAGCTGAAGTGTTTCCATTTGATTTAGTTCTAGAAAGTCCTTAGGTTCTCTGCCTCCAGGCCCTATTCTCCTGCCTCAATCATAGATCACTGCAGCCTTGAGGTCCTGGGCTCAAGCTCAGGTCCCACCTCAGCTTCCTGAGTAGCTGGGACCACAGGCCCGCACCACCATGCCCAGCTATTTTAATTTTTTTTTTTTTGAGATGGAATCTTGCTCTGTCGCCCAGGTTGGAGTGCAGTGTTGCGATCTCGGCTCACTGCAACCTCCGCCTCCTGGATTCAAGCAATTCTCTTGCCTCAGCCTCCCGAATAGCTGGGACTACAGGCGCCCACCACCACGCCCAGCTAATTTTCGTATTTTTAGTAGAGACGGGGTTTCACCATATTGGCCAGGCTGGTCTCGAACTCCTAACCTTATGATCCGCACGCCTCAGCCTCCTAAAGTCCTATTTTTTTTTTTTAAGAGGCCAGGTGTGGTGGCTCACACCTGTAATCCCAGCACTTTGGGAGGCCAAGGCGGGTGGATCCTCTGAGGTCAGGACTTCTGCCATTTTCCCATTCATTTATTCAAGTTTTAATTGAGTACTTACTTGTGCTAGGCACTGTTGTGGCAGCGGACAAACTGTTCAACAAGACAGAGCTCTTGTTCTCTGAACTTTAATGGACTGGTAATGTCTCCCTTCACTTCTCTCCATGTGATATGAAGTGTCCCAGTGTGTGTAGGGGATGTGGGAAAACAATTGAAATGTGGGGAAAATTTTGAAATGTGGCCGTGGAAGACTGATTTTCTCTTGCCTAAGATTTCCTTAGAATGTCCACTTTGGAGTAATGTGGGAGACAGTCCTGCCCTGGCTTATCTTGGGGTTTGGGATTAGGTCAGGGCTACATTATGAAATCAGTAAATTCTCCTAAGAATCCACAAACCAGACTAGTTCTTTCAGTTTCTCCAGGGTCCAAAGAGCTGTAGCTACCAAAAAGAGATCCCTGGCACTAATTAACTGGCAAATGTGGTAAGTTCACCACTGAGGACCTACATTTTCTAAACTAAAATCATGGCACAAGGTCTCAGAAGTCTCCATATTTATGGGATCCGCTAAAACTGAAAATTTTGAATCAAAGCTCTCCCCAAATATATTTGGAGAATAGAACATTGTAGTTATATTCACTAGGCTCATGACCCTAAAACCCTCTGGCTGGCTGGAAATTAGTCATGTCTAGCAGTCAATCAACGATTTTTCTAGCTAGGCCAAGGGTTCAGATTACTCCTCCTGAGAAACTTTCATTTGATCTGGGGAAATGTAAAAAGGAAAAATGAAAGGGCACAATCTCTGCTCTCAGGGAGCATCTTGGTCTGATGAGGAATTAGACACAAAATAATCATAACAGCACAGGTGGTAGGTGCAGCTAGACAGGCAACTCGGAATAAGTTTGGAAGGCCTTGAGTTCCATGCTAAGAAGTTTGGAATGTATCCTCTTGAAGAAGTTCTGACCTGGAGGAGATTAGAGCGTGTGTTGGGGGCAGTGGTATGTGAATGAACTCCAGAGGGTTCACGATCCCCTTGAGATGTATACCTGTATTAGTCCATTCTCACATTGCCATAAAGAACTACATAAGACTCGGTAATTTATGAAGAAAAGAGGTTTAATTGACTCACAGTTTTACAGGCTTAACAGGAAGCATGACTGTGAGGCCTTAGTTAATGTACAATGATGGCAGAAGTCGAAGGGGAAACAAGCTCCTTCTTCACATGGTGGCAGGAGAGAGAGAGAGCAAGGGGAGAAAGGCTACACAAGTTTAAACCATCAGATCTTGTGAGAACTCAATCACTATCACCAGAACAGCAAGGGGGAAATCCACCCCCATGATCCAATCTCCTCCCACCAGGTTCCTCCCCCAACACTGGGAATTATAATTCAACATGAGATTTCAATGGGGACAGGGAGCCAAACCATATCAATACCGTAATACAAAAAAAAAACAAAAAACATTTTTCTAGAAAGAGTCACCCATAGGTTTCATCAGCTTTTTTTTTTTAAGTGTCCGTGATCCAATAATGTTTAGGAAGCATTATCTAAATACTAGGGGCCAGGCATGGTGGCTCACACCTGTAATCCCAGCACTTTGGGAGGCTGAGGAGGGCAAATCACCTGAGGCCAGGAGTTCGAGACCAGCCTGGCCAACATGGCAAAACCCTGTCTCTACTAAAAAAATACAAAAATTAGGCCAGGTGTGGTCACTCACACCTGTAATCCCAGCACTTCGGGAGGCCGAAGAGGGCGGATCACTTGAGGTCAGGAGTTGGAGACCAGCCTGGCCAACATGGCGAAATCCCATCTCCACTAAAAATACAAAAATTAGCTGGGTGTGGTGGCAAGCGCCTATAGTCCCAGCTACTCCAGAGGCTGAGGCAGGAGAATCGCTTGAACCCGGGAGGCAGAAGTTGCGGTGAGCTGAGATTGCATCACTGCACTCCAGCCTGGGCAACAGAGTGAGACCCTGTCTCAAAAAATAAAATAAATTAAAATAAATAAATACTAGAGAGCCATCATAATTCGGGACACACGAATGATCTGAGGTTTGTGTTTTAGACTTACACGCTGATGGAATGGGACTTGAAAGGAAAGTTATTCAGAGGATGACACAAACCCTCAAGGGGCAGGGGAATGGAGAGAAAAGGAGTCATCTAAGAGGTAGAATGCACAGGATTTAGGGCAATTTGGGTGAAGGTGGCAGAGAGTAAGAGAAGTAAGGATTAGAATTATGATTGCAACCCTAAGATAAAAGATGTAAAAGAAATTTTGATTGACTTTGAAACACAAATTCTTTTAATCTGCCTGGAGATAGAAAGTTTCACAAATCAAACCCCAGGTGTCTTCTGATCCACAAGGTCATCAGGCAGTTTCTCAGAATTTCATTTTAGTACGTGGTGTATTCAGATAGGAGAGTCAGATACACTACTATCCTCTAAATCATGTGACTCCACAGCCAGAAATTCTGTAAGATTCTAATAGCCTAGAGTAACTTGTTTATCAGTATTTAAGATCATGTTTCATGGGACACTCCAATCTGCAACCCATGTTGCATGGGCTACTCCTCCTTACTGGCGCAGCCAATGAGGAAGGGTAAAGATGATCCTGTGATGGTTTTCAGCCTAAACAACTGTGGTAGGCTTTTAACTGTGAAATAGAATCTAAGAAGAAAAGCAGGTTTGTGGGGATGGGGAAGGTGAAGGTAAGACAATGAAACTGGGTTTGGGCAAACTGCATCCAAGACATCTCTGTGACATTTTATCAGTCAGGAATTTTTTTGGTTATGAGTGACAGAAGCCAACTGAGACTAACATAAGGAGAAGAGGAAATGTTGTGGTTTACATAATTAAAAACTCAAGAGGGCCAGGCACAGTGGCTCATGCCTGTAATCCCAGCACTTTGGGAGGCCGAGGGAGGCGGACCATGAGGTCAGGAGATTGAGACCATCTGGCTAACACAGTGAAACCCTGTCTCTACTAAAAATACAAAAAAATTAGCTGGGGGTGGTGGCAGGCGCCTGTAGTCCCAGCTACTCGGGAGGCTGAGGCAGGAGAACGGCATGAACCTGGGAGGCGGCGCTTGCAGTGAGCCGAGATCGCGCCACTGTACTCCAGCCTGGGCAACAAGAGCAAAACTCTGTCTCAAAAATAAAAAATAAAATAAAATAAATAAAAACTCAAGAGGTTCACCTGTAGACATGCCTCTAGCAGGTTCCCAGGCACCTGTCTCTCTCCATCTCTTGCCTCTGCTTTGCTCTGTTATGTTGGCATTTTAGGCAGATCTTCCCCCATTCGGCAGCAGTTATGGCCATCAGCAGTTTCAAGCTTTGTCTACCAGCGTAACAGGGATGGCAATACCACTTTCCCAAAGATTACAGCAAACATCTTAGGCCTAATTGTGATTGACTCTGATTGGATATCCTTGATCCAATTATTATGACTTAATTGGCTAAGTCTGGTGTGGGTGATAGCCTCTAAGACAGCCCCCAGTGATCCTACCTCCTAGTAATCATGCCTTTGTGTAATCCTCTCCTCTTGAGTAACTTACTTCTAACCAGTAGAATATGGCAATGTGGAGAGGTTGTCACTTCTGTGATTAGGTTACAAAATATTGTGACTTCATCCTGCTAGTGGACTCTCTCTCTCTTGCCGGCTTTGACAATGCAAGCTTTCATGTTGGAGAGGCCCACATTGCAAGGAACCTAGCATGGCCTCCAGCCAACAGCAAAGAACGGAGGTCCACATTCCAACAGCCCTTGAGGAACTGGATCTTCCCAAAAAACTATGAAACTGAGCTTGGAAGCAGATCTGATCCCCATTGAATCTTCAGATTAGACCCCAACCCCTGGATGATACTTTGATTGCAGCCTCATGAGAGACCATGATCAGGGGACCCAGCTAACCTCTGCCCAGATTCCTGAACCACAGAAACAGAGAAAATAAATGTGTGTTGTTTTAAGCTACTACGTTTTGGACTAATTTGTTATGCAGCAATAGACAACTAATATATCTGGATTGTGTGACTGTCCCTGAAGGGGCAGATGAGGCCAGTCTCATGTGAACCATGTGGTCTGAGGTCAGAGAATAGGTGTCTTCCCAAAGGAAAACTAAGATGTAGTTACCAGAAGGGGGATGGAATATCTGGGCAGGCAAAAGCACCAGCTGCTCACCTCACACATCTATTTGGGAATGTAAGGAGCTGGCAATACAACTAGAGATATAGATTTGGCAGTGATTCATGTATGGGTGATTGTTAAAACTGTAAGAATGGATGAAATTTCCCCCAAAGAGAGGAGAGTCAAGGACAGATCTCTCAGGAATGGCAACAATTAAGGGGCAGATGGAAAAAGAGACAAAGGTGATTAGGTGAAGGCAGAGGTGTAGGAAGACATATGTTTGATGTTGCCCAAATTCAGCTTAGTTGGCTGGTAAGACATACATCTGAGGAATTGCAACCTTCTGTTAGAAATCTGGGTCTATATGAGTGACTGTTGAAATCAGGCATGTGGATGATTTTGTTCACCGAGAGAGTATAGATGGAAAAGAAGACCAAGGACTAATCCACACAGAATCTGTATATTTAGGCAACAGGGGAGTAAAGAGGACTCACAGGAAGGGAGCTGAGAAGGAACAGTTGGAGAGGTAGGAGGGAATCCAGGAGAGGCCAGTCTGCCAGAAGTCATGGGCATTTCAAGACTGATATAGTCAGTACTGGCAAGTGCTAAAGAGAAGATGCATGTGATGAGAATTGAGAGGAGAATTGTGGATCAGTAATAAGGAAGTCATTGGCATCCTAGTAGGAAACATTTCAGTGGAAATTGGGGGGCAGAAGTCAGATTGCGCAGATTTAAGAATGAGAGAGACATGGGCTGGATGTGGTGGCTCACACCTGTAATCCCAGCACTTTGGGAGGCAGAGGTGGGAGGATCACTTTAGGTCAGGAGTTTAGAGCAGCCTGGCCAACATGGTGAAACCCCAACTCTACTAAAAATACAAAAATTAGCTGGGTATGATGGTGGGCACCTATAATCCCAGCTACTCAGGAGGCTGAGGCAGGAGAATCACTTGGATCCAGGAGGCAGAGGTTGCAGTGAGCTGAGATCACACCACTGCACTCCAGCCTGGAGTAAGACTCTATCTCAAAACAAACAAACAAACAAACAAACAAACAAAAAAAAACGAACGAGTGAGCCATGAAGGAGAGATAATATAGAAAGCTGACTAGCATTTCGAGAAGCTTCACGACAGGTTGAGGGAAGACTTGAGCATATGTATAGACTGAGATGAAAAGTCTGGGCTTCGCCCTTCCACTCCCATCTCGGAGTAATTTCAGTTGCGTTTCTTGAGTTCTATTACATCTTTCTGAGATGGCAAGGTCTAAAACTGCCCATAAATTTAGGAGTTGGCAAACTTCTATTGTGAAGAGCTGGGCAGTAAATATGCCAGGCTTTTGTTGGTCGTATGGTCTCTGTCGCAACCACTCAACTCTGCCATTGTCGTGGTTGTAGAAAGCAGCCATAGACGATGTGTAAACAAGTGAGCATGGCTGTGTTCCAATAAACTTCATTTACCAAAAAACAGGCAGAGGCAGAATTTAGCCCTGTGGGCTGTAGTTGGCTGACCCTTGCCCTAGGTTTATGGAAAGGGATTAGAGATGCAATAAATGGGGCAATTGATGGAGTAAAGGATGAGAGCTAGACCTCAAGGAAAGAGGTTTACCTCAGAAAGAAGGCACTTACGTCTACCTGGGCACCTGTGTGACTTTCTCTTTTTTTTTTTTTTTTTTTTTTTGAGAGGGAGTTTCGTTCTTGTTGCCCAGGTTGGAGAGCAATGGTGCGATCTTAACTCACCGCAACCTCCACCTCCTGGGTTCAAGCGATTCTCCAGAGTAGCTGGGATTATAGGCACGTGCCACCAGGCACAGCTAATTTTTGTATTTTTAGTAGAGATGGGGTTTCACCATGTTGGTCAGACTGGTCTTGAACTCCTAACCTCAGGTGATCCTCGGCTTCCCAAAGTGCTGGGATTACAGGCGTGAGCCACTGCAGTCGGCCGTGACTTCCTCTTTATGTGTCTGCCTTGCATTCTCCTCAACTGTGAGCACTTTCCGGGCTGGCAGTGTTTCCCAGCGATGGTTCCAGAGCCTTGCATACAGGCAGTGCTCAGACACAGCAGCATTTGAGAGAAGCAGGATGGTAAAGGTGAAGAGGCACCTTACTGTGGAAGGAGGGGAAATGAAAGAGGCTCATATGGAAAAGCCTCTATCATCATCTCAAGTGAACTAGGAGCTGTGTTAGCCAGACATGGTGGCTCACACCTATAATCCCAGCACTTTGGGAGCCTGAGGCAAGGGGATGGCTTGAGCCATCCCCTATCCCCTATAGGGATAGCCATCACCTATCCCCTATCTCAAGGGGTTTGAGACCAGCCTGGGCAACATAAGGAGACCCTGTCTCTACAAAAAATACAAAAATTAGCTAGGTGTGGTAGCATGTGCCTGTAGTCCCATCTAGTTGGCTGCAGCAGGAGTGTTGCTTGATCTCTGGAGGTCAAGGCTGCAGTGAGCCATGATGGCACCACTGCACTTCAGCCTGGGTGACAGAGCAGGACTCTGTCTCAAAAAAAAAAAAAAAAAAAAAAAAAAAAAAGCCATGTGTTATTAGCAGTTGAGTTACCTACCTCCACTGATGTTTAAGCAAGGAGGCAACTCTCTCCAGCGTTTCAGATTCAGTCCTTCCAAGAGGCAAAGGTTTAGGGCAGATGGTCTCCCTGTCTCACATTTATAGTATTCTACGTGATACTTTCTATTCTTCAAGACTCAGATGCTGCTTCCTCCAGGAAGCCTTCGTGGATTCCATTCTCCATTGGGAGCAATCCTTTTTTTCTACACGATTTACCCAAATAGGCATGGAGGGACCCATATCTGTATATGACAATGGAGGTTAGGGAGGGAGGCAAAGGAAGCACCTCCAGAATAGTCTTGGATTGCTGTGGGGGTGGTGGGAAAGGGAGGTTCCTGCAAAGCCCAGGTGCATTCTGAAACTCCCATAAGAGGAGTGAAGAATGTGGAGGTGGGGTAGGGTGGCTAGGAGCCAAGTAGCTCCTGGGTGCATTTTTTACACTCCTGTAACAGGTTGGACCACGTCTAGCTGTTCCTGGCCTCCATTTCTGACTCTCCTGAGAAGGGGTGGGGCCACGTGGGGGTTTGGAAGGTGGTGAGTGAAAAAGGAGGGTCCTTCATGCAGCTCATACCTACACACTGGGAATCCAGAGATAGGAGACTGAACTGAGAGACACCAATGAGAGTCCATTCTCTACTGAGCAATTGGAGCCCATTTTGCCCAGGGAAGGATGTTTGTGGACAACAGACGGGCCCGTAGACTAAGGCAGAAGAGGCAGAGAGCTGAGCATGGAGGCCCTGGGGCAGCTGAATGAATAGTTGCGGGGTTTGTCTTGGTGAGGAAAAGATAAAAGTATGTTCAAGGAAAATGATGTCTTTGGAGCAGAGTAGAGGCTGGAGAGATGTGTCCAAGCCCTCCATGATCTGTCCCAGCTGCCTTTTCTTCCTTTCTATTCCCCTTCAGACACCCCAGGTTCCCACTGAATCTCCAGCCAATCCCACCATTTCCCCACCTCTCAGCCTTTGTGTTGTTCTCTCTCCTTGGCATTTCCTTGTCTTCCTTTCTCCCATCTTCTTGTGTCTAAATACTTTCTATTCTTCAAGTCTCAGATGCTGCTTCCTCCAGGAAGCCTTCTTGGATTCCATTCCCCATTGGGAGCAATCCTTCTTTTCTCTGAACTCCTTATATCTCTCACCAGAGCAGTCATTTAGCAATGTCTCCTAGTAGTAAGGAAATATTCAAGATAGCAGCCATTTCCCAGGAAGCTCTGTGTTTCCCCTCATGCACATTACCCAGGCAAAGGCTCTCCAGAAGCAAGACTGGACAAACACTGTATAAGCTCAGGCCAGTGCAGCCATCTCCTTTATCAACTCCCTGCAGCAGTTGTCTCTCTGTTAGGTTAGGGCCCTATATGCACAAGTCATAGCCTGTAGCTACCAAAATCCTGGGCACCCTGCCCTCCTTATCCTCCAAAACCCCCAGCTAATTCTGTCTCTTGGTCAGTCCAAGGATAAACTCAGAGTCCTTCTTCTCCCGCCCCTCAGCTTCCTCTTCTCATGGTGGCAATGCCACAAGGGGGTCCTTCAACCATATTCAGGGAGTGGGCTCTGGGCTGTCCATCTTCTTGTAATCCTGGCATACCCAGGAGCTCTGGATTTCCACATGTCAATTGGAGGACCCATCTGGCCCTTAAATCTCGGCTCTCATTTGGCCAAGGTCAGAGAAGCACATCTCTTGAATGAAGTTAATGATGTACATGTATGTGTGTGCTCCCGCAGGAGCCCCAAAGAGATGGACTAAGTTTACAGGTGCACGTTAACTCATGAGCGAACACATCAACCTGCTGTTCTGACTGTCCTTGGGCAAGTGACAGCCCCTATCCCCACCCCGTCAACGTCTTGGTTTCTATTTTTGAAAAAACAAGGTTGGACAAACCTGCAAATTCCCTTTTAGCCACAATCTTTCATTGTGTAGTGGGGTGGGTGTATCTCAGCTCCCTTCTCAGAGAAGTGGTTGACATTCATAAGGAAAGGATTCCTGACAAAGGTGACAGGAATTTGAACCTCATTTCCGGGGAATTGATGCCCTTTATGATTTGTGATTTGAACCTGTAGGAATTCATGCCTGAGGATGAAAAGAAAGGGTTTTTTTTTTCCCCCAGCAAGAATCATAGAATGAACTGGGCGCGGTGTCTCATGGCCGGGCGTGGTGGCTCACACCTGTAATCCCAGCATTTTGGGAGGCCAAGGTGGTCAGATCACGAGGTCAGTAGTTTGAGACCAGCCTGACCAACATGGTGAAACCCCATCTCTACTAAAAATACAAAATTAGCCAGGCCTGGTGGTGCACACCTGTAATCCCAGCTACTTAGGAGGCTGAGGCAGGAGAATCACTTGAACCCAGGAGGCAGAGGTTGCAGATCGCGCCACTGCACTCCAGCCTGGGCAACAAAACCAGACTCTGTCTCAAAAAAAGAAAAGGATCATAAAATGGGCCAGTAGGTGGGGTGGCTCATGCCTGTAATCCCAGCACTTTGGGAGGCCAAGGTGGGAGGATTGCTTGAGCCCAGGAGTTCAACACCAGCCTGGGCAACATAGCAAGTCTTTCTTAAAAAAAAAAAAAAAAAAAATTAGTTGGATGTGATGGCACGTACCTGAAGTCTCAGCTACTTGGGAGACTGAGGCAGGAAAATCACTTGAGCCCAAGAGGTCTAGACTGCAGTGAGCTGTGATGGCGCCACTGAACTTGGGCAACACATCAAGACCTTGTCTCCAAAAAAAAAAAAAAAAAAGGGTCATAGAATTTTATTCTTATTAGCAACACCACAAAGATTTTCTAGACCGTTTAATATAGTAGCCACTAGCCTCATGTGGCTGTATGAAAGTAATTAAAATGAAATAAAATTAAAAAGCCACTTCCTCAGTCACGGTAGCACATTTAAGGGCTCAACAGTCACACGTAGCTAGTGGCTACCATATTGTTTGATGACTGAGAGAAACATGCTCACCCATCTAAACCCAAAGAATGGACCTAGAGGCACGAGGAACAGCGAAAGTGAGACTTTTAATGACAGTCTTGCAAGATCAGGTGTGTGGTAGGCAGGCACACCCAGGACAGTTACAACAAGCAATTTATCCCCTAGTGCACAAATCCCTCCCCCCGTTCCTCATAGGCTGAGTACTATGGGGTCACAATCTTCCCCAGCGTCGCCTGTTGGTTGTTGGGTTGGGGCTTTAGGTGTTTTCTTTAGGGTTGCCCCATTGCATTTTGTTGCAGCCCATAATGCATTGCAGCCATCTTGGGGGGTCCTTCAACTGTTTGACTTATGACCCAGGTAGTTAAGGCAAGCTGATAAAGTTAGCTATCTTTCAAGCTCAACTAAACTGTTTGGTTCGGGTGAGGGCAGCTAAGGGGCCCCAACCAGCAGATGCCAGCTATTAAGGTAGGGGCTTAGTGGATCTTGTTCTCCTGTGGTTTGTGGACCCAAGCCTATCTGAGACATTTTATTTTGAAAAGGGACCACGATATATGTAATTTTCTACAATGATGCAGATATAGAACATTTCCATCTTCTCACAGAAACTTCTATCAGGACTGCGCTGTCCTAGACCAACGTTTTGCAAACGAGGAAACTGAAGCTAAAAAGGAAACATGACCTCGCCAAGCTTTTTTTTTGAGATAGAGTTTCGCTCTTTTCACCCAGACTGGAGTACAATGATTTGATCTCGGTTCACTGTAACTTCTGCCTCCTGGGTTCAAGCGATTCTCCTGCCTCAGTCTCCCAAGTAACTGGGATTACAGGCAAGCACCACCACGCCCAGATAATTTTGGTATTTTTAGTAGAGACGGGTTTTCACCATGTTGGCCAGGCTGGTCTTTAACTCCTGAACTCAGGTGATCCACCCGCCTCGGCCTCCCAGAATGCTAGGATTACAGGCATGAGCCACCGAGCCCGATCATAGCTCACTGCAACCTGGAACTCCTAGGCTTAAGCGATCCTCCCATCTCAGCCTCCCTAGTAGCTGGGACCATAGGCCACACCACGACGCCCAGCTAATTTTTTTATTTTTCGTAGAGATAGAGTCTCAGTGTGTTGCCCAGGGTGGTCTGGAACTCCTGGGCTCAAGCAATCCTCCCACCTCAGCCTCTCAAAGTGCTTGGATTATAGGCGTTAGCCACCGCGCCCAGCCTCGCCCTGCATCTTAATGGCAGATCTAGGCCTAAAACCCCGGACCTTACTCCAAGGCCTGACATATCGCCCTCGTCCTTGCTGCCGCCTTCCTCTCTGGGCTCCCCCACCTCAGAGCCCCTTGTGGGCGCACAGCACGTTGGCCCAGGCGGGGCAGGGCTGGTCTGAGGGGATGTTTTTGACGGAGCGGAGCTCCAGATGCTGCACATTCCTGATCGGGTCAGGCCTGCCCTGCGGCACTCGGGGAATTAGCTTCGGTGAAGAGCCCCAGATCTTCTTTCTAGAGCTGCCCTCTTCCTGGCCAGCCCAAGAAGCGCGGGCGTTCAGGAACGCTCTCCCACCGCCTTGGGTGAGGCTGAAAGGCTGAGTGGATCCCCTGTTGCAGAAGTACTTCTGGTCAAGGAGGGGTTGGAGACGGGCAGGAAATTGCACCCCTTGTATCTTCCAAGGTCTCCAAATCCAGCACGAGGGGCATCTGGGAACAGGGTTTCTGCCAGCCCCACCTTGGGGCCGCATTTGGCGGGAACTGGATCTGCCTTCACCTGCAGCCCTGTGCGGGGCGTGACGGAAAGAGCGGGGAGAGGGGCGTCCTGGTGCGGGGGTTGTTGAGGTGAGAAGCCAGGGGAGGGGGCTCCGGGAGCGCCCTGACCTCGCGGACTGTTGGGAGGCGGAGGGGATGGGGGTTGGGGGAGAAGAGGGGAGCCTGGCAGCCAATGGGAGGGAGGATCTCGTTTCAAAAGGGTTAACCCACAGCCAATGGGAGCCTGGGGGAGCGGATCCTGCTCACTCCATTCAAGAATCCCAAGTATTCAAGATGGACGGCAGGGAGTGTGGAAGGAGAAAGGGGGCGAGGGGGGAAGAGCGAGATCGGCAGAGGAGAGGGTCTCCGCGGCCCACCGGCCTCGCAACCTCGGTCCCGGCCGGCGGGTGGCGGGGCGGCCGCTGGGGATCCAAGCCCGGCCCGGGAGAGGGGCTGGCGGGGTGCGAGAGGGCGTGAGCGAGGGGGAGCGAGGCCAGGGAGGGGAGCCAAGAGGGAGGGAAGGGCAGAGAAAGAGCCCGGGAAGAAGGAGGTGGCAGGCAGAGGATCCTAACGAAGAGCAATGTGTAGGTATCGAGAGCTTCCCGAAGGGTAACGACACCGATTTTCGGTTTTATTCTCTCTTGGGGAAGGGAGGGGGACGGTCTGGGCTCTTTCTCTCGTCTTCCTTTTTCCCTCCTCATTCTCCACTCGTGGGCATCTTTTCTATTTTTTCCTTTGGAAACACTGTAACTGGGAAGCACCAGGCGTGTCTTTCTGAGGTGGCCTCACTGTCATTTTCCAGTGGGGGGCGTGGTGGGGTAGGGATGGGGGGCTCCGCTGGGCACGGCCGAGCTGGGCCATCTGTCTCCACCTGGGTTGTGTGCGAGGGCGTGGAGTGTTCCGAGGGGGACCGGGGGCCGAAGGGCTGGAGCAGGGCAGGGAGTTCTGCACCTCCAGAAGTTGTAGGGTGAGCCAGGGGCGGTGTGGGGGTGTGAGGCTGGTTTTCGAGCTGATAGTTGTGGGGTGTTGAGGGGTGCGGGGATGTGTGTGTGTGGGGGGCGTGCGCTCACACTCCAGTTCTTGTTGTTTGGGTGTGTAATGAGGGCTGAGTTGTGCAGCAAGTATGGCTGAGAGTTTGTGTGTGTGTGTGTGTGTGTGTGTGGTGTGTACGTGCGCCTGTGTGGTCCAGCCTCGAGGTGTGTGTGTTCGGGGGGAGCACAGTTGGGTGTTGAAGGAGAGCGCCCCTCACCCCCCACTTCCCAGCTGCCTCTCTCATCCCATTCACAGAACATGGCTTTCAGGACCCTCCTGGTCTCCTCCTCCCGTCGCCATGGCTGCGAGGAGGGGGTGGGAGGAGACAGTTGGGGCCAGCCCCCTGCCCCTGCTGCTCCAGCTAACCCCCCACCTGCCCTTTCTCTCCCTTTCACAGGCTGGGCCCCATCCCCTGCTGCTCTGGGGGCAGGGGCCGGAAGATGGTGGCCAATGAGGAGGGGGAGAGGAGAGAACTTGAGCCGGGGCCTCCCCTCCCCCATTTCCTCCTCGGTCTCTACACTCGCTTCTGGAAGGAGCTGGGGGCTGGCTCCTGGGCCCAAGGTGGGGGAGGGGTCCTGCTGGCTGGTGAGTCGCTGGGCCTGCTCCTCAGGAATGAGTTGGGTGTGTGAGAGCTGAGGGGCTCTTGGCCCTTTCTCCCTGCACTCCCTAAGGAGAGACCTGGAAACTTCTTGGGGAAGAATCTTCCCCTGGCCTCCCTGAAGCTTGCTGTGCAGCCTTATCTTTGCCCCTCTGCCCCCTGTTGGTGTGATCCAGTTCCCAGCTGGGCCTGGTTTGCCCAACCCCAGAGCAGAGAGGTCACTGACCCTCGAGGGGTCTTGGTTTCCGCCCATTAAAACTGTAGGGCAGGGCCCCATGTTTGCAGATTACGGGAACAAACTCTGCCGGGGAGAGCGGGAGGGAACGTCTCCTGCTTCCTGAGGGGGTGGGACGAGGCTAGAGGGAAGCCCAGAGGAAGAGCTCCCAACTGGAATTCTGTCCTCTATTCCTTACGGTGGCTGTGGATTAGGGAAGAAGGCATCTCCCCTTCGTTGATCGGGGCACTGGAGGAATCACCCTCCAGCCTCTGTTTCTCTGGGCTGCCCAAAGTTCACTGGGTCAGAACTGGAGCTGGGCTCCGGGGCTGTGGCCCTAGCTGGAATGTGCCACAATAGAGCCTGCCTGGGTCTGAGCCTCCAGATATCCAGGTGTCCTTCCAGGGCAGCTTTCTGGCTTTGGGTGTTAATCTTCCGGGGACTGTTTGTCCTGTATTTAAGCCCCCTTAGGGTTGGATAGGATGGGGAAGTGCTAGGATGAGCTTGAAGACTCCCCAACCAAGGGTCCCTGGATAAGACAGGAAATAACTCAGATGTGAATCCCACTGCCAGTGAAAGCCTATCCCTAACTCTCAGTAACTGTGAGCGAATCACCCTCACCATTTTAATGCTGAATCTGCAAAGTGCTTTCAGGACCTCCAAAAGGAGATGCAGGGGTGGGGCTTCACCAGCAGCTTTCACCTCCCCGCCTGGAAGCTTCTCTCTACTGCGTGGGGAGCTGTGACTACAGGCTCCCACCTCTCTGGTCCTGGAAGGTCATCTGAGAGTGTTGCCTTGAGGCCTAGAGCTCTGCTTTATCTAAATTTAAAAGGAGATGGAAACTTAGAGAAGAGTAGAGGGTTCTGTAGTCTTGGGCAGCAAGCTCCTCTCTAGAAGGTAAGCTAGCGGAAATGCAAATCCAGATGAACACAGCCTCATACGAGTGACCTCCAGACTTTGGGGATTGCTAATAGCCGTTTTCTTTGAGGACTGAGCATCAAGCCCGAAGTATCCCTGCAGCTGCTTTAGTGGGTCCTGTCCTCCCATGCCAAAACCTCCAAGAAAAAGGTGGTCTCTGTGCTGGGGGTCAGGGGGTTGGTGAAGAAGGCGGCAAAAGGAAGAGTGGTGAAAAAATAGAATGAACACTAAGAATGGAATAAAAGGGAAAAAAGCTGTATTGAAGCAAAGAAGGGGCAGAGGGAGCCCGTGAGCTGAGTGGGCCAGGGACTGGGAGAAGGAGTGAGGAGGCAGGGCCGGCATGCCTCTGCTGCTGGCCAGAGCTCTTTTCACATTGTGCTACTGTCTGCACCTGTCACTAGCAGTGCAATGTTAAAAGGGCATTGGCCGTGTAGTGCTACCCAGCGCTGGCTGCCTCCTCAGCATTGCAATTCCTCTCCCATCTGGGCACCAGTCAGCTACCCTGGTGGGAATCTGGGTAGCCTCACTTGTTAGTTATACTAATAGCTCTCATTTATGGAACTACTTCTGTATGCAGTGCTTGTGATAGACACTGCCTCCGTTACTGTGAAACCTAATAACTTCTGGGAGGTAACAGCCCCATTTTATGGATGAAAAACTGAGGGTCAGAAAGGTTTAAACAGTTTGGCTAAGATTGTGTAGCTCTTAGGTTGCAAAGCCTAGATACAACCCTGTGTTAAGTCTTGACAGCTCACTCATCTTTTTGTAGACCCATCTGGAGAGATCTGAATAGGTTCTTCAAACTGGGAGATTTCCTGAGCTGAGGGGTGGAAGGTTTTGATGCCATCTGCTGGTTGTATGAGGATATCTTCCAAAGCCTCAAACCTTTAAGGACCAGAAGTGGTGGCAACTCCTTAGGCTAAGAAGGATAAGCATTCCCAGACTCAGCCCGGAATGGAGAGTGAGTGGAAAAAGATTAGGAGAATCACTATTAGGTACAGAGTAGGCCTCCTTGAGAAAAAAAGGAATGCACCAGAAAGGAAAGGGGGTTAACTCGAGAGGATTGCTCCCCAAAGAAAAGGACCTGTGTGCTGCTGGCATCCCATACCTACAGCTCCTTCCCTGGCTCATGAGGCATGGAAAGACCTCACTCCTTCCCTGAATCCACTTACCTTTCTCAGCACCACTCCCTCTTGGTCACGGGGTGTTTGATGGTAATGCTGCTTGAGGGCACACCTGTCTGGGCATCCAAGATTTGGACAGCGTTGCCCATGACTTAATCTTAAAGATTAATAGGATCCCTTGAATCAACCCACAGAATGATTCTCCCAGGACCAATTACAAGGAAATTGAGGCCGGGTGCGGTGGCTCACGCCTGTAATCCCAACACTTTGGGAGGCCGAGGCGGGCGGATCACCTGAGGTCAGGGGTTCAAGACCAGCCTGGCCAACATGGTGAAACCTCGTCTCTACTAAAAATACAAAAATTAGCCAGGCGTGGTAATGCACGCCTGTAGTCTCAGCTACTTGGGTGGCTGAGGCAGGAGACTCTTGAATGAATCTTGGAGGCAGAAGTTGAAGTGAGCCGAGATTGCGCCACTGCACTCCAGCCTGGGCAACAGAGCGAGACTCCATCTCAAAAAAAAAAAAAAAGAAAGAAAAATTTGAGAGCAATGACTCAGCCATTTACTTCTCTGTCTCCCACAGTGCCTAGTAGGCTTAATTAAAACTTGTTAAAATAAATTGAATGAGAGGAATATTTGGGGAGCTTCTTTAAGAAGGCAGCTAGTATTCCTGGTCTTTTGGCTAAGATCAAGTGAAGAAGGCAGCTAGTTTGTGCCTGGTTTTCAACAGCAGAGTTTGGGACTTGAGAAATCTTCCCTAAACTTTGGTGCAAGAAATGGGTCCAAGAGGAATAGGGTTTTGAGGTCCTCTGCTGGACCCTGAGAGGGATCTTGGCATCATGAGGCATGTAGAAACTGAAAGATGGGTCAGACTCCCCTGAGGCCTTAGTTGAGGGATGTTGGACATCTCTCCATGGCTTGCCTTTTTCCCTTGCCCTTTTACTTCTGTGCCTTCCAGTTCTAGTCCTCCTTTCTCCTGCCCAGACAGCCTCTCCATTCTGATCACAACAACAGTATTTGAGATAGTACAGTTAGCTTTATTTCCCTTTTTTTTTTTTTTTTAAGACAGAATCTCACTGTCGCCCAGGCTGGAGTGCAGTGGCGCGATCTCGGCCCACTGCAACCTCTGCCTACCAGGTTCAAGTGATTCTCCTGCCTCAACCTCCTGAGTAGCTGGGATTACAGGCGTGCACCACCATGCCTGGCTAATTTTTGTTGTCCAAGCTGGTCTGAAACTCTTGGCCTCAAGTGATCGCCCACCTCAGCCTCCCAAAGTGCTGGGATTACGGGTGTGAGCCACCGCACCCTACCATATGTTCCTTACTTTCTCCAGTCTATTAAAACTTCTATTTGAGCCTCTTGTCTGGGCACAAATAGCCATTTGATACTGCCACTCCACTCTAAAAAACAATAATTTTCCCATATTTCCCTAATACCATTGGGATTAAATCTAGATTCCCTAAATAGTTTATGGCTCCTGCTTCTCTTTCCTTTCATGTCCTCTCACCCACTTTTTAAGGAGACAAAGTTTTGCTCCAGCCCAGGCTGGAGTGCAGTGGCGTGATCATGGCTCACTGCAACCTCAGCCTCCTGGGCTCAAGTGATCCTCCTGCTCAGCCTCCTGAGTAGTCGAGACTACAGGTGCAGGTATGGCTTTTTTTTTTTTGAGACAAGATCTTGCTATATTGCCCAGGCTAACCTCAAAGTTTGGCCTCAAGCAAGCCTCCAGCCTTGGCTTCCTAAAGTGCTGGAATTAAGGCGTGAGCCACTGCTTTCAGCCCACAAGCAACTTTTATTTCCTTCAATTAACTAAACTTAAGTTACTTGACACATACTCTGTCTGAAATACTTCCATCACTTTTGCCTTTGCCTACCTAACTTCTTATCTTTCAAATGCCATCGTAGTCATCGCTTTTGTGAAGCCTTCCTTGACTCCTTACATCTAAGCTGAGTTCCTTTCCTATGAGCTCCCAAGCTTCCTCCACGTCCCTGCTTAGATCCCTTATTATCATCTTCTACTGGGATTTCCTGGTTATTGCATCTCCTACTGGACAGAAAGCTCCAGGAAGTCAGGTCACAGCTGCCTTATCTTCACCATGTGCTTAACATCTAGTGCTTAACACAATGCCTGGCAAGTAATAGATGCTTTATAAATATTTGGAATATTAATGAATGAATCTGGAAAGAATATTATAGCTTACCAAAAAATGATCTTTATGATGTATATGGTCTCCCCTGTAACTGTTGGGCACCCAACAACAGTAGGGATTTCATACCACTGCCAATAAAATGTCCCTTGGGTCATATGGTGGCATTGATGTTGCGATTTTGAGCTTTTTTTTTTTTTTTTTTTTTTTTTTTTTGAGACGGAGTCTTGCCCTGTCGCCAGGCTGGAGTGCAGCAGCACGATCTTGGCTCACTGCAACCTCTGCCTCCTGGGTTCAAGTGATTCTCCTGCCTCAGCCTCCCAAGTAGCTGGGATTACAGGCACGTGCCATCATGCCTGGCTAATTTTTGAATTTTTAGTAGAGACGGGGTTTTGCCATGTTGGTCAGGCTGGTCTCAAACTCCTGACATCAGGTGATCCACCAGCCTCGGCCTCTCAAAGTGCTGGAACTGCAGGCGTGAGCCATCGCGCCCGGCCTAATTTTTGAGCTATTTTGTTTCACTTCCCATCAACTGCCAGAGCAGCACTTTGGCTGACTGATTTTCCTTTTAGCCTTAAGTGTGCCCATGAACTGACCAGAGCATTACAGAACCAGGCTGAAAAGCCACGGGACTCAAGAAAATCCTTATTCTGAGATGAGCCTCTTTCAGAGCCCGATCCTGGATCTAGGCAAAATGGACTTACTGTCAGGGGTGCCAGCAGACACAAGCGGTTTTGGATGCTCTCGCCGAGTAGCTAACAAAACCCACCCCTCTTACTAAGGCAAAACTTCACCTGAACGCTTATTCCCCGGTAAAAGCTCAAGCAGTAGTCTTGCCATAGACAGGGCAACTGCTGCCCCCTAGTGGTATAAAGGGACAGGCCCGGGTGGGTGGGGGTGTGTGTGTGTGACGGGGACAGTTTATGGGTACATGCACAGGGAAAGAAAGTCAGAGGACAGGTTGCCTCAAGTTGCTTTTTCCCTTTTTATTAAAAATAGACTCAAGCACTTTATGTATCATACAAAAGTTTCATTCGCTGGTGGCAGCCACGGGAAAGACTGGCCCCGTAGCACTGATTTTCCACCTCCCCTCCAGGGGACTGGGTCCCAGGAGCAGTGACTGGGCCTCAGAGAAAGCCCATAAAGACTGCTTACTCTGGAAGCAGCCGACTAGGGGCTGTTCCGCGAGCAGCTGTCCCCACCCCACCCAATGGCAAAAGTTAGATACTCGAAAGTGCCTCTTCAGTGCCAAGATAAACTAACAAGTGGAGTGAAATGGAAAACCCTTTGATTATTTTACTATTTCCCAGGGCCTGGGATTTGAGTTTTCCCTGCACTCAAGTCCTTTTCCCTACAAATAGGGGTAGGAAACTTCATCCTCAGAGACTCTGGTCTCCTGGTGTCTGAGACCAGAATTTCACTCCAACCCAAGTCTTTTCTCATCTGCTGTTCTGTGGTCCATGATCTACTTGCCCTGTGACCCAAGGTTTGTCCTCTGTTCACTCAAAAAGAGGTGGAGCAAAAACGGATTCCTCCCACAATCCTCTCTGCCTGAGTCTATGCCCTGCCATCGCTTCCATGTTCAGGATCTTGGGAACAGAAAGACCCACAACCATCCCTTTCCCCCAGTTCTGTCTCTCCCTGACTGCTGCCCACTCCTGAGCCTTAACACCCCTGGGGTACCCCCAGACCCCTGTTCTAAAGGGTGCCTGGTAGTGGATATGGTGGAGGCAGGGGAGGGGTTGGTTGGAGCCAGGTTTCCCCCAGGGGTGGGGCAGTACTCATGCTGGTATAGACTGCTTGGCAGGGCCGTGGGGAGGGAGGGGCATGCGGAGGAAGGGCACACCCTGCCTGAGCCCCTCAGTCCCAGCCGTTGTCCTTCACCATGTGTGACATTTCAATGATGTATTTCCCTTCCTTGTACTTCTGGCTCGTCTCAAAAGCTTGCTCCTGGTGAAGGAGAAAGCAGTGATTGTAGGACAAAGCAGTTTCCTTCCAGGCCCCACTGTCACCTGTATGGCCCCCACCCCAAGGGTCATCCACCTAGCCCAACCCAGTGACTAGTTCTTTCTTTCCTCTTTGGACCATGCAAGGAAGGACCTGACATGGTCACTGGTGCTTGAAGGGCCATGGGGACTGCCACTTTAGAGGGTGACCCTCTTCCTCAGGTACTTACATATTTCCAGCCCAGTGTGGTTTTGCAGCTCTCACAGAAAATGTCAGCTACCGAGTGGAGCCCCGTGAGCAAGAGGCGCTGTTCAGCTGGCCCGCAACCCACGTTGACCCTGTCTCAGGAAACAGGAAGGACCCAGCACCCAGTGGGGTTGCACTGTCAGTCCAGTCCCCAGACAGCCCAAGGGAACTTCCATCTGGAGAGAACTGGACAGCCCCTGCCTTTGATAATCCACCCCTTTAAGACTAGAGCCTGGGCCTTCTTTTTCCACCGTTATGATTTCAATTCTCCCCCGGCTCCCCATGTGAGAACTTCAGATTGAGACCCTCTTTGCAAAAGGGGAGGCAAAGACTGAAGGCACAAGATCACCTGATGGATTCCCCCCTTTCTCCACAGAGGAAAATTACTCACTCACACACAAGCACAAGCACACGCACAAGGAAAGAGGTAGACTCACACGGAGTTAAACAGGTAGGCTCGGCCATGGCTCCCTTGGAAGGACTGTGGAGACATAGGACAGACAATGACTACCAAGCAGCCTTCAGCCCCACTGCCTGAATCCCCGCAGGGGTGTGTAGGAGAGAGGAAGAGCTTTGCTGCCTCACCCCTGGGTGATGTTCAGGCTAGCCTGGTGCGCGAGAGGAGGGGAATGGCAGGTCCCCGCTTCGCGTACCTTGGAAATAAGCTCATCGTGTTTGGCCAGGTGTGCACGGCAGTGGACACAGCTGTAAGTGCGGTGACAGCGGGGCAGATAGCTGCGGAAAGTCTTGGTGGGGAGGCAGGCAGGGCCCGGACCGGGGTCACAGCTGGGCATGACGGGCTGGAGGACAATGCCCTGGTGGGCTGGAGGGGCTGGCGCCGTGCAGCCCCCGCAGAGACGGTCGCAGGTGAAGCAGCGGAGCAGGTTGGCTAGAGCCGTGTTTCAGGGCAGGAGAAGTGTTGGGGGGCTGCCCGGCCAGGGCCCCCCCAGACGAGAACCAGATAGAAATAGAAGTCACCTGGGAAGAGGGGAAAGGACATCAGGGGAGCTGCGACCTCAGGAGGACCCCTCCTGAGGGAATGGAGGAAAAGGGAATCAGCTCACCCATACCTCTACTTTCCCCATCACCATCGACCCCCCCACAGCATCCAGTTGCATTGTCGCCCTGTCCCCTGGATCCCCATTCTGCTCTGGCAAACCTGGCAGCCGATCCAGGCTTCTGGCGCCAAAGCCAGGGAGTCGGTGTTTCTCCCTCCTGGGGCAGAAGCAGCCTCCACCATTTTCCACAGAGAGAAGCCCACGGGCACAGACGCTGCCATGGGAGCAACGTCATCTGCAAGTGCCCTCTCCTTGGTTTTCAGTTCTTCGTGAGGCTCTGCATCGCACAGGCACTGTGTCTCAGGGGATCAGAGCCTTTTAAGAGTTGGGGATGCCTGAAGGTCTTTCTTTTACATGGTCTTTGTTTGCAATACAATTGGTCCTTTATACATTTTGGGGAGGGGGGCAGGAGGTGTAAGGTGAGGGGAGGGAGAGCATGCAGGCAGGTATACAAACCCTGATTCGGTTCTCTCCTGAGGTCAGGGTCCTGTGCTCTGGGACTCTTCACTAGAACTTTATAGATGTTTCCAACAGTACCAAAGCCCTCACGTGTGGCCGCCCATTCTCGCACCTTGGTTCACTCATTCTGGCCCAGAATAAGCACCTGCCTGTCTTCCCAGCCTGTGGGCCCCTTGGTCTTTCTCTCTCCTAGTCTTTACTAACTGTTGCCTTAGCCCTTGGTTAAAGACTTAGGCAGAAAATACATTTTCTTCAGGCAATCTGACAGCTGGAGCCAATGGGAAATGGGTAGCATGTCAGAGGAGCCTGATTCCTGGGCTGGGCAGGGCTGTGTGGTAGGGTGAGAGCAACGGCCACAACGAACAGCAGAAGGGGGACTCTTATTTTTAACAGCTGTGCTTTGGGGCACAAGGCAGAAAATGTTTCTTTCTACCTTCTCCCAGGGGCAGGGACAAACAGCAGTGACTCTGTGGGTGACTGAAGATGAAGTAATTGCTGGGTTCTGATTAGGAATAGAGGAAGATTGCCTTCTGCCCACGCGCCAGCCTCCGAGTGGCTGAAGGTGCTGGAGGCAGAGGATAAGAAGGGAGGTGGCCCCTGTTGGCTCCGATAAGCAGGTGAGCTGCTGCTTTCTCCTTCATAGGGCTTCCCAGCCCACTGTGGGTGGTTAGCCTAAGTCTGGTTCAGAGATGCCAGCTGGGCACTCTGGCAATGCTAGAGCACTAAGCAGAGAAGAGGCAGTGTTGGCTCTGGTTAGCCAGGGCATACAGGCTCTCCTCGTCCTGTCCTCCGCAGTGGCCACAGGCACCCAGCTGTTCCACTCTCTCTGAAGGCCGCCAGGCAGTCTCTCCGCAAAACCTCCATAGAGACTATCTTCAGTTTCAGGTCCTCTCCTCCGGGCTGGGTCCCAGGAAGACACCTTGGGCTGAGTTCAGGGTGACATTGGGCTCCGGCTGCAGGAAACGGGCCCTCCTTGCCAAGAGACCACCTTTCAGTCTCTGCTTCACAGGTTTGCCTTCAACTTTGCCAGCGAGTTCCCCTCTGACATGCACCACCTTGAAACACCTTCTTCAAGGGGCATGGAGAATGGGGCAGCTTGGGTCCCCAATCCTGAGCTCCTTCTCCAGCCTCCGGCCGTCACGCCTCCCTCCCTCTCCCCTAATTCCCAGTCAAGCCAAGGAAAGGCTGCACAGAAGGCCAGAGAATCACAAAGGGGAGTAGGGGTCATTTTTTCACCCATCTCGGATCACAGGGAGAAGCAAGTTGGGCAAATGACTGGAGAAAAAACAAAGGCAAGCCGAGTGCTGGGGAGAGATGTTCCCCTGAAGTGAGACGGGGCTGGACCGTAGGAGAAAGGGGAGAGGGAGGGCTGGCGGGGGCAACTGACAGCTGACAGCAGAGGCGCCGAGGCGGAGGCTGGAGGAACCAGGTGCGAATCTCGTGCTTCTCAGGGGGGAAAAGAAAAGGGGGGGGACACCTGCTCACAATGGATTTTCTCATCTGCTCTGAGGTTTTGGCACCCCCCAGGCTGGTATTCTCAGTATGGTATGGTCCAAATAATTAGCAGCACCGCCAGCTCCCAGGGCAGGCTTTGGGGGTCTGCACCAGCAGCAAAACAATAAACAGTGATGCCTGATGCTGCAGCCAAAGTTGCCGGGAAATAAGTGCGGGAATCGTCAGAGCTTGGAGAGGGATGGAGGAACCGAGAGAGAGGAGCGGAGGCAGCGGGGAGGGGGAAGGGAGGACAAAGGGTGGATGAATAATGCTTTTGCAAAGGGGAGAAAGCAACACGCAGCAGGAGGAGGAAATTTGCAAAGAGAAAAAAATTCATTTGGAGAAGGGCTGCCCCCTCACCTTGAGGTCTGCTCCAGAGATCTCCGTCTATCTCTCTCTCTCTCTCTCAATCTCTCAATCTCTCTGCTCACTCTTCTCTCTTCTCTTTCCGCTCCTTCAATTGGGAAGGGGATGGGGGTGGGTGGGGGGAGGGTAGTTGGGGGCTCAAGACTGGGGCTGCAAAGCTGGCCAGCTGCTGGGGGGGCAGAGGTTGTCTCTCGTTCTGTACCTCGGTCTGTGGGTGAATGTGGCTGTGTGTTGTGGAACTGCATCATAACACTGTGAGTCATCCATCCCCCCCACCCCCCCTCACCTCCCACGTCAGAGCAGGGCTGGGAGACACAGGAGGCGGGTCGGAAGGAAGGGAGGGGGTAGGCATCAAGGGACGGGGCTAGAGGAGTGGGGGCCGAGGGACAAGGCGGCGATGGTGGGCAAGGGGAGAGGCAGGTTGTTAAGGAGGAAGGCAGTGGGGCCAAGGAGATACGAAGAACCTGGGGGAAGGACAGGGCTGGGCAAGGATGCAGTGAGGGTGGCAGGGCTGGAGGAAAGGAGGTGGCAAGGCTGGTGAAGGAAGAGATGGATGCAGAGTGAGGGAGCACACACACATTTAAGATGATACACTTTCCCATTTCAGCTTGGACACCAGCCCTGAAGCAGGGAAAAGACAGATGTACTAATTGTCATGGATGGCAAACTGTGCCCCCAAACTTGTACCAAGCCTCAAAGCCTTGGTTTAATACTCCTGAAGGAGTAATAGACCCAATGTGACATTTTGCATGCAGGAACCCCTTAACAGCTACCTCCATATTATGCGTGCTTCATGAATGGAGACACCTACGTTATATGAAGTTCTCTATTGGGCTGTAAACTTCCTGAGACAGGCCTTCTGGGAAATTACTCTCTACATCCCAGGACTGCAATGTCCAGTGCAGACCCGTGCATTTAGATGTTTCCAAAATAGCAGTTGTTTCCGCGGCATTATGTTCTGCTGGCCTAGAGGTCTTAGTTCCAGAGGGAGGAATGCTGCCACCAAGAGACACAACAATGATTCCATTAAACTGGAAGTTAAGATTGCCACCTGGCCACTTTGGGCTCTTCTTACTTTTAAGCCAACTTGCTAAGAAGGGAGTTACAGTGTTTGACCCAGACTATCAAGATGAAATCAGTCTACTACTCCACAATGGCGGTAAGGAAGTATGCGTGGAATACAGGAGATCACGTAGGGCGTCTCTTAATATTACCATGCCCTGTGATTAAGGTCAATGGGAAACTGCAACAGCCCAATCCAGGCAGGATGACAAATGGCCCAGACCCTTCAGGAATGAAGGTTTGGGTCACTCCACCAGGTAAAAAAAACATAATCTGCTGAGGTGCTTGCTGAAGGCAAACGGAATTCAGAATGGGTAGTCAAAGAAGGTAGTCATCAATACGAACTATGACCATGTGACCAGCTGCAGAAAATGAGGACTGTAATTGTCATGAGTATTTCCTCCTCCTTTTGTTAGGAACATGTTTGTGCATATATACACTTGTATTAAGAAAATATCTTCATTTTATTTCCTTTCTTTTGCCTTTATCATGTGACATAAGACTTACTGACTTGATATCAGCACTTAAGTGTTGTTAACTCTATGTAATAGCATTTGGGTTGGGGATTGGTGCGTTTCCGGTTGTACAAAGGATAGCTGTATTATGTTAAGCGTAATTATGACCTTATTATTGTCTTTATTTGAAGATCATGTATGATTTCAGGAGACGTGTATGGGTTCAAGTTGACAAGGGGTGGACTGGTGATGGTTAATATTGTCAACTAGATTGGATTGAAAGATGCAAAGTATTGTTCCTGGGTGTGTCTGTGAGGGTATTGCCAAAGGCGATTAACATTTGAGTCAATGGACTAGGAAAGGCAGACCCACCTCAATCTGGATGGGCACAATGTAATCAACTGTCAGCTAGGCCAGAATAAAAGCAGACAGAAGAACGTGGAAAGACCAGACTGGTTTAGCCTCTGAGCCTACGTCTTTCTCCCATGCTGGACGCTTCCTGCCCTCGAATATTGAACTCCAAGGTCTTCAACTTTGGGATTCGGACTGGCTTCCTTGCCCCTCAGCTTGCAGGCAGCCTACTGTGGGACCTCATCTGGTGATCATCTGAGTCAATATTCCGTAATAACTCTGATTTATATATACATCTATCCTATTAGTTCTATCCCGCTAGAGAACTCTGATTAATAGAGCAGTTGAGTTGCATCTTCAGACATGAACCAAGTGTCTGGCTTTGGTCTCAAAGAGACTGAATTAGACTCTTAGCTCTGCCAATTACTTGGCAGGAACCACTAGGCAAATTACTGATAATCTTTGTGCCTTAGTCTTACTCTTCTGCTAAATGAAGCTAATAATATTTATTATTATTAGCTCATGGAGATGCAGAATAAAGTGAGATAACATTTAAATGCCTGAAAAATGCCTGGCACATGATAGGCAGTAAACAGTAGTGTCATTTCAAAACAACATTCTCGCCAGGTGCGGTGGTTCACGCCTGTAATCCCAGCACTTTGGGAGGCCGAGGCAGGCAGATCACAAGGTCAGGAGATCGAGACCATCCTGGCCAACATGGTGAAATCCCCATCCCTAATAAATAACAAAAATTAGCTGGACATGGTGGCACGTGCCTGTAATCCCAGCTACTCGAGAGCCTGAGGCAGGAGAATCGCTTGAACAGGAAGTCAGAGGTTGCGGTAAGCTGAGATGGCGCCACTGTACTCACAGAGGTTGCAGTGAGCCGATCGCGCCAGCCTGGTGACAGAGCGAGACTCTGTTTCAAAAAAAAAAAAAGCATTCTTGGCTGGGTGAGGTGGCTCACACCTTGTAATCCCAGCACTTTGGGAGGCCGAGGTAGGCGAATCACCTGAGGTTGGGAGTTCGAGACCAGCCTGGACAACGTGGTGAAACCCCCCTCTCTACTAAAAATACAAAAAATTAGCCAGGTGTGATGGCGTATGCCTGTAATCACAGCTACTTGGGAGGCTGAGGCAGAAGAATCGCTTGAACCCAGGAGGCGGAGGTTGCAGTGAGCCAAGATGGGACCACTGCACTCTAGCCTGGGCAACAAAGAGAGACTCCGTCTCAAAAAAAAAAACAAAACCAAAAAAACAAAAGTGAAACCAAAACAGCATTCTCAATGTATGACCCCCAAAACCCAGGGAGGATTTATTATTAAATTCTGATATCTCAAGAGACACATGCCAAATTTTTGTCTTATGAAGACATTACATCTTTTGTTGCTATTTTTCTAGCAGCTTCCAGTTAAATTTCATTTGACTCAGAATTCATTTCTCATGGGGTGCTGTCCTGTGCATGTTACTAAAGTATGTGAACACAGAACATATCCCCTAAGACAAAAACCCTGATTTCTAACAGAGTCTAGCATTTAGCAAATGAAGTACGACAAAGATAGGGACTTCTAGAAAGCAGTGCTTGGGGGTGGTTTGTTTTTCTTCTCACACGTAAAGAGGGAAAAAAAAGTTAAGGCAGAGAAATGTGGGTAATGGGAGACATTGCTAGTTGAGCATGAAAATAAAAAGGGATTCTAAATATTTAATCAGGGAAGATTCTGGGGTTTAAAGTAAATTCTGAAAAGACAATGTGGGTGTCTTGAGGGATAGTACTAGAGATTTGGAATTGAGAGAAAAAGCTAGGTAAAGAAAGAAGAGAGAAGTGCTTTTGTTTGGGCAGCAGAAGAGAGGGGAGATAAAAGTAGAACACATGGACACAGGAAGGGGAACATCACGCACTGGGGCCTGTTGAGGGGTGGGGGGAGGGGAGAGGGATAGCATTAGGAGATATACCTAATGCTAAATGACGAGTTAATGGGTGCAGTACACCAATATGGCACATGTATACATATGTAACAAACCTGCACGTTGTGCACCACATGTACCCTAAAACTTAAAGTATAATAATAATAAAATTTAAAAAAAAAAGAAAAAAAAAGATTTTGAAAAGCAATTGTTGAGGAGAACAATGAGAAGTGGGAAAAGGCAAATGATTAGTTTTCAAGGCATGGATCGAAAGTTCTTTTGTTTTGTTTGTTTGTTTGTTTGTTCTTTGAAATGGAATCTCGCTCTGTTTCCCAGGCTGGAGTGCAATGCCATGATCGAGAATCACTGCAACCTCCGGCTCCCGGGTTCAAGTGATTCTCCCACCTCAGCTTCCTGAGTAGCTGGGATTACAGGCATGTGCCACCATGCCTGGCTAATTTTTGTATTTTTCGTAGAGACGGGATTTCACCATGTTGGTCATGCCGGTCTCGAACTCCTGATCTCAAGTGATCCACCCACCCTGGCCTCCCAAGGTGCTGGGATTACAGGCGTGAGTCACTGGGCCCAGCTCGGATTCAAAGTTTGGAAGCAGGCCGGACACCTGTAATCCCAGCACTTTGGGAGGCTGAGGCGGGCAGATGACCCTGAGGTCAGGGGTTCAAGACCATCCTGGCTAACATGACAAAACTCCTTCTCTACTAAACATACAAAAATTAGCTGGGCATGGCAGCGGGCGCCTGTAATCTCAGCTACTTGGGAGGCTGAGGCGGGAGAATTGCTTGAACCCGGAAGGCGCAGGCTGCAGTGAGCCGAGATTGCGCCACTTCACTCCAGCCTGGGCAACAAGAACGAAACTATGTCTCAAGAAAAAGAAAGAAAGAGAGAGAGAGAAAGAAAGAAAGAAAGAAAGTTTGGAAGCAAAAAGAAAATGATCAAGGATCTAGCTGGAGAGGAGAAAAAGAACATATGATGACGGTATTGTTTGGAGGTGGGGTGGAGATGGCAGGAGTGCTTGGTGAAAGATTAAAACTGAGAAAAGAGCTGGGCGCCGTGGCTCACGCCTGTAATCCCGACATTTTGGGAGACCGAGGCAGGTGGATCACCTGAGGTTAGGAGTTCGAGACCAGCCTGACCAACATGGTGAAACCCTGTCTCTGCTAAAAATAGAAAAATTAGCTGGGTGTGGCAGTGGAAACCTGTAATCCCAGCTACTCGGGAGGCTGAGGCAGGAGAACCGCTTGAACCCGGGAGATGGAGGTTGCAGTGAGCTGAGATCGCACCACTGCAATCCAGTCTGGGAGACAGAGTAAGACTCCATCTAAAAAAAAAAAAAAAAAAAAAAAAAGTGAGAGAAGAGAGTGTAGTCAAGCACAGATGCTTTAAATGTTGTGTCCTGACTCTTTCTGTATTTTAGAGGCAAAATGGAGAGCAGCCTAAAGGAAAGGAGGGGTTCTTTTCCCTAAGTTCAGCTTGAGATGGTTATACAATATCCAAATAAAAACAACTTTCAGGTAACTGGGAGAAACTGCCTCAAGGGAGATAGTAGAGGCGAAGATACAGATCTCGGAGATAGATTGCATGGAAAAAGGCGAGGATAAGCCCACTCAGGGAGAAAATTTGCAAATGGAAGACTGGAACTGAATTTTTAAAGAAGAGTGGAAGATTAGGGGACACACAATAGTTAATTGAAAAACTAATGCATAGGCCGGGCGTGGTGGCTCACGCCTGTGTTCTCAGCACTTTGGGAGGCGGAGATGGGCAGATCACTTGAGGTCAGAAGTTTGAGGTCAGCCTGACCAACATGGTGAAAACCCCATCTCTACTAAAAATACAAAAATTACCTGGGCGTGGTGACACACGCCTGTAATCCAAGCTACTTGGGAGGCTGAGGCAGGAGAATCACTTGAACCCAGGAGGCAGAGGTTGCAGTGAGCTGAAATTGCACCACTTCACTCCAGCCTGGGCAACAGAGCAAAACCTCATCTCAAAAAAAAAAAAAAAAAAAAAAAAGCTAATGCATATATGTTCAATGAATGAAATAATTAAAGCAAACCATCAAAGAAAAACTCAGAAGTGATAAGTGAGGATGGCACTGCTTGGGGAGTGCTGCTAAGTAGGGCCAGCAGGAGAAAATCTTTCTGGCGAACCAGAAAATCTTCCCAGTCTCCTCAATATGAATTAACTACGTGAGCCGGACTGAAAAAAGTACTCACCTGTAAAGTGGAGATGACAATTATAGTACCTACTGCATAGGATTCTGGCTACGATTAAATGAATTTACACCTGAAAAGTCCATAGACCAGTATCTGGCATATAACAGTATATAAATGTGGTTTTTTGTTTTTTGTTTTTGTTTTTTTGAGACAGAGTCTCGCGCTGTCGCCCAGGCTGGAGTGCAGTGGCAGGATCTCAGCTCACTGCAAGCTCCGCCTCCCGGGGTCAGGCCATTCTCCTGCCTCAGCCTCCCTAGTAGCTGGGACTACAGGCGCCTGCCACCACGCCCAGCTAATTTTTTTGTATTTTTAGTCGAGACGGGGTTTCACTATGTTAGCCAGGATGGTCTCGATCTCCTGACCTCGTGATCCACCCACCTCGGCCTCCCAAAGTGCTGGGATTACAGGCGTGAGCCACCACGCCCTGCCTTAAATGTGATTTTTTTTGTGAGACAGAGTCTCACTCTGTTGCCTAGGCTGGTGTGCAGTGGCGTGATCTCAGTTCACTGCAACCTCCGCCTCCCCGGTTCAAGCGATTCTCCTGCCTCAGCCTCCCAAGTAGCCGGGATTACAGGCGCCCGCCACCACGCCTAGCTAATTTTTGTATTTTTAGTATAGATGGGGTTTCACCATGTTGGTCAGGCTGGTCTCGAACTCCTGACCTCAGGTGATCCGCCCGTCTCGGCCTCCCAAAGTGCTGAGACTGCAGGCGTGAGCCACCGCGCCTGGCCTAAATGTTTACTATTATTATAACCGGACTCAGAAACTCTGGGTTTGAGTCCTAGCTCTACCAATGGCTGTTAATGTTTGGGCAAACCTCTGCACCTATCTGAGTCTCCTCCCCCATCTGAAATTGGATATAATAAAGCTGTCTTTACAGGGTGGCTGTGAAAGAAGATGCCTGAAAGGGATCTGAAAAATGTTAAGTATTGCACGAATGAATGATATTATAGCCCCTTCCGCCCCAGCCTATAATAAAAACGTAAAAGCTGATATCAGATTTTTTTCTATATTACAGGCATTGTACTTAGTACTTTACAGGCACATTCCTGCAATCGTCAAAACAACTTTAGGAGGTTGGGCACTGTTATTATCCCAACTTTGCAGACAAAAAACGATATCACGCTTGAGCCCAGGAGGTCGAGGCTGCAGTGAGCCATGTTCGCGGCACTGTACTCCAACCTGGGCGAGAGAGTGAGACCCTGTCTCAAAAACAAAAAGAAAAAAAAAAACGATCTCAGAGAGATGAAGCCTGTGATTTGCTCAAAGTCACACAGTAATGTAAGCAGTATAGCAAATAATATAAGATTCCAAAGCCCAAGGTAGTAAAAAGAGGATTATAGACGTGGTGGAACCTGTTGGCTGCGGGGCAAATGACTGACCTGTAACTGTCAGGGATTTATGGAGGGAAATGAGTGCCTAACAAAAATCCTCGTTTAGTGGGAGAGAGGTTGTTGGGTAATGACTGACTTGTAGCTGGAAGAAATCATCGGATTTTTATTCTTTTATTAAAGAAAAAAAATTTGAAATGCCTTCCATGTGCCAAGCACTGTGTCAGGTGGGAGATGACAGCTTGGTGAAACCTCTGTCAGGCTGTCTTCCTCCGCTTTCTCTATCCCTGGGTTTCCCCCTGCCTAAAAAGGATTTTGTGCTTCGTGGCTTGTCCAGGCAAGCAGGCCGTCGCGGGACCTAGACCGAGACAGTGAGTCTCTCTTTCTCCCGGGCCTCCCTTCTGTTTCCTGGGCTGCAGGGGAGCAGGAAATCTGGGGCGAGATTCCCGCCGCGGACGCGCACTGCCGAAGCCTGGTCCCTCGACCTGTCCCTGCCCAGCGCGGGGGCGCAACCGCCACGCCTCCTCACCCCTCCCTCCGGCTGCACGAATAATGACAACAGCCGCCCCTCCCACCTTTGGCGTCACGTTCAAAACAATCCTTTGACTACAACTCCCAGAAGGCCGAGCGGCTTAGCGAGTGCACCCGCTCTCGGCTGCTCCGGCAAACTACACATCCCAAAGGGCAGCGCGCGACCGCGTGTCCTTTCACAGCGCAAGTGCGGAACTGCGTTTGTTTCCGGCGTGGGTCCGGGCAAGAACCGCTTGTAGTTTGGTTTAAATTCTGCACGGGAGGACCTTCTGAGTTTACCTGTTGGGCTCCTGGCTGCGCAGGTGAGTTAAAAAAAGGGCAGGAACACAACTGTCACCTCCTTGGGGTCTGGGGACATTTTGGTGTCTGGGGAGATTTTGGTGTCTTGGGGAGATTTTGGTGTCTGGGAAGGTTGGGACAAATGCTGGAGCTAGAGCTGCAGTCCAGGATCAGAAATAATTCATATCGTTTCCTTGCCGTTTTCTAGTTTACGAAGTGCTTTTTTTTCCTCCCACAATTCCTGTAAACCCCAAGAACAACACTGTATTTGAGGAAGTGTAAGTGCTTCCAGTCGACAGCTTCAAAGGTTCAGAGAAGTTAAGTGATTGTCTAAAGACACTACTAGTAGTTACAGAGACGAGGATTAGGCTGTTTTCTGAGTTCAGACCCGGTGTGCTCTGCTTTGCATCCGTATTTCAGACGCCCTTTCCTGTTGACTAGGATGATTGGGGTCAGGGCATCTGTTACCTTCTCAAGTTTGGAGTTTACCAATAGAGTGATGGAGGGTGATATAATTAAATCTTCTGTCAGTCTGTAGGTATGGTTTTTCTCTGATGTCTGAGACATTAATTCACTCAATGTATTGAGGTGCCTACAGTCTGTCAAGCTGTATTCTAAGCAGTATATAGTATCAAACAAAAATGCCTAAGTCTTACATTTTGGGGTGGAGGAGGCGGGGAAGACACAATATATAGTGAGACCGATGGTGATAAGAAATATGGAGAGAATTAAAGCAAGGTAAGGGGAAACATTCATTGTATGTTTTTATTATTTATTTATTTATTTGTTTATTTTATTTTATTTTTTTTTGAGACAGAGCCTTGGTCTGTCACCCAGGCGGGAGTACAGTGGCATGATCTCGCCTCACTGCAACCCTGCAACCTCCACCTCCTGGGTTCAAGCGATTCTCCTGACTCAGTCTCCTGAGTAGCTGGGACTACAGGCGCCCACCATTATGCCTGGCTAATTTTTGTATTTTTTAGTAAATACTGAGATTTCACCATGTTGGCCAAGCTGGTCTTGAACTCCTGACCTCAGGTGATCCACCCACCTTGGCCTCCCAAAGTGCTGGGATTACAGGCGTGAGCCACCAGGCCTGGCCAATATTTGCATTTTTTCTACAGACGGGGTTTCACCATGTTGCCCAGGCTGGTCTTGTACTTCTGAGCTCAGGGGATCTGCCCAACTCAGCGCCCCAAAGTGCTGAAATTACAGGCCTAAGCCACTGTGCCTGGCCCATTGGATGATTTTTTTTTTTTTTTTTGAGATGGAGTCTTGCTCTGTTGCCCAGGCTAGCATGCAGTGGCACAATCTCGGGTCACTGCAGCCTCTGCCACCTGGGTTCAAGCGATTCTCCTGCCTTGGCCTCCCAAAGAGCTGGGATTACAGGCACCCTCCACCATGCCCGGCTAATTTTTTTTTTGTATGTTTAGTAGAGACAGGGTTTCACCATGTTGGCCAGGCTAGTCTTGAACTCCTGACCTCAAGTGATCCAGCCACCTCGGCTTCCCAAAGTGCTGGGATTACAGGCGTGAGCCACCATGCCTGGCCCCATTGGATGTTTTTGTAACAGAAGACTGACTTATAATTAGATCTGATATTTAATTTGTGTTCTAGGCACAGCAGCTACACAGAAGAGATGGGAGAAGAGGCTAATGATGACAAGAAGCCAACCACTAAATTTGAACTAGAGCGAGAAACAGAACTTCGCTTTGAGGTGGAGGCATCTCAGTCAGTTCAGTTGGAGTTGTTGACTGGCATGGCAGAGATCTTTGGCACAGAGCTGACCCGAAACAAGAAATTCACCTTTGATGCTGGTGCCAAGGTGGCTGTTTTCACTTGGCATGGCTGTTCTGTGCAACTGAGCGGCCGCACTGAGGTGGCTTATGTCTCCAAGGACACTCCTATGTTGCTTTACCTCAACACTCACACAGCCTTGGAACAGATGCGGAGGCAAGCGGAAAAGGAAGAAGAGCGAGGTCCCCGAGTGATGGTAGTGGGCCCCACTGATGTGGGCAAGTCTACAGTGTGTCGCCTTCTGCTCAACTACGCAGTGCGTTTGGGCCGCCGTCCCACTTATGTGGAGCTGGATGTGGGCCAGGGTTCTGTGTCCATCCCTGGTACCATGGGGGCCCTCTACATCGAGCGGCCTGCAGATGTCGAAGAGGGTTTCTCTATCCAGGCCCCTCTGGTGTATCATTTTGGTTCCACCACTCCTGGCACTAACATCAAGCTTTATAATAAGGTCAGAGCCAGAGAAAGGTGGGGTGGAGGGAAGGGCTGCTATCAGGGTAGGAAACTGGAGAAGTTTACTAGTTAACACTGCATTTTCTCAGCTGGTATTTCTGCTGCATTACTTTAGAAAGGCAATTCCAAATATGTCAGTCTCAGATTGTTAAACATTTCTGTGGATCTATTCTTAGTAATTTGTTAGATTTTCACTTAGGGCATAAAACAGGAGGCAGAAGCAGCAACATAAAAATTAAATCCATGTTATGGTATCAAAACTACAGCCATTAAAAATGTCATTTTTTCAGGCTGGGTACAGTGGCTCATGCCTGTAATCCCACAACTTGGGAGGCTGAGACGGGTGGATCACCTGAGGTCAGGAGTTGGAGAGCAGCCTGGCCAACATGGTGAAACCTTGTCTCTACTAAAAATACAAAAAGTAGCTGGGCGTGGTGGCTGGTGCCTGTAATCCCAGCTGTTCAGAGACTGAGGCAGGAGAATCACTTGAACGCGGGAGGTGGAGGTTGCAGTGAGCTGAGATCGTGCCACTGCACTCCATCCTGGGCAACAGAGTGAGACTCCATTTCAAAAAAAAAATCATTTTTCTTATATCTAATAGCACTTATTCTAAAGAGGAACAAAGTAGCCATGGGTTTGTCTGGGTGTTTTTGTTCTTACCTTGATCCTCTCTTTTGCAGATTACATCTCGTTTAGCAGATGTGTTCAACCAAAGGTGTGAGGTGAACCGAAGGGCATCTGTGAGTGGCTGTGTCATTAACACCTGTGGCTGGGTCAAGGGCTCTGGTTACCAGGCTCTGGTGCATGCAGCCTCAGCTTTTGAGGTGGATGTCGTTGTTGTTCTGGATCAAGAACGACTGTACAATGAACTGAAACGGGACCTCCCCCACTTTGTACGCACTGTGCTGCTCCCTAAATCTGGGGGTGTGGTGGAGCGCTCCAAGGACTTCCGGCGGGAATGTAGGGATGAGCGTATCCGTGAGTATTTTTATGGATTCCGAGGCTGTTTCTATCCCCATGCCTTCAATGTCAAATTTTCAGATGTGAAAATCTACAAAGTTGGGGCACCCACCATCCCAGACTCCTGTTTACCTTTGGGCATGTCTCAAGAGGATAATCAGCTCAAGCTAGTACCTGTCACTCCTGGGCGAGATATGGTGCACCACCTACTGAGTGTTAGCACTGCCGAGGGTACAGAGGAGAACCTGTCCGAGACAAGTGTAGCTGGCTTCATTGTGGTGACCAGTGTGGACCTGGAGCATCAGGTGTTTACTGTTCTGTCTCCAGCCCCTCGCCCACTGCCTAAGAACTTCCTTCTCATCATGGATATCCGGTTCATGGATCTGAAGTAGAGATCAGCAGGAAGCCTTGCTGCCTGGGACATAGAGATCATCTGGCCACCCCTAGAGGCAGATGGGCTGAGATAAAAGACTGTTGGGGCCACCTGACCAGTAAACTGTGGACTAGTAGAAAGTTCATATTCTACCTCTAAAAACAGGTAGTGGTAACCTGACTCTTCTAATCTTGAACCAAAAGGAAAACCATGAGACTGTAATTGGTTTCTTAGACCACCTAAGATGCCACTTTGAATTCTCTAAGACCCTGGAGAATTGCATTTCTTTCACTGTGCTACTATGTGGTTTTTAAAAAATCAATGCTTTATATTCCATATGTGGTTCTTACCCATTTATCTAGGATGAAAGTGTGAATTAGAGGGACTCCTTCCAATAAAGTTCAAACTTAAAAAAAATCATTTTAATAAATATTTTTGCCATATCATAGAAGTTGGTATAATTTATTTTTTTCCCCTAAGCGTTATAGAAACATAATTGGAATGATTTATTGCTAAAATGCTTGGAGGAGGGGAAAACCAAGAAACCTACCTGTGAGCCACGTCAGGTTTTTTTTTTTGGTGGTGGTGGTGGTTGTTTTTGTAAGAGTCTCACACTGTCACCTGGGCTGGAGTGCAGTGGCGTGATCTTGGCTCACTGCAACCTCTGCCTCCCAGGTTCAAGTGATTCTCCTGCCTCAGCCTCCCAAATAGCTGGGGTTACAGGTGCCCGCCACCACGCCCAGCTAATTTTTTGTATTTCTTTTAGTAGGGACAGGGTTTCACTATGTTGGCCAGGCTGGTCTCAAACTCCTGACCTCATGATCTGCCTGCCTCGGCCTCCCAAAATGCTGGGATTACAGGTGTGAGACACTGTGCCCGGCTGTGAGTTCTTATGATAGTTCACCTTTCCTCTGCGCTTAGGTAAGTAGATGGTAAATCTGCTGTCAGTGCTGGATTTACTGTGGGGAGTTAGAGGCTGGTGATAATCTTGGAATGAGATTTCATATCTAATCATTTTCCAGAGATAGCTCATTTTCCTTCCAGTACAGCTATCCTTGTCTATTTGATTGGAACTAGGCCCTAAGTCAAAGTGTAACTTAAGCTTTCAGGTGGTAAGAAACTGGGAAAGCCCATTCTTTTTGATCTCTTGCAAATGACTGTTTGGTGTCCCTGGTTTGCACTTGGATTACTTAAGTATCTGATGCCATTCATCCATTCCTTCTTTTCATAAATGTTTACTGAGGACTGACTGTTTGTCAGGAGCCACTGTAGATGGGGAACAAGACAGACAAAAGTTTTATGGAGCTTACATTATAGAATAAACAAATTTAAAAAGGCAAGTGCTATGCAGAGACTTAAATTTGGGGGATATGAGACAGAGTGACTGGAGGCTACTTTAGATTGGGTGGTCAGGAAAGGCCCTTCCTGAGCATACATTTTGGGCTAAGACTTGAATGGCTGTGTGAAGTCTGGGGCAAAACCTTCCTGGTGAGAAAAAACTGCAAAACCCTAATAAAGGAACAAGCTTGATGAGTTTGGTGAAGAGAAAAGCCAGTGTGGTTGAAGCTTAGTGAACCAAGAAAGACTGTACAAGATGAGGCTGGAGGGGGCAGCAAAGACCAGATAATGTAGGGCTTTTGTAAACCACGGTGAAGAATGGATTTTTTGGCCCAGGTGCCATGGGTGGTGGCCATGCCTTTAACCCCAGCCACTCAGGAGTCTGAGAATCCCTTGAACCCAAGAGGTGGAGGTGCAGAAAGCCGAGATTGCATCACTGCATTCCAGTCTAGGTGACAGAAGGACACTCTGTCTCAAAAAAAGAAAAGGATTTTTTATTTCTTTTTAAGAGATAGGGATCTCAGCCGGGCGTGGTGGCTCATGCCTGTAATCCCAGCACTTTGGGAGGCTGAGGTGGCTGGATCACTTGGGGTCAGGAGTTCGAGACCAGCCTGACCAACATGGTGAAACCCCATCTCTACTAAAAATGCAAAAAAAATTTAGTTGAGCGTGGTGGCACATGCTTGTAATCCCAGTTACTTGGGAGGTTGAGGCAAGAGAATTGCTTGAACCCGGGAGGTGGAGGTTGCCGTGAGCCAAGATCACGCCACTGCACTCCAGCCTAGGCAATAAGAGCGAAACTCTGACTCAAAAAAAAAAAAAAAAAAAAAGAGATGGGGCGTGTCTCACTATGTTGCCCAAGCTGGCTTTGAACTTCTGGGCTTAAGTGATCCGCCCACCTTAGTCTCCTGAGTAGCTGGGACTACAGGCTCATGCCACAGCACCTGGTTTAAGAATGGATTTTACTCTTAAGAGCAATGGGAACCAGAGGGGAGGGGTAGTTAAGTAGAGTAATTATTTGATCTTTTTTTTTTTGGGGGGGGACAGAGTTTCATTCTTGTTGCCCAGGCTGGAGTGCAATGGCGCAATCTGGCTCAGTGCAACCTCCACCTCCCAGGTTCAAGCGAGTCTCCTGCCTCAGCCTCCCGAGTAGCTGGGATTACAGGCATGCGCCACCATGCCCGGCTAATTTTGTGTTTTTAGTATAGATGGGGTTTCTCCGTGTTGGTCAGGTTTGTCTCCGACTCCCGACTTCAGGTGATCCGCCCGCCTAGGCCTCCCAAAGTGTGGGATTACAGGCGTAAGCCAGCACGCCCGGCTGATCTCCTCCCTCCCTTCCCTCTTTCTTTCTTCCTTTCCTTTCTTTTCCTTTCCTTTCCTTTCCTCTTTCCTCTCTCCCTCCTTCCTGCTCTCTTTTTCTTCTCTCTTTTTTCTTCTCTTTTTCATTCCTTCCCCTTCCTTCCTATTCCTTCCTTTCCTTTCCTTCCCTCACCTCCTCTCCTCTCTCCTCCCCTTCCCTCCCCCTTTCCTTCCCTCCTTCTGAGTTTTGCTATGTTGCCCAGGCTAGAGTGCTGTGGCATGACCTCGGTGCACTGCAACCTCTGCCTCCTGGGTTCAAGTTATTCTCCTGCCTCAGCCTCCTGAGTAGCTGAGTAGCATGCACCACCATGCCTGGCGAATTTTTGTATTTTTAGTAGAGATGGGGTTTTGCCATGTTGGCCAGGCTGGTCTCGAACTCCTGACCTCAAGTGATCCATCCGCCTCGGACTCCCAAAGTGCTGGGATTAGCCTGGCTGATTACTTTACATTTTGAAAAGATCACTGCTTTGTGGAGAGTGGGTTATAGGGCAAGTGTAAAAGCAAGGACAGTAATTAGGAGAGTTTTGTAAAAGTGCAAATGTGAGAAATGGTGGGGGATGAAATACTAGGGCAGCAGAGGTAGAGCTGGTGAGAGGATATTCTGAAGGCAGGACTTCATAACGGAGTGGTGAGGAAAACGATGGAATCAAGGATGCATCCTGGATTTTTTTTAACAAGACACACTAGGTTAGACATGAGATTGGGAAAACTCAGGGAGTTGTCCCCCTGAGGGACAAGGGAAACTCGAGGTTTTTGGCAGTGTTAAATATGAGCTATTAATTGTCCATGGGTGGCGGAGGTTGCAGTGAGCTGAGATCGCGTCACTGCACTCCAGCCTGGGTAACAGAGCAAGACTCCATCCCCCAGCACCAGAAAAAATGCAGGAGCGAAGGAGATAGGATCCACAGCACAAAGGGAAGAACTACCCTTTAACACATACAGAGACATTTCACAAGGACAGGAGGAAAGAGCAGTATTTAAACACAAAGAGGTTGACCAGGAGCAGTGGCTCAGACCTGTAATCCCAGCACTTTGGGAGGTCGAGGCAGGCAGATCACTTGAGCTCAGCAGTTGGAGACTACCCTGGCCAACATGGTGAAACCCTAAAAACACAAAAATTGGGAAATGCATGTTCTAGCTTTCTGTGTGCTTAGGTGCCCATGCTACTGAGGGTCTAAGTCCAGGCAGCCGAAGAGTGTGGTGAGCAAGATGAACAAAGATGCGCAGATGAGAGAAGCCATTAACATATTAAAGTAATTTAAAGTTTGGGTGGTCTGGATATCATACTGTTTTAGCCTAGATTTTACTCTGGATACTTTTCAGAAGTAGCTGGCACTTTAAACCATATGTTCTATTAAACGTTCTTTCCAAGAAATATCTTGAGTGATCCCAAGGAAAACTGGACAAGTGGAATCTCTGTCTTTCAACTTTGGGATAGTGATTATACCTCTGTTAGTGCTCATCCACCTAACAAAGCTTGGCAATCCAAGTTAGTATCCCAGGGGAGTTTAGTTTGGTTGGATGGTGGAAGACTGATTTTTTTTTTCCATTTAGCACTGTCTAGCCAAGAGACACCACTATTTACAAGTTCTTAGACAGCTGAAAGGAAAATAAAAATGCCTAATTTGTGGAGGAAATCAGGAAGTCTAAAAATCCAAGAAAAATATTGCAACAGAAAAATGAAAGCTGACTTCATCTTAAAGAAACATGGCTTACAGGTAGAAAATGCCAATATCAGGCCGGGCACTGTGGCTCACACCGGTAATCTCAGCACTTTGGGAGGCCGAGGTGGGAGGATCATTTGAGGTCAGGAGTTCCAGACCAATGTGGCCATCATGGTGAAACCCCATCTCTACTAAAAATACAAATATTAGCCAGGTGTGGTGGCACATGCCTGTGATCCCAGCTACTCAGGAGGCTGAGGCATGAGAATTGCTTGAACCCGGGAGGAGGTTGCCATGAGCTGAGATCGCGCCACTGCACTCCAGCCTGGGTGACAGTGTGAGACTCCCTCTCAAAAAGTAAAAAATAAAATATCAATATTGTATCTTCAATAATTTACCTTTCATATGGTCTAAAGAGGTTTTTGTTTTGTTTTGAGACGGAGTCTTGCTCTGTTGCCCAGGCTGGAGTGAAGTTGTGTGGTCTCGGCTCACGGCAACCTCTGCCTCCCGGGTTGAAGCAATTCTCCTGCCTCAGCCTCCCGAGTAGCTGGGATTACAGGCTCCCCCGACCATGCCCGACTAATTTTTGTATTTTTAGTAGAGGGAGTTTCACTATGTTGGCCAGGCTGGTCTTGAGCACCTGACCTCGTGATCCGCCTGCCTTGGCCTCCCAAAGTGCTGGGATTACAGGTGTGAACCACCACGCCAGGCCAGGTCTGTTTTAAAAATATAAAGTCGTTATAAAGAACTCTCAAGTGTGTTGCAATAAATGCTGGATTGACGCTGTTAACAAGAATAAACTAGAACTTATAATATATGCCATGTCAGAGAAGGAACTAGATTCCAGAAAACAGAAGGTAGTTCTCTTTTACCTTACTGCCTAATGCTAGTGTCAGAACCACAGTAAAGCCAGCAACATTTGAGACCAAACCCGAGGACAGTCCTCAGGATTTTACAGGTGAGGGGCCTCGGCTTCAGGGAAGTGGCTTGTGAAACACCTTTTTGAGGGACCATTATGTAATAGCTAGAGTTGCTTTCGAAAAAAGAAATAGCCTCGAGCCGAATGGGGAGAGAACATGGGGCATTGCTATTGGGTTCACAGCTGTCTTGGGCTAATCAGGGCAAAGCGTAGCACTATGACCTATGCAGAGTTAGCTCGCCAGGGACAGTAGCTATTCTAGAGAACCTTTTGCTTTTAGCTTTGTATTCTAGGATTGGGTGAGGTGAGGGATGCGGGCGCCCATCCCACGTGTGACAGTGGGAAACTAATGGAATTCAGGGAGTTCACTTCCCGGCTCGCACTCCGGGGGCGGGAGGGTGCTGCCACCGCCTCAGGTCGCGCGCTCCTTAGGCTTCCCTCTCACGGTTAGCGCTACGGCTCCAAGGCTGGCGCCTGCTCTTCTTCATCTCCCTCCCCGGCCCTTGGCAGGAGCCTCGCCCTACATTGGCTCTTCAAGTCCGGGCGTCCCCTTCATGTGGGAGACACAGCCCAGACCATTCCATCGCCCTGGATTCTGCCCGGACCAGCGACCTCGCCGGACTGAAGATTTCTCCAGCAAGATTGTTTTAAATAAAGTTTTTGCCATCAAAAAAAAAAAAAAAAAAAAAAAAGGAGATGGGAAGGAGAAGAGGGAGGCCTAGTCGCCAAATGGTTGGCCAATCCGCCGCGAAGGGGCTGAAGCAGGAAGCGGCGATAGTCGTCGGTAATTGGCTGCGCTGGAAGCCTGTCTGGACTGTACCACCTCAGTAGGAGAGGGGTTGCTGAATTCGAGAAGGTAGCTGCTTGCTTTTGAGTACTTCTAGTACACACACATAATTCTTTTCTTATTTCCGGGGGTTTTTGCTTGGATTCAGTGGGAATACAACAGGACGCAGGAGAAGGGAAGACTCGCCTGGCCATTTCCTCATTCCTGACTCCTGTGCATTAGGCCAATCCTTGTCTCTTAGTTGTCCCCGCAACCCCACGGCCTTACGTGCGCGCTCTCGTCTTCTCGCGTGCGTACGTCGTTGTGTTGCTGCAGCCAATCAGGCCGCGAGGTCGCCGCGGTCGCCAGGGTTCGCGCGCACGCCCCAGATCGGAGTCGGGGTGGGGGCTATGGGTGAATGGGAGAGTGAGCGGGGTTGGGCGCGGCAGCGCGAGCCGCATGAATGAGACAAACGTGCGCCGCGCGAGACGTCGCGCGAGCCCGGACTAGGGAGCCAATGGGAACGCTGGAAGGGTTCGAGACCCGGCACTGAGGGCAACGGCCGCGCGCCGGCTCCGAGACGAGCGACGCCTGGCGGGAGCGCGCGGCAGCGGGGCGGGCGTGGAGCGTGCGGGGGCCGCGCGCTGCTTCTCTGAGGCAGGACGGCACTGCCGGGAGGCGGCGGTGACAACGACGGCGGTGGTGACGGGCACCGGGCTCGCGGGTGAGTGCGGAGGACACCGGTCCCTGCGGAACCGGAAGTGCCGTACCAGCGAGGTGGGAGGGGAGGGTGACCTCTAGGGAAGGGGGACCGAAGACGGGGAGGGTATTAAGGCCCTATTTCTCCTCCGGGCCGGGTCTTCCAACCGCGGCGGGACCCATGGGCCTTGGAAACGGACGACGAGTAGAGGCCGGGGATCCACGACCGCCAGGGCTCGGAACGGGTTAGAGACGGCCACTCAGCTCGAGACCGCGGTCCCCGGTGCCTGGCGCCCAGCCGCCGCCCCTTCCGCCCCCGGCCCTGCGCCCTCGGGCTCTGCGGTCCCCGCAGCCCGCTCTCTCAACCTCGGTGGGCCTGGCCGCCGTGGATTCCTTCTTTTCGGTTTCAGCGGTCGTCAGCCCTGCCCCAACGGGTGATTCTCCTTTCCCCAGTCCCGTGGTGGGGACCGGGTGCTGTTTCCCTTTTACCGCTCTGCGGTTCGAGTCCCTCGCTCCACTCTGCTGATACTTATTTTGGCTCAAGCTTCATCCTGTTACCTGTTCTCTCTCACCCGTCCGCTTCCTCCTCCTACCGCCACCAGCCGAGTGCTCCATGCGTTTAGTACTTTGTACTTTTTAAAGTGGAGCCCGAATGCGTTTGTCAATATTTTACCTATATTTGGGGCAGGCAGGTGGAAAGTGTTTTACCCACTTGGCCAAATGAAACACTGAAATAAGAAGTAAGAAAGTTGCTAAAAGTTAGGAAGGCAGTTGTAGGATCACATATACGTTATACGCTAGACTATTTTTTGCCTTGGATTCTTCACTTCCTGGTTAATGCCATCTTGACCAAGTTGATCTAACATTTGCATATCATCCTTCTATCTCAGTATACCTCTGTCCTGGATCAAATATCTTCAGAATGCTCATTATCACCCATTGTATAAACTTAATGTTTACAAAATTATATTGCCATGTATTTTGCTACCTCGGTATATAATGATAACACCCACATTAAACTTCTTGGCTCTTTCTCCCATACCTTGACATGTGAATTATTCCATGGTACCTCCATTACTGTGCATTTAGATTTACTCTATTGTACTGTTACACCGCTTATTTCAACAAAAAATAGTTGTGTTGTCCTTGGTACTGCTGGTATCCACCTATTTAAGGAAATACCTGTATTAAACCTTATTAAAGCCTTCAAACCACATATCCTGTATTGTTTGTTTTACATATACATATTTCCATTTCATAGTTTACTCTGTGCCTCAATATGGCATACATATTACTTTTTTTCTCATTTTTGAGACGGAGTCTGGCTCTGTCGCCCAGGCTGGAGTGCAGTGGCTGCTATCTTGGCTCACTGCAACTTCCACCTCCCGGGTTCAAGCGATTCTCGTGTCTCAGCCTCCCTAGTAGCTGGGATTTCAGGCATGCCCCATCACGCCCTGCTCATTTGTTTGTATTTTTAGTAGAGACAGGGTTTTGGTATGTTGGCCAGGCTGGTCTCGAACTCCTGACCTCAAATGATCCGCCCGCCTCGGCCTCCCAAAGTGCTGGGATTACAGGCGTGAGCCCCCGTGCCCAGCTGGCATACATATTCTTGTATACTTTTTTGATACTAGTATGGATTCAAACTGTTGACTCTGATGAACCATACTCACCCTTGTGGTTTCATCCTAGTATCTGCAGCACATTCTTTTGCTAAGAATTGGTTCATCTTTATTTATACCCAATAAATTGTTAGGTTTTTGATTTCCCTTCTACTGTGTAGCCCCCAAGCATCTCAGATGCTGTTCTCTTTTGTGTTCCCAGTATTATACTCCCAAAATTGCATGGCCTTTCATGACTCTGTATTACTATGTCAATATTAGTCCATGTGACTTTTTTCCTGTGGAAAATATATGAAACAATATATAGTATCTAAATGATATTCTACTCTAGATAAAATTTAAGTAGTATAATTTTCCATCTTTTCTAGTCTTTGGGATTTTGAGGGAAAAGTTTGCTTTAATAGTACATATTGGCTGGGCAGAGTGTCTCACACCTGTAATCCCAGCACTTTGGGTGAGGAGGCAGATCACCTGGAGGTCAGGAGTTCGAGACCAGCCTGGGCAACATGGTGAAACCCCATCTCTACTAAAAATACAAAATTAGCTGGGTGTGGTGGTGCCCTCCTGTAATCCCAGCTGCTCGGGAGGCTGAGACAGGAGAATTGCTTGAATCCGGGACTCGGAGGTTGCAGTGAGCTGAGATCACACCATGCACTTCAGCCTGGGTGACAGAGGGAAACTGTGTTTCAAAAAAAAAAAAAAAGTACATATTGTCTACAAATCAAGAGTTTGCTTTTGTTAACAAAGTTACTGAGGCCTACATTCCAAATGTTAGGCTTCCATTCCTGTAGGAAACTGAGAGTTAAATAATCATTAAATCAGGGACTAGAGAGGATTTATGTTTTCTAGGACTATAACAGTTTCTTAGAATCTTTTGGCGCTCACTGTATTCTAATACTGCTGTTTGGCCCTCTGAAACCCTAATTTTAAAGAGAGAAATGAATCGTAAGGGAAGGCACCTTTGCCTTCCATGCCATAGGTGAGAGAGGAAGTGGTACATTATAGGGCACATTTATATTTTGTTATCTGAATCTTCTGATTTTTTTTTTTTTTTTTTTGAGACAGAGTCTTGCTCTGTTGCCCAGGCTGTAGTGCAGTGGCTCACTGCAACCTCCGCCTCCTGGGTTCAAGTGATTCTCCTGCCTCAGCCTCCTGAGTAGCTGGGACTACAGGCGCCCGCCCGGCTAATTTTTGTATTTTTAGTAGAGAAGGGAATAAAACTACTTTCTTTTAAAATTCTAACTTAAAATTTTTGGCTTGCAGATTCCAAGTTATCATCTCTGGGCAGGTAGTGGATGAAAAGGTAGAAAGGGTTTGTGTCACCAGAGGGGCATGTGACCTCTTGAGTTCTGAACCTGAGGTGATTCAGTGGAATGTCCTCGGGCATTCTGTAGCCTTCAATTTTAAAGAGTGGGATAAGGGACTGCGTCACCAGATAATGTGAGTAAAGTGCTTTTAGATCACCAGATGAAAAGCATTTTATAAAATCCCAAGGTGCTGGTGTTAGTTTGTTATTGTCATCAACAGAAATAATTGTTACTTTTAATCATATTGGGGCAGGTGGGGCTCAGTTACCTTAGGCCAATATAGGAATAATAAACTGTTGAATTGGGAAAAAAGAACCAACCCTATGCTATGCTTATTCAGTTTCTCATAGAGGGCATCATGGCTTTCTCTGCAAGAACATTTCTTACCCAGTGTTCTAATGGGTGATTCCAAAAGACCAAAAATTCAGCTTCTACCTCTTCAGGATTGTAACTAAAAAGCATAGAGGAGCAAAAGAAACACACAGAGAAAGAAAATGAGACTTGCTTTCCTAATTTTGAGGTTAATTTTTTTCTTTTTTCACTATAACAATAAACACTCTTCTTGTCCAAAGAGAAATCTTTGTTCTAGGACTGCCCTTCACTGCTGTGCCCTTGTTTGTGATTTTGATATTCTTGGTATTTGTTACTACCATCTATGTCAGGTGAGATGGGCCCCTTACAAGAGCTAGTCCTTTGATGTCCTTTGGCCAGGTGAAGCCATGTTCTGCTTCCAATCTGAACAGAGCAAAGGATTCTCAAGTCAGTTTTCCTCTGAATTCAGAGTCCCTTCTTACCCACATACATGTAAGTGAAATGGAAAACAGTCTTTCTTTCAGAAAGTACTTTTTAACAGCAGCCTGTGGAATTTTAGCCTTGGTGTCTAAGAAATACCCTGAAAGAATTCTCTGATAAAGATACTTGTTTTTCTCCAGGTGAGACACAGTAACCTGGTTGAACTCTGCATCTGGAAAGCTGAAGACTGAAGAAAGATAAGAGACATTGACTAGTCTGGAAACAGGGACATCTTTGGAACTTCGTTTTCATCCACAGTAAACTTTTGAAGTGTCATCAATTGGAATTGATTTCTTCATCTTATTCTGCCTATTGGGAAGAACATGGCTTCAAGGATTTTAAGTTTCCCTTTAGTTTTACATGAACTTTGTAGGAAACAGAGCCCTTAAAGGGCTTGGGAATAACAAGAAGAGATTGAAGACAGAGAAGCTTGCCCTGTTTTCCTTGCCCCTTCAAAGAAAAGGATTTACAGCTCAAACTTAGAACAGCTGTTGTCCAGCTTTAGCCATCAAGAGAGAAATAAATTAAACCACCATTGCCAGACTACAAGCCCTGGTGAAGTCAGGGTGTGGGAGTGGTGGCATTGAGAAGACTACCTAAAAGAGACAAAGACTGCAGTAAACAAAGCTCCTCTTTAAAGTTGGAAGGGGCCTCAGGTTCCTTCTTGGATTGAAATAGAAATAGAAACACAGGGCACACCTCTTTTAGGTGCAGCTCACATTTTATGGAACTGTAGTCGTGGAGGTACTATAGTATCTCAGAAGAATTTTTCTTTGCCCAAAGTTTTTTTGCCATACCCTGATATTCTCTCCTTCTTTTGAAGACCTGCCTCCATCCATGAGCTGTATCTTGATCTGTCTGACTGTCCATGTTTTCCACCTGCAACCATTTGCATGTGTACAGCCTACTGTTTGTCTCCAGTTTTTAAACTGTACAAGTTGTGTTTCTTAATCTTCCCTTCTGCCTTGTTCTGGGGAGGTGGTTATTCATCATTTGGAATCACCTTTCCCCCTCCCATGTGCTTTCCTTCATTTGAGATCTTTTGACCTTTGGCTTTATTTGGGAGGGGGAAGGGTGATAAAGTTTTCTGTTTCCCTGGTTTTCTTTTGTACTCCTCTCTGTTGCTTCCCTCCTCCCATTTTCTTGTCTGTTCTGCCGCTGTGTGGGCCTGGGCTATGCGGCAGGGCAGATTTCCCATCAGAGCTCCAACATGCCCGCAGAGTCTGGAAAGAGATTCAAACCCAGCAAGTATGTCCCGGTCTCTGCAGCCGCCATCTTCCTAGTGGGAGCTACGACACTCTTCTTTGCCTTTACGTGAGTTTTCTCCCAGCAGGGGTGTTTGGGTGGGTGGATACTCCATGGGAAGTGAGGAGATAACGCTTTCTCTTGAGTTTTGCAAAGCCAAGTGACTGAGAGGGCTCAGCGTCTGGTACAGGTAAATCCAAATCCCAGAGACATGTAAGAAAAATGAGAAAAAGCCTGTCCTTTCAGTCGTGTTATCAGTTTTACTTCGCTGAATCTTCTACCTACCCTTTCCTCCTTTATTTTGGAATCATAGATGTCTTCATATTTTTCTACCCAGCTCCATCATTAGATGATCCTAAGCTAGGAAGGAAGTGGGAGGAAACCACCAGAGAGGCTTAAAGCAGTTTAAGCAGTCAATTCTATGAGAAAGAGAACTAGACTAGACTAAAGGCTTTTTTTTGGAGGCAGCGTCTCTTGCTCTGTCACTCAGGCTGGAGTGCAATGTCGCGGTCTCGGCTCACTGCAACGTCCGCCTCCCAAGTTCAAGCGATTCTCCTGCCTCAGGCTCCTTAGTAGCTAGGATTAAAAGTGCCAACCACCACACCTGGCTAATTTTTTTTATTTTCAGTAGAGATGGGGTTTCACCATATTGGCCAGGCTGGTCTCAAACTCCTGAACTCAAGTGATCCATCCACCTTGGCCTCCCAAAGTGCTGGGATTACAGGTGTGAGCCACCATGCTGGGCCGACTAAAGCCTTTTTAAATGCTAATGGCTTTTTTCCAGGATGTCTGAAACTTAGGTTTGAGATTGTGGAAACTGAGAGTATTGGAAAATTTCAGAATTGATTTATAAGATACACCAATGAGAGAGTTTTGGCTTTTAGTGCTACCCAGATGGTTTTCTTTGTACTCTTAAGAACAGAAGCCTGGAGAAGTGAAGGCCACTGAGAAAGGAAAGGGTAAGTTGTATTTGGGAAGAGAGTCCTAAAAGAGTCCCTTTATGTTAGTTTCTGCCGAGGGAATGACAGTAATTTTCCCATTACTTGGTTCTGTTGGGAAAAGCAGTTGGTATGAAAAAATTTCCCATTTAGGATCTAGGATCTGCATCATTCTCACTTTGATCTTCAGACTTTCTTCATTTACTTGTTATTGGAAGAGACTGAGTGATTTAAACCTTCCCTTTTTCCTCAGTTTTTTTTTTTTTTTTATTAAGCTCTTGACCATCTGGAAGGCATCCTTGCTGTTACCTGTTTATAAATTAACATGTACCAGGCTTCTGAGCCTTATACTGTTGAGTCATTGATTTAGTGCTCTAGTTGCAGCTCTTGGAATCATCAGAGCATGCTGGATCTTCTGGGAAGTTACTTTGTCATGGTTCAGGCTCAAACCTAGTTGTGAAGTGTTATTCAGAGCAACATGAGGTTGCTGGAAAGAGGAAGAAGTGAATTGAAGTGGTAGGGAATAAAAACACTTGGGCTCATTGAAGTAGAGATTATTGGGGTGGAGGCAATTATACACAAGTTAAATCTGAGGTAGGAGGGAAGGAAAACTCCCCATATTTAGCTTTAGAAGCCAAAAGATATTCTGAAAAATGTGGGTCACATTGTCTAAAGAGTCAGCAAAGTAATACTGATGTATTTCTCTAGTTTTTAAAGAAGGAGAGAAAGAATCACTATCTAAGGCATGAACACCATCCTACTTCTCACCTCCTCTGAAGCAGAGAAGTTGTAGATTTTTTGGCCCCCAGCTCTGAGCTTGAGCATACCTGCTGGAGTCTCTCAAGGATCTAGAGACAGTGCTGCTTTTCTCTGACTTAATATTTTCTTCATAACCTTTTCCTCTTGCTTAAACTCAACATGTTCAGTGCTCTGTCCTTCTTCATACATTTACTACCAGAAAGAGGGGTGAGTCTTTGGTGTCAGAACTTGTTTTGGTTTTTGCTAATATGGCCAGGAAGTAGAATCAAAATTTTAACTAAGGGACATTTATATTATATCTTAGTATCCTGTAGCAATTTTGGTTCTGGGTCAAGAGGGGTATGTACAAGACCAGTTTGACACCCTTAACTCTGCTCAATTGGGGAGGGTCTATTTTCCTTTAAGAGGCAAAGCCTTTGGAGAAGGAAATTGAGGGGACTAAATGATTTCTGTCTTTCAAGCTCCCTCTTCTTGAGATAGAGCAAGCTGAATCCTTGTTTTTAATTTGCTAATCTGGAACCATTGAAGTGTTTGACTGGTTATACCAGTTTGCCTACAAAGAGTTGTCCTGACATAGGCATTTTCTCAACTGATAGTTGAAGCTGTTTAACCTACTTTCTCATTCCCTGGTGCCAGTAAAGTAGGAGCCCTCCTTATTCCATGGTCTCTTAGCTCTAGGAAAAAGGATTTTGGAGGACAATATTGACCTTATTTGGAATTATTGCCTCTCATCCAAAGTTAGAAGAACCCTAAGTCATAGCTGGAGTTCCTTCCCCCTGGCGCTAGTTTCCACAGGACCAATTTCTGGGCTCCATCTTTTCCTAAGCATCTCCCCTAGTCACCTTGTGGGGGCACAAACACACTGTTTATCTTACTCTAGCACCTAGCTCGGGTAATTCTGAAATTCTCATCTCCTCTTCTCCATCTGACTAGAGTATTTCCTCTGTAAGCATATATCTGGGCTGAGGCACCACTGTTCTTAAAAACTATCCTCTCATGTATTTTACCTCTTTCGAGGTTCAGTTCCCTGGAGAATCCCCTGTTTAAAACCATACAACCTAAAAAAGAGTTCAGGGTTTCAAATGGAGAGGCAAGAGGAAAACTCTCTGAACTAGCTCCTATGTGGGGCTGTAAATCTGTAACTACTCTATCATCCTCCTATTCTCTTCACTAGGCTACAACTAGCTACATTATTAGAAGCCCCAGGTGAGAATTACTTTGGGATATAGAGGAATGCGAGTAGGAGGGAGAGTCCCTTTCAGGTAACAGACATAATTAGTGGAGGCATGTAGACTTCAACTAGTTAGGAACAATTTACCTTCCATGTTTCTTTGTTAAGTTGGGGAAAGCTATGAGCAGAAATTACTAGTTGAGTTTGCATCAAAGAAATAGTGATCTGCCCCAGAGAATCTTGAACAGAACAGTTCAGGCCTTCCTCCTGGAACTCTAATCCCTCTCATTCCCTGAATTTGTCCAGCACTAAAACTAAGGAATGGTGGGGATCCTGTCTTAATTCTTCTCTGTTTTCACTATTTGGGAGGGAGAGTGTCTGCTGAAGTAACCTTCTACCTCCCAGTTAGTTACTAGACTTCATTTAGGATAACTACTTGGATGCTTATCTATCTTAGTTTAATCTTGTTTTTTGACTGGCAGAGGGGCAGTCCTAGGTAAGTGGGATAAGCCCTCTTTGGGGGAGGTCAGGAGATTGATTCTGGTGAAGTCTGTTAACCTTTGTGGACCTAAGTTCTTCCTGTTTACAGTGAGAACGTTGACCTACAGCAGTTTGTTTAAGCAACATGACCCTTTTTCAAATGAAATCTTATATACAAAAAAAAAAACCAACATAAAAATTAGGGCTGCTCTGGTTCAAGTGAGGCTGGCATATAGAGGCCCAGCCCCTTGGTATCGCCTCTTTACCGTGTAGGATCTCCTGAGACCTAGTGCTCCTGGTAACACCATTTCGAATCACTTTGAATTGTATCTTGTTTAAAGTCTCATCAAACTGTGAATTAGTCCAGTTAAGGTCTTATTTTATCCATTTCTAAAGCTGGTGGGAGGGGGCAGGATAAGATCTCTGCTTCACGTGATTTTTTTTTTTTTTTTTTTTTTTTTTTTTTGAGATGGAGTCTTACTCTGTCGCCCAGGCTGGAGTGCAGTGGCGCGATCTCGGCTCGCTGCAAGCTCTGCCTCCTGGGTTCATGCCATTCTCCTGCCTCAGCCTCCCGAGTAGCTGGGACTACAGGCACCCACCACTACACCCGGCTAATTTTTTGTATTTTTAGTAGAGAAGGGGTTTCACCGTGTTAGCCAGGATGGTCGTGATCTCCTGGCCTCGTGATCTGCCCGCCTCAGCCTCCCAAAGTGCTGGGATTACAGGCGTGAGCCACCACGCCCAGCCCCTATTTTATCCATTTCTAAAGCTGGTGGGGAGGGGGCAGGATAAGATCTCTGCTTCACGTGATTTTTTTTTTTTTTTTTTTTTGAGATGGAGTCTTACTCTGTTGCCCAGGCTGGAGTGTGGTGGTGTGATCTCGGCTCACTGCAACCTCTGCCTCCTGGGTTCAAGCGATTCTCCTGCCTCAACCTCCTGAGTAGCTGGAATTACAGGCGCCTGCCACTAAGCCCAGCTAATTTTTGTATTTTTAGTAGAGTTGGGGTTTCACCATAATGGCCAGGCTGGCCTCAAACTCCTGACTTCAGGTGATCCACCCACCTCGGCCTCTCAAAGTCCTGGGATTACAGTCGTGAGCCACCGCACCTGGCCACTTCACGTGATCTAAGGGAAGGATAAAGTCAGAGTTGTATGGAAATCCATGATGGTCTTTTCAGGCTCCCATCCATTATATAGTTTGCGGCTTTTCAGTTTCTGCCTCAGTCCTCTTCCAACCCTTTTACCCACAGGAAGTTGGCCGACCTCCATGGAGTTCTCTCTGGTCCCCCCTCCCCCGTAACTGCAGAGGTATTAGCACCTGATTTGAGTGGGAGCAGCCTTGTGATTTAGCACATTAATGGAGCAGTGGTTGTGCCTTTTCCTTCTCACATTGTTTTCTTATCCAGGAATAAGTGCCCAGGTCCTACGTCTCACATTCAGCTGGTTGAAAGTCTGGGTACCACAAATCAGGTGTTTTCAGAGAAACTGGGTTGCCCACCTGTAAAGGGAGAAATTGTTTTCTCATGGAATCTTGAGGAAAGGATTTCTAAATGAGGATCCCCATGGGCAGGAAGTGGAACATTCATTTCAGCCTTCTCTCATCAACAAGGAACACTAGTCATATGCTCAAGCAATATGCTAGGCATGGGCAGAATGCATAGACCTATTCTTTAGGAGCTTAGTGTCTCTGTTTTAAGTGTCCTTGAATTCCTAGTATTTCAGATAGGGGAAGGTAGAGGTGGAATAATTGATGATGATGATAATGATGGTGATAGTTAATAATGTTTTCTTTTGTCTTCTGTCCACTGAATGCTCAGTATCAAGCCAGCTAGTTTAAAAAGAATTCTAGCACTTTGGGAGGCTGAGACAGGCAGATCAGGAGGTCAGGAGATCGAGACCATCCTGGCTAACACGGTGAAACCCGTTCTCTACTAAAAATACAAAAAAATTAGCCAGGCGTGGTGGTGGGCGCCTGTAGTCCCAGCTACTCGGGAGGCTGAGGCAGGAAAATGGTGTGAACCCGGGAGGCGGAGCTTGCAGTGAGCCGAGATCGCGTCACTGCACTCCAGCCTGGGTGACAGAGCAAAACTCTGTCTCAAAAAAAAAAAAAAAAAAAATTCTAGCGGCTGGGAGCAGTGGCTCACACCTGTAATCCTAGTACTTTGGGAGGCTGAGGCGGGAGGATCGCTGAGCCCAGGAGTTCGAGACCAGCCTGGCCAACATAGTGAGACCTGTCTCTACAAAAAATAAGCAAAGTCAGCTGGTCATGGTGGCATGCACCTGTAGTCCCAGCTACTTGGGAGGGTAAGGCTGAAGGGTTGCTTGAATCTGGGAGGCAATTTTAGTGAGCCAAGCATGGGTGACAGAGCGAGACCCTGTCTCAAAAAAAATGAATTCTAATAACTTTTGAATGAAGATCTTTCTCCTTCATTCTCATGTTTGTACTATGTAGCTGAAGTAACAAGGTTGGAGAGTTTCATGTGGATTACCTAAGGCCTTGCATAGAGAAGTATTAATTGAGGCAGGATTAAAATCCAAAGATTCTTGACTCCTACTTTGTGTTTCTTTCTAAGAACTTAACCATTTTTTTGTAACAGGATGCATTAGGGAGTGCTCTGAAACAGGGTTTCAGGAGTGTGGATATTGGAATCCATTCTCCCAATTTTATTTATTTTTATTTTTTATTTTATTTTGTATATATATTTTGAGACGGAGTTTGGCTTTTACGCCCAGGCTGTCGTGAAGTGGCGCGATCTTGGCTCACTGCAACCTCTGCCCCCCGGGTTCAAGTGATTCTCTTGCCTCAGCCTCCCGAGTAGCTGGGATTACTGGTGCCCACCACCACGCCCGGATAATTTTTGTATTTTTAGTAGAGACAGAGTTTCACCATGTTGGCCAGGCTGGTCTCGAACTCCTGACCTCAGGTGATCCACTTACCTTGGTGTCCCAGAGTGCTAGGGTTACAGGCGTGAGCCACCATACCTGGCCCCACTCTGCCAATTTTATTTGGTCTTGAAAACAGGAGTGCTGAATGGATGGGCAGAAGAACCCGTTCTACCTGAGATGGTATAGGTCTGGTAGTCCTGTCAATGAGTCAGCCAGCCTTCTGGGCTGTGACCACTCCCTAGGCTTTTAGAGCTTTATGATTATTGCCATAGTCTAAGGACGAGCCCCAACATCTCCTGTTCTGAGCTCTGGCCTCATCTTCCATCAAAGGCAACAGATTCAGACAGGCCACTTGGGGTGGTCACCTAGGAATCTGGCAAAGTACCATAGCAACGGAAAGCCTCTCCTTAAATCAAGCAGAATTTGGGATATGGCAAGAACGGGCTCTGCTCACACATGCCTCTCCTTGGTGGGGTGTTCCCTTATAGTGCTGATTGGAAGCAATGGTTCTGTGAATCTAGGAGCAAATATTGTCCATGAAGTTGTTATTTGCATCATTTCTAGATTCTGGCACTGTGGGGGCAGACTTTATTTTGGCAACAGATACTGGAATTCCATTCCAGGATTACACACTTTATCTGGACCAAGTTGATATCCAGAAGGTTGTAGGGTAAAGTTCATCATCCAGGGATAGGTTGGCAGGATCCCCAAGAAACTGAGTTGCTTTGCCTAAAAATGAAACTGGCTGGGCATGGTGGCTCATGTCTGTAATCCCAGCACTTTGGGAGGCTGAGGCGGGCAAATCGCTTTGAGCTCAAGAGTTGAGTCCAGCCTGGGCAACATGGTGAAACCCTGTCTCTACAAAAAATTAGCCGGGCGTGGTGGTGTGCATCTGTAGTCCCAGCTACCCAGGAGGCTGGGGTGGGAGGATCACTGGAGCTCAGGAGTTTGAGGCTGCAGTGAGCTGTGATCTTGCCACTACACTCCAGCCTGGGCAAGAGAGCGAGACCCTGTCTCAAAAAACAAAACTGAAGAAAGAGTCGAGTCAGAAAGATTGACATGGGCCTGCAGGAGGTTTCATATCTTGTTCTTACTCTCATTAGTTTCTCTCAGAGATGGAAACTAAGGTGAATATTTCTTTCAGAAGCTCAAGAGGCCACAGTGGCCAGTTGTAGGAATGAGACTTTTAAATCATGGGCACCTCAGTGTTCTAAGGATTTAATTTCTTTTTCCCTTCTAATTATCTTCCCAGGCTGTAGGAGTCAAGTGAGTCACCCTTTCTCTTCTTCCCCAGGCGGAAATTGAAGTGACAACTTAGTACTAGGGAGGGGCTCTGACCTGGATGACTGGTTTTCAGTTTCTCTCCCTCCTTCTTAAGGAACCTAGGAGGTCAGGCTTTGGGGTGAGGCGGTGCAGGAACTCTTCTTTTTGCTTATATTCCACTCCAAACCCTGCCAATGTATGGAGACATCTTTTCTGAACCAAAGAACTCACAGAGGAAGAAGCTTCCATGGGGGGCTTTCTTTGAGGATAGTATAGAACTATGACTGAAGGTCTGTTTAGTCCCTAAAATTGATGCCCTTGCTCCAGCTTCGTTATTTTGTCTGCTAATTGTGTACTGACATATCAAGAGAACCAAACAGCTAATGGATATTTACTATCTAAAAAGCCTGGCATATAATAAATACTAAAAACTTTTCAAAATGAATGGCTGAATGGAATTTGAATAAATAGATGGTGGTGGTAAAGATTTGTGAGATGCTTTGTGACAGTTTTGTCTCTTATCTTGATTTGCTTGTATCTCGTTAAGGAACTGAGTTCCTCCAAACTGCTCTGAGTCAGTCTCAGGGCTGTGCTTTTTGTTTTGGTGGGTGCAGATACCTTTTCTTCACAGAATCCCAGACTGCTGTGGTTTAATTCTCTGGAATCATATGCTGTCTTGTTCTCCTGTCCTCTTCTTCCTTTCCTTCAGTGAGTTCTTCCTTTGCTTTGACTGGTTCAGATAAAGGGGACAAGGACAGATGCTGTCCTCATTCTGGAGATTAAGTTCTCAGCCACAAAGTAGATTAGAGTATTTATCCACTGTCTTGGTAGTGGGAACTTCTCCCTGAGCTGAGACGAGAGTGTTTGATACTACTGACAAAAAAGTAGCACATCAGGTTCTTCCAAAACTTCCAGCTCCCAGGAAATCAGCAGAGAAAGGAAGAGCTCTTGAAGCATTCCTACGTAGATTCAAATCCTGAAAGAAACTGAGTTTAATTCTGGACTAGAGAATTGTTTTTTTGATCAAGAAAAGTTACCTTAAAGCATATCTTGAGTTGACTGCTGTGGAATACTGGGTATGTTTGGGTAGTTTCTTTTTCCTACAAAATTGAGGGCTTCTTTGGTCTGATAGTCTCTATCCTCCCCCATTCCTGCTTCATTTTTAGACATCAAAGGGTTTACTTCTGTGTCTTGATATCCATTCTCATCTGTGTGTTTTAAAAGAATTTCCCAACCTTAAGAACTGGCCTGTAGTTGAGTAAACTCTCAGGCATATCCAATGCAATGGAGATACTTTAGGCACTTATGTGGTTCAGTCCCCTGGCAAGGGGGAGGCGGGGGCTAGAAAGGTAGGTGGTATCCCATGCTTTGGGCCAATGTGCAGGTCAATGGGACATAGCTGGGATCCAGAAACCTCAGGCTGCTCCAGAGAAGGGAGTGTAGCTGATATCATAGTCAGTACCTGGTTCTCATGTCTGGTTAGAAAGGAGATAAGGACAGATCTCAAAACATGTGGCAAGATCCACAGGGTAGGAATGAATCTGAAGCACAAAGACCTTAGTGCAACAGGTTAAGATGGGAGAGATTCTGAGTCTTGTACTTTTATCTAAAGTGAGCAGTTCCCATAGGAAACTAGACTCACTTAGTGGGAAAGATAAAGATAATAATTTGGGATGGCAAAGGTAAACCACACAAGATTTATCTATAGGTAAGGGGCTAAGTCTTTACAGATTTTTGTATGTATGGTTCGTGTCCAAAATATTAGAGGCAACCCCTCATTTTCTTTATTGTCTGTGCAGGTGTCCAGGACTAAGCCTGTATGTGTCACCTGCAGTGCCCATCTACAATGCAATTATGTTTCTCTTTGTGTTGGCCAACTTCAGCATGGCCACCTTCATGGACCCAGGGATTTTCCCTCGAGGTAAGATCTGCTTCTCTCTTAGAAGCACCTTACACTGCCTTTGAAAAATAATGAGTTGGCCATACACAGTTGATCTTGGGCCTTAAGAGTCCTGGGATTTTGGGATATGAAAAATAATGATTTGGGCATACGCAGTTGATCTTGGGCCTTAAAGTCCGGGGATTTTGGGATACTTTTATCATTTTCTGATGATGAAAATCAGGTCAGGGTCTTTAGGAATATATGTCATAACTTCTAGTCCTATGATTCACTTTGGGTCAAATCTTTGAGTTTTAGTGATTTGTTCAGCAGAAATTTATTTAAAGCATATGGGTTGGATGCTATTTTTAGGTACAGTAATACCCACAGTGAATTAAGACAGTTATGACAGTGTGATGCAGACTATAATGGAGGCAAGAGCAAGGTTCTGTGAGAATACAAACAATTGAGAACAAAGAAATATGAGAACATATTTTGCCCAAATAAATTGGGGAAATGCTGCTGAAAATAGGTGGGAAAGACTTTACCAAGTAGAATATAGGAGGGAAGGGCATTTTTAGGCAGAGGAAACAGCACATGCAGAAGCTTGTAGCCATGAAATGGCAAACTTAGTGGGGCTAGAGGATGTTATGCATGGTGTGACCAGAGGGATGGGAGGTAAACCCAGAGCCAAATTGTCAAGGACTTTACATACTAAGTTAAATAGATCATACATTTTCCTTTGGATAGGAAGAGGTCTTTAATTGGAGGACTCAACATCAGAATTCCTTTTAGAAAAATAATTCGTGTAAGAATTACAGCTACCTTTTGGGAGGCTGTGGAAATAAACCAGATGAGAACTTGAATTCAAGGCTGGATTTACAGATTTTTTAGTAGTAGACTCAATAATTTTTCATGACTTTTCATGATTTTATTGGGCAAGAGAGAGAAAGTGGAGGAATTATCTAGAGTAGTTTCAAGGTTCATAACTGGGAGATAAGTTGGATACTGATTTTTATAAACCTGAATATGAGATACAAGAATGTCAAACGGGTTTGGAGGGAAGACAGAAAATAAATACTCTTAGACATGTTGAATTTGATATACTTGAATCAGTCAGATAGTTACCCAGTGGGCAATTGAATAGTCAGTGTTGAAGACCTTGATTTAATAATCTTCATCCATGTGGTATTTGAAACAACAGGAGTAAGATTGTCCAGAGAAAATACTGTGAGATTATGAAAGAACTGAGGTTAGACCTGATCAGCACTGACATTTTTGTAACGATCAGAGGAGGAGGAAGAGCCATGAAGAAGGATTGAGTAAGAAGAGTTAGGAGGAGGAGAAATAGAACAAAGTGGGAACTAAGGAAAATTCATCAAATAGCCGATGGTTGGCAGTATTAGAAATTAGAGAGCTCCAATAGTATGGAAACTCAAATTTCCCATTTTTTTTGGTAACTAATAATTAATTTTTTTTTTTTTTTTTGAGACAGCGTCTCACTCTGTTGCCCAGGCTGGAGTGCAGTGGCGCAATCACGGCTCACTGCAGCCTTGACCCCCCCCTGGCTCAGGTGATCTCCCACCTCAGCCTCCAGAATTGCTGGGACTACAGGCGCGGGCCACCACACACAGCTAATTTTTCTATACCTATTCTTGGTAGAGATGGGGTTTCCATATTGGCCAGGCTGGTATTGAACTCCTGACCTTGTGATTCGCCTGCCTCAGCTTCCCAATGTGCTGGGATTATAGGCGTGAGCCACCGCGCCTGGCCCAAAATTACTCTTTTAAGAAGTAAGCTGGCTGGGCACAGTGGTTCATGCCTGTAATCCCAGCACTTTGGGAGGCTGAGGTGGGCAGATCACCCGAGGTCGGGAGTTTGAGACCAGCCTGACCAACATGGAGAAAACCCATCTCTACTAAAAATACAAAAAATTAGCCGGGTGTGGTGGCACATGCCTGTAATCCCAGCTACTCGGGAGGGTGAGGCAGGAGAATTGCTACGGGAGGAGAGAGTTTTTTAGGATACAGAATTTAGCTTGTTTGTAGCATGCAGAGATGGAACCAGAGGAGAGAAGCTGAGGTTGAAGAAAGGTGATAATTGAAATTGGACTTTTAGAGGAAGGAGATGCTTTCCAGTACATTTCTGAAGGTTATGCTTGCAGAAGAAGTAGGCTCTTTCTGGAATAGGAGGGGAGAGAACCATCATCAGTGGACTAAAAGGTAGAAAGAAAATAAGTTGACAAAGGTTGTCACTGATGACATGTAGTTTTCCTCTCAAATGTGAGGTTATTTTGCAAGAGTGAGACAAGTAGTTTCGGGCTGGCAACTCTGCTGAGATGAAGTTTTTCTGAAATTCACTGTAGGCTTGGCGTGGTGGCTCACATCTTAATCCCAGCACTTTGGGAGGCCAAGGTGGGCAGATCACCTGAGGTCAGGACTTTAAGACCAGCCTGGTCAACATGGTAAAACCCTGTCTTTACTGAAAAATACAAAAATTAGCCCGACATGGTGGTGGGTGCCTGTGATCCCAGCTACTTGGGAGGCTGAGGCAGGAGAATCGCTTGAGTGGGGGAGGCAGAGTTTGCAGTGAGCCGAGATTGTGCCATTGCACTCCAGCCTGGGCAACAGCAAGACTCCGTCTCAAAAAGAAAGAAAAAAAGAACTTCATTGTGCTCCCAAAGCCTACATCATTGTGCTTTGTTTGTGACTTCCCTTCAAAGATTGGGTGAGGGAAAAGAACTTTGTGTCCCTAAAGCCAAGAAAGGCTATTTTAATGAGCCTTTAATGTTCATTCATCAAATATTTATTGATGTATTATGGAAGGCACTATGATGGTCATTTGGGGTTTTTAAGAAGGTCATTGCTGGCCGGGCGTGGTGGCTTACGCCTGTAATCCCAGCACTTTGGGAGGCCAGGGCGGATCACTTGAGGTCAGGAGTTCGAGACCAGCCTGGCCAACATGGCGAAACCCCGTCTCTACTAAAAATATAAAAATTAGCCAGGCATGGTAGTGCACGTGCCTGTAACCCCAGCTCCTTGGAAGGCTGAGACAGGAGAATTGCTTGAACCTGGGAGGTGGAGGTTGTGATGAGCCGAGATTGCCCCATTGCACTCTAGCCTGGGCGATAAGAGCAAAACTCCATCTGAAGAAAAGTAAATAAAAAATAAAAAGGTCATTCCTTTCAAATAGCTCAGACTAGAAAGGAAGATAGGAAGACACCTCTATAAACAAATACACCGTGGGCCGGGTGCCGTGACTCACGCCTGTAATCCCAACTCTTTGGGTGGCCCAGGTGAGTGGATCACCTGAGGTTGGGAGTTCGAGACAAGCCTGACCAACATGGAGAAACCCTGTCTCTACTAAAAATACAAAATTAGCCGGGCGTGGTGGCGCATGCCTGTAATCCCAGCTACTCGGGAGGCTGAGGCAGGAGAATCGCTTGAACCCGGGAGGTGGAGGTTACTGTGAGCTGAGATTGCGCCACTGCACTCCAGCGACAGTGTGAGACTACATCTCAAAACAAACAAACAAAAAACAAATACATTGTGTAAGAGTAATCAAAGAGATCACTTCTGGTAGATGATGATGTAGAAGGATCAGACATTTCAAAATAAGGAGCATTGCAACTGGGCATGCTGGTGCCCACCTGCGGTTCCAGCTACTTGGGAGGCTGAGGTTGGAGGATCAGTTGAGCCCAGGAGTTCAGGGCTGCAGTGAGCTGTGGTCGCAGCACAGCACTCCAGCCTGGGTGATAGAGCAAAACTCTCTTAAAAGAAAAATAGCATTTGAATTTTTTCCCTTTAAAAGAAAAAAATCTTTTTTTTTTTGAGACAGAGTCTCACTCTCTGTTGCCCAGGCTGGAGTGCAGTGGCTCCATCTCGGCTCACTGCAAACTCTGCCTTTCGGGTTCAAGCAATTATTCTACCTCAGCCTCCCGAGTCGCTGGAATTACAGGAGCGTGCCACCGTGCCTGGCTAATTTTTGTATTTTTAGTAGAGATGGGGTCTCACCATGTTGGCCAAGCTACTCTGGAACTCCTGACCTCAAATGATCCACCTGCCTCACCCTCCCAGAGTGCTGGGATTACAGGCATGAGCCACTGTGCCTGACCAAAAGAAAAAATCTTTTATTTAAAGATTTCAATAAGTAGTGCACATTCATTATGTACGAAGTACAAAAAAGGCAAAACATTACCTATAATTTCACAGACCAGAGCTAACTACTGTTATATTGTGGTATATATCCTTGCAATATTTTGAAGACTTAAAAAATATATGTGTATATTTATGTATACCATGTATCTGCAGTATATATTTGTGTGTGTGTGTGTTTTTTTTTTTTTTCCAGACAGTGTCTTACTCTGTCACCAAGGCTGGAGTGCAGTGGCATGATCTTGGCTTACTGCAACCTCTGCCTCCCAGATTCAAGCCATTCTCCTGCCTCAGCCTCCCAAGTAGCTGGGATTACAGGCGTGTGCCACCACCCCTGGTTAATTTTTATATTTTTTGTAGAGATGGGGTTTCGCCATTTTGGCCAGGCTGGTCTTGAACTCCTGGCCTCAAGTCATCTGCCCTCCTTGGCCTCCCAAAGTGCTGGGATTACAGGCATGAGCCACCGTACCCAGCTGTACAGTTCTTTACCTAGCATTTCTTGTGATGTAAATATGAAAAAATGCTATGTAAAGAAATCAGTAAAATTTGAAAACTTAATTTTTAATTCCACACTATCATCTATTTAATTTTTCCTTCCCACATTTTTTTTTTCTAGGTTAATAATAAAAATTGCTCTGGGTGCGGTGGCCCATGCTTGTAATCTTAATACTTTGGGAAGCTGAGGCAGGTGGATTGCCTGAGCTCAGGAGTTTGAGACCAGCCTGGGGAACACGGTAAAACCCCGTCTCTATTAAAAATACAAAAAATTAGCTGCCGAAGTGGCGTGCGCCTGTAATCCCAGCTGTTTGGGAGGCTGAGACAGAAGTATCACTTGAACCCGGCAGGTGGAGGTTGCAGTGAGCCAAGATCACGCCCTTGCACTCCAGCTTGGGTAACAGAGCAAGACTCCGTCTCAAGAAAAAAAAAATTGCTAACTGTATATGAGAAGGCAAATAATGTCTTTTAAGTTTTGAAATGGGATGGTGGGTTTCTGATAGCTGAAAATTGAGAGAAAGGGCATTTATGCTTGTGCAACAAATAATACTGAAATACGTATATGTAGAGAAAATTCATAGAGTAGGGGAAGACATTTTGGGAAAGTTTTTTTTTTTTTTTTTTTTTTTTTTAAGATGAAGATGAAGTCTTGCTGTGTTGCCCAGGCTTGAGTGCAGTGGCGTGATCTCAGCTCACTGCAACCTCCACTTCCCGGGTTCAAGCGATTCTCTTGCCTTAGCCTCCTGAGTAGCTGGGACTACAGGTGCATGCCACCACACCAGGCTAATTTTTGTGTTTTTAGTAGAGACGAGGTTTCACCATGTTGGCCGTGCTGGTTTTGAACTCCTGAGCTCAGGCAATCCGCCCTTCTCGGCCTCCCAAAGTGTTGGGATTACAGGCGTGAGCCACCATGGTTGGCTGGGCAAAGGATTCGTGCCTGGAAAAAAAGGTTGATGTTAGTTCCTCTCTTGGATTGCTATAGTTCACTCATATAAATGTAGATACTGAACTCTTATGCAAACTCATTATGTATGTGCTTTGATATGTAAACTATTTCTTTAAAATATATTCATATACTTAAACCAAATAACACCAGCAGATGCATACAAGAGCTACCTCTTGAGTCATTTTATCTCGAACCTCACTTCCCAATGCAGAATAAATTGCTCCCTCATCCATGTTCCCATAGTGTTGTATAAAGACCTGACCTCACAGTCTTATAGTTCCTAGTTCCTAGTCTCACTCATTAGACTGTGAATTCCTCAAAGGCAGAAGCTATATTTTAAACATCATTGAATCCCTAGCACTTACTACAGTTCTGGCATAGTTGTTTTTAATTGACTTTTCCTCTCTACAGCTGAGGAGGATGAGGACAAGGAAGATGATTTCCGAGCTCCCCTTTACAAAACAGTGGAGATAAAGGGCATCCAGGTGCGCATGAAATGGTGTGCCACCTGCCGCTTTTACCGTCCCCCTCGATGTTCCCACTGCAGTGTCTGTGACAACTGTGTGGAGGTAAGCACCCTGGGTGGGGTAAGACTTCATGCTTAACCTTCATTGTCTTCATCCTAACCATATAATAGATTCTTAGCTTTGGATGTGGTATAGTCCTGTCTAACTACGTTGGCCACATGGTCCAGCTCTGTCAAATGGTGTTAATAATGACATGGCATGAGAGGCAGAGCATAAATATTATTGCAGGAGGGAAGCTTTAACTCAATATGGGCATAGGCTTTCTTTTTTATTTATTTTTACTTTTTGTAGTGATGAGGTCTCACTGTGTTGCTTGGACTATCTCAAATTCCTGGCTTCAAGTGATCCTCATGCCCTGGCCTCCCAGAGTGCTGAGTGCTGGGATTACAGGCATGAGCCATTGCACTAGCAGGGTGTAGGCTTTCTTGACACCAAGATTTATAGTTCTAGCCTTCTATCTATTGGCTCAGTTTTGGTTATTTATCCTGGCTTTGCATTTTCTCTTCCAGAAAATCATGCTGTTGTGTTTCAATTTGTTGTAGTTGTTTTCCTGCCTGTCCTTCTGCATCCCTTGTCCTTTTTCCATTCCATTTTCACTTAGCTATAAGCAGTTACCTGCCAAATCTTCCTTCTAATCCTCTTTTCTTATGAATCTTGATGTTTCTGCAAAACCTCTGACATTCGTCACTTTTAGAGTTCCTTGGTCACATAGGATAAACATTGAGAGCCGGCCTTGGTCTTTTTTATATATATATATATTTATTTATTTATCGAGACGGAGTCTCGCTCTGTTGCCCAGGCTGGAGTGCAATGGCGCAATCTCGGCTCACTGCATCCTCCGCCTCCCGGGTTCAACCGATTCTCCTGCCTCAGCCTCCTGAGTAGCTGGGATTACAGGCACGCGCTACCACGCCCGGCTAATTTTTGTATTTTTAGTAGAGATGGGGTTTCACCATGTTGGTCAGGCTGGTCTTGAACTCCTGACCTCGTGATCTACCCGCCTCGGCCTCTCAAAGTGCTGGGATTACAGGCGTGAGCCACCGCGCCCGGCCAATTTTTTTTTTTTTTTTTTTTTAAGAGATGGGGTCTTGCTATGTTGCCCAGTACAGTGGCTATTCACAGGCAGTCATCATAGTTCACTACAGCCTTGAACTCCTGGGCTCAAGCCCCAGCCCCCCAAGTAGCTGGGACTACAAGTGTGCACCACTACGCCTGGTTGGCCTTGGCCTTTGACCAACCTCTGGAAGGTCTCCCTTGCAGATTTATAGAGCAAAATAAACTGGATTTAATTTTGAACTAATTGGTGACCATGATCAAAACTTAGCTGCCATTTGTTTCTCTTCTTGACAGAAGTAATTTAATGCTATGGTCCAGGGATGCCTCTCATCTGTCTCTCTTTGTCCCTAGGAATTTGATCATCACTGCCCCTGGGTGAATAACTGTATTGGTCGCCGGAACTACCGTTATTTTTTCCTTTTCCTCCTTTCCCTGACAGCCCACATTATGGGTGTGTTTGGCTTTGGCCTCCTTTATGTCCTCTACCACATAGAGGAACTCTCAGGGGTCCGCACGGCTGTCACGTATCCTTCAAGGCCTTTTAGATTGTGGGATTGGAAGGGGGAGGAATGAGGGCTAAAGGGAAAATGGCTGCAGTAGGGGCCGGGGAAAGTGAGGTCATGTTGCTCTGTTCTCCTTGATTGTTTGGCATCAGAATGGCAGTAATGTGTGTGGCTGGCTTATTCTTCATCCCTGTAGCTGGCCTCACGGGATTTCACGTGGTTCTGGTGGCCAGGGGACGCACAACCAATGAACAGGTATGGAGAAAAGTGACGAGAGACCCCTGAAGAGCAGGTCATGTCTCTTTAGCCTTCTGATTAGTGTGCAGTGTAGTGCTTCCACAAAGAGATGCTTAATGAATACTTTTCATGATTATGTAGAGATTAATGGTAGGGAGTGAGGTAGTCCTAGTTCCTCATGTAAGTGTAGAGGCCATGTAAGAATAGAGGCCATTTCTCACATATACACCATGGAATACTATGCAGCCATAAAAAAGGATGAGTTCTTGTCCTTTGTAGGGACATGGATGAATCTGGAAACCATCATTCTGCGCAAACTGTCGCAAGGACAGAAAACCAAACACCGCATGTTCTCACTCATAGGTGGGAACTGAACAATGAGAACACTTGGTCACGGGGTGGGGAACATAACACCCTGGGGCCTGTTGTGGGGCAGGGGGAGCGGGGAGGGATAGCATTAGGAGATATACCTAATGTAAGTGACGAGTTAATGGGTGCAGCACACCAACATGGCACATGTATACATATGTAACAAACCTGCATGTTGTGCATATGTACCCTAGAGCTGTAAGTATAATAATAATAAAGATACTCTCAAAGAGATACTAAGACAATAGAGATAAAGGCTGAATTTTGCCCTAAAATATCTTTTTTTATTTTTTATTTTTTTGAGACAGAGTCTTGATCTGTCGCCCAGGCTGGCATCCAGTGGCGTGATCTTGGCTCACTGCAACCTCTGCCTCCTGGGTTCAAGCGATTCTCCTGCCTCAGGCTCCCAAGTAGCTGAGATTACAGATGTGCATCACCACGCCCAACTAATTTTTGTATTTTTAGTAGAGACAGGGTTTCACCATGTTGGCCAGGCTGGTCTCGAACTCCCGACCTCAGGTGATCCACCCACCTCAGCCTCCCAAAGTGCTAAAATATCTTTTATTTATTTATTTATTTATTGTAATTTTAGTAGACACGGGGTTTCACCATGTTAGCCAGGATGGTCTCGATCTCTTGACCTCGTGATCCGCCCACCTCGGCCTCCCAAAGTGCAGGGATTACAGGCATGAGCCACTGCGCCCAGCCTAAAAATATATTTTATAACAAAATAATATCTATCTCCAAAGAAAGTCTTGGATGGTTTGGCATCATCACCTGAAATATCAATTGAGAGACCCAAACCAAACTGAAACTAGACAATATAGCATAAAGAATAAGATGATAGTTTTTTAAACAATACTCACCATAGAACTTGGTATCCAAATAATAGTATTCTTTCTTTAGTTTGTCAAAAATCATATTAATAGATTTTTAAATTTAAAGTGTAGCAAGACATATGTATATGTACATATATGTTCATATACATATAAATATTTAAGATCTTCCTAAAAAAAAAAAAGAATAGAGGCCACTTCTTAGTTAACAGACATTTACTATATGCCCACTGGATACTGGAGAATTTAGGCTCTGAGTTTATAGAAACAATGAAAGACTTAGGCTAGCCCTCAAGAAGCTTATAGTGCTGCTTACAGGAAAGCAATGATTTTTGTGCATATAATAGTAGCTAACCTTAATTGCTTTTTTTTTTTCTTTTTTGAGACAGAGTATCGCTTTGTCACCCAGGCTGGAGCCCACTGGCTGGAGCCCACTGGCTGGGGCGCAGTGGCACGATCTCGGCTCACTGCAACCTTTGCCTCCTGGCTTCAAGCAATTCTCCTGCCTCAGCTACCCAAGTAGCTGGGATTGCAGGTGCCTGACACCATGCCCGGCTAGTTTTTATATATTTTTATAGTAGAGATGGGGTTTTGCCATGTTGGCCAGTTTGGTCTCAAATTCCGGACCTCAGGTGATCCACCTGCCTCAGCCTCCCAAAGTGCTGGGATTACAGGTGTGAGCTGCCATGCCCAGCCCTTAATTGCTTATTCTTTATCTTAGTTTTCAATATTTAGAAAGCTATCCCATTTTACATGAGGAAACTGAGGTTTTGGGTCAGCAACCATGAGGTAGACCTAGGATTTGAACTAAGGACCCTGACTGTAGATTCCCTGCTCTTAACCATAACATATATAAATTTCTTGTGTTTTACTCATTTGCATAGCCCTCAGATAGTGAGTGCACAATAACTTGTAATAGATTTGTATTTTGGCCTTTGGAAGTCAAGGTCTCATCTTCTAACCTGGTATTTTTTTTCTCCCTCTAGGTTACGGGTAAATTCCGGGGAGGTGTGAACCCCTTCACCAATGGCTGCTGTAACAATGTCAGCCGTGTTCTCTGCAGTTCTCCAGCACCCAGGTACACCTATCCCTCTGGTCTAGTGTTTACCATTGGTCAGAACTTTTATCTTCTTTGGGCTTGTTCTGGTAAAGGAGGGGTCTGGTGAGAGCCTTTAGGAAGGGTTCTCTATCTTAGAATGTTAAGTACCCACTCTATCTTAGAATGGTAAGTAGTCTATCTTAGAATGGTAAGTACCTACATGCCCATCCTTTAGTGCAGTGGTCCCTAACCTTTTTGGCAGCAGGGACCGGTTTCATGGGAGACACTTTTTCCACAGATGGGGGCTGGGGTGGGGTGGTTTCAGGATGAAACTGTTCCACCTCAGATCATGAGGCATTAGATTCTCATGGCTGGGTGTGGCGGCTCACACCCAGCACTTTGGGAGGCCGAGGTGGGCGAATCACTTGAGGTCAGAAGTTCAAGTCCAGCCTGGCCAATATGGTGAAACCCCTTCTCTACTCAAAATACAAAAATTAGCTGGGCAAGGTGGCAGGCACCTGTAATCCCAGCTACTTGGGAGGCTGAGGCAGGATAATTGCCTGAACCCAGGAGGCAGAGGTTGCAGTGAGCTCAGAGCACACATACAACCTAGATTGCTTGCATGTGTAGTTTACAACAGGGTTCTAGGGTTTGCGCTCCTAAGAGAATCTAATGCCTCCGCTGATCTGACAGGAGATGGAGCTCAGGTGATAATGCTCACTGGCCCACTGCTTACCTCCTGCTATGTGGCCCAGTTCCTAACAGGCCATGAACCGGTACTGGTCTGCGGCCCAGGGGTTGGGGACCCCTGCTTTAGTGGACACTGTGAATTCCATTGATATTCTTCAGGTATTAAGGTAAATCTTTGAGAATTGAGGGTGAATAAGATACACTCTAAAGTGCTTTCCTTGAGCTAGGTATCTGCTCACAAAGGCCTAGTCCTGCTGCAGTCCTTCACAGAATCAATTCTGTTTATTGCTAAGTAAGTGATGGCCAAAACTGCAATTACTTTTTTACCAACCTAATAAAAATGGTTTACAGAAACAGTAGATACTTTAAAATATAAATGAATGAAAGCTCTCTCGCTGTGTCTCTCTCTCTCTCTCTCTCGACACTTAGGTATTTGGGGAGACCAAAGAAAGAGAAGACAATTGTAATCAGACCTCCCTTCCTTCGACCAGAAGTTTCAGATGGGCAGATAACTGTGAAGATCATGGATAATGGCATCCAGGGAGAGCTGAGGAGAACAAAGGTGAGGAATTTAGAGAAGTCAAGCTAGATAACATGGAAGTCTCACCCAAGGCAAAGAGACGGAAGCTTGCTTTAGTTTCCTTTGTGTTTTTTTTTTTTTTTTTGAGACAGAGTCTTGCTCTGTTGCCCAGGCTGGAGTGCAGTGGTGCTCAGTGCAAACTCTGCCTCCCAGGTTCAAGCAATTCTCCTGCCTCAGCCTCCCGAGTAGCTGGGATTACAGGTGTCCGTCACCTTGCCTGGCTAATTTTTGTATTTTTAGTAGAGATGGGGTTTTGCCATGTTGGCCAGGCTGGTCTCGAACTTCTGACCTCAGGTGATCTGCCCACCTCGGCCTCCCAAAGTGCTAGGATTACAAGCATGAGCCACCACGCCTGGCCCATATTTCTTACAGTGTTTATCACTTACTAATTTGGGTTAAAATTACTTAAATACAAATCTTGTTTTCTACATTAGATTTTTTTTTTTGAGAGGGAGTCTTGCTCTGTTACCTAGGCTGGACTCCAGTGGTATGATCTCAGCTCACTGCAACCTCTGCCTCCCAGGTTCAAGCGATTCTCGTGCCTCAGCCACCTGGGTAGCTGGGACTACAGGCATGCGCCACCACGCCTGGCTAATTTTTTTATTTTCAGTAGAGGCAGGGTTTTCCTATGTTGGCTAGGCTGGTCTCAAACTCCTGACCTGAAGTGATCCAACCCCCTCAGCCTCCCAAAATGCTAGGATTATAGGTGTGAGCCACTGCACCCGGCCCTACATTAGACTTTAAGTTCATTAACAATAGAAAATGAATTCATTCATTTCCATGTCTTCATAGGACTTAACAGCTTACAGCTAGATGGTAGGAGCTAAACAAGTAGTTGTTGGTTTAAATGGGCAAATAAGTGACAGAATTAAAACCTTTTTTAAACCCTTTCTTCTGCCAGGTACAGTAACTCATGCCTATAATCCCAGCACTTAGCGAGGCTGAGGTGGGAAGATCGCTTGAGTTCAGGAGCTCAAGACCAGCCTGGACAACATAGCGAGACTCCATCTCTAAAACAGACTAAAATAAAAAATAGAAAAATTTTCTGGCTGGGCGTAGTGGCTTATGCCTGTAATCCCAACACTTTGGGAGGCTGAGGTGGGTGGATCACCTGAGGTTGGGAGCTCGAGACCAGCCTGACCAACATGGAGACACCCTGTCTCTATTAAAAATACAAAATTAGCTGGGCATGGTGGCGCATGCCTGTAGTCCTAGCTACTTGGGAGGCTGAGGTAGGAGAATTGCTTGAACCCGGGAGGCGGAGGTTGCAGTGAGCCGAGATCATGCCATTGCACTCCGCCTGGGCAACAAGACCGAAACTCCATCTCAAAAAAAAATTAGCCAGGTGTGGTGGCACATGCCTGTAATCCTAGCTGCTTGGGAGGCTGAGGCATGAGAATCGCTTGAACCTGCGAGCCAGAGGTTGCAATGAGCCGTGATCACGCCACTGCACTCCAGCCTGGGTGACTGAGCAAGACTCCATTTCAAAAAAAAAAACCCAACTTTTCTTCATCTAATGCTATACCCAAACTGATTCTTGTGCCTTGTCTTCCAGTATAGTTGAGAAATATATGATAGGCAGTGGCTCATGTCTATAATCCCAACATTTAGGGTGGCCAAGGTGGGGTGATATTGCTTGAGGCCAGGGGTTCAAGACCAGCTTGGGCAACATGGCGAGACCCCCATCTCTACAAAATAAAGTAAAATAAATTAACTGGGTGTGGTGGCATGTGCCTGTAATCCCAGCTACTTGGGAGGCTGAGGTGGGAAGAGCACTTGAGCCTAGGAGTTGCAGGCTGCAGTGAACATGATCATGCGTACCACTGTACTCCAGCCTGGTCAACAGAGTGAGACCTTGTCTCAAAAAAAAAAAAAAAATACATGAGAATTGACTCCCAAATACCTCCCTCTTATATCAATTTAATACTTTGAGTTGCCATAATGCTCAATTTCTAAATCTGATTTTCCCTCCCTTCATCAATCCAGTCTAAGGGAAGCCTGGAGATAACAGAGAGCCAGTCTGCAGATGCTGAACCTCCACCTCCTCCTAAGCCAGACCTGAGCCGTTACACAGGGTTGCGAACACACCTCGGCTTGGCTACTAATGAGGGTAAGGGCTGCCTTGATTTGCAAGATACTAGAACTAGGGGCAGGATTGAGAAGGTTGCTTATGAGCTGTGGAAGACAGGCAAGGGCTGGGAGATATTACTCGTGTTGTGACTTTAAACACCCAACAGTTGGTACTTGTGCTACTTTGCAACTGAAAGAGAAGAGAGGCCATTTAGCTATTGGCAGTGAATGGGACTTTTGCCGGGAAAATGGTCAGCCTCTAGGCAGACCAGAGAACATCACAGAACCTTTTTGGTGCATTTACCCACCCTGAATTCTGGGCTGGTGTGAGTCTTTAAAAGTCTTGATTTCAGCGAAGGGTATATCTATTCCTACCTTGTCCTCTCCCTGTACTTAAGGAACCCTAGGCAGATAAAGTGAACAACTCATAGACTAGACGCAGTGGCTCACACCTGTGATCCCAGCACTTTGGGAGGCCAACGCAGGAGGATTGCTTGAGCCCAGGAGTTCAAGACCACCCTGGGCAACATAGCAAGACTCTGTCTCTACAAAAAATTTAAAAAAGTTAGCTGGGCATGGTGGCATATGCCTGCAGTCCCAGCTACTCAGGAGGCTGAGGTGGGAGCCCAGGAGTTCAAGGCTCCAGTGAGCTATAATCGTGCCACTGCACTCTAGCTTGGACAGTAGAGTGAGACCCTGTCTCTTAAACCAAAAAACCGCTTGTAAAATAGTGCCCCCTTGGCCTTTTTTCTTGCAGATAGTAGCTTATTGGCCAAGGACAGCCCCCCGACACCTACCATGTACAAGTATCGGCCGGGTTACAGTAGCAGCAGTACGTCAGCTGCCATGCCGCATTCCTCCAGCGCCAAGGTACTGAGTACTCTAAGAGGTGGGGTAATAACATGCCAACTGGCCAGGCACAGTGGCTCATTCCTGTAATCCCAGCACTTTGGGAGCCCAAGGTGGGTGGATCACAAGGTCAAGAGATTGAGACCGTCCTGGCCAACATGGTGAAACCCCGTCTCTACTAAAAATACAAAAATTAGGCCAGGCGTGGTGGCTCACGCCTGTAATCCCAGCACTTTGGGAGGCCGAGACTGGTGGATCACAAGGTCAGGAGTTCGAGACCAGCCTGGCTAATGTGGTGAAACCCCATCTCTACTAAAAATACAAAAATTGCCGGGCACAGTGGCTCACGCCTGTAATCCCAGCACTTTGGGAGGCTGAGGCAGGTGAATCACGAGGTCAGGAGATTGAGACCATCCTGGCTAACATGGTGAAACCCCGTCTCTACTAAAAATACAAAAAAATTAGCCAGGCATGGTGGCAGGTGCCTGTAGTCCCAGCTACTCGGGAGGCTGAGCCAGGAGAATGGCGTGAACCCAGGAAGCGGAGCTTGCAGTTAGCCGAGATCATGCCACTGCACTCCAGCCTGGGCAGCAGAGCGAGACCGCATCTCAAAAAAAAAATAAATAAATAAATACAAAAATTATCTGGGCGTGGTGGGGGGGCACCTGTAATCCCAGCTATTCGGGAGGCTGAGGCAGGAGAATCACTTGAATCTGGGAGGTGGAGGTGGCAGTGAGTCGAGATTGCGCCACTGCACTCCAGTCTGGGTGACAGAGTGAGAGTCCATCTCAAAAAAAAAAAAAAAAAATTAGCTGGTAGTGGTATGCATCTGTAGTCCCAGCTACTTGGCAGGCTGAGGCAAGGAGAATCGCTTGAACCTGGGAGGAGAATTGCTTGAACCTGGGAGGTGGAGGCTGCAGTGAGCTGAGCTCCCACTGCTGTATTCCAGTCTGGTGACAGAGTGAGACTACACCTCAAAAAAAAAAAAAAAAAAAAAAAGGCCAAGCACAGTGGCTCAAGCCTGTAATCCCAGCACTTGGGGAGGCTGAGGCAGACGGACCACCCGAGGTCAGGAGTTTGAGACCAGCCTGGCCAACTTGGTGAAACCCTGTCTCTACTAAAAATACAAAAATTAGCTGGGCGTGGTGGCGGGGCGCCTGTAATCCCAGCTACTCGGGAAGCTGAGGCAGGAGAATCGTTTGAACCTGGGAGGCTGAGGTTGCAGTGAGCCAAGATTGCACCATCACGCTCCAGCCTGGGCTTAAAACACACACACACACACACACACACACACACAAACAAATGCCAACTGTTACGGGAAAAAAAGAAGATTAGGGGAAGGAAAAGGCAGAAGAAAGGACATTTCACTAATTGTTGGCATTCGTGGAACTCAATCTCCTTGATACTGTGTCCTTCATCAGACTGGGCAATATAGCATAATAGATTAGTGCTTGATCCGAGTTTATAACCCAGTTCTGCCCACGGGCGAGATACTCAGCCTTTCTACGTCTTGCTTTCTGTATCTGAAAAGGAGATGATATTTGCCTGAATTCAGTTTTTCTTGAGGGATTAACCCAGATAATGCATGTAAGAGTTCTAAGCTTATTATTGGCACATAATTCTCTTTTTGACCAACTCCTTGAGCTCTGGGGTCTAGCTTCTGTCACAAAAGGAGCACTAAGAGCCTGCTTTACTTTCTTCCTCAGTTGAGTCGTGGGGACAGCTTGAAGGAGCCAACCTCAATTGCAGAGAGCAGCCGTCACCCCAGCTACCGCTCAGAGCCCAGCTTGGAACCAGAGAGCTTCCGTTCTCCTACCTTTGGCAAAAGTTTTCACTTCGATCCACTATCCAGTGGCTCACGCTCCTCCAGCCTCAAGTCAGCCCAGGGCACAGGCTTTGAGCTGGGCCAGTTGCAATCCATTCGTTCAGAGGGCACCACCTCCACCTCCTATAAGAGCCTGGCCAACCAGACACGCAATGGAAGCCTATCTTATGACAGCTTGCTCACACCTTCAGACAGCCCTGATTTTGAGTCAGTGCAGGCAGGGCCTGAGCCAGACCCACCTTTAGGCTATACCTCTCCCTTCCTGTCAGCCAGGCTGGCCCAGCAACGGGAAGCTGAGAGGCACCCACGTTTGGTGCCAACTGGCCCAACACACCGAGAGCCCTCACCAGTCCGTTACGACAATCTGTCGCGCCACATTGTGGCCTCTCTCCAGGAACGAGAGAAGTTGCTGCGCCAGTCACCCCCACTCCCGGGCCGTGAGGAAGAACCAGGCTTGGGGGACTCAGGCATTCAGTCAACACCAGGCTCGGGCCATGCCCCTCGTACTAGTTCCTCCTCAGATGATTCAAAGAGATCACCTTTGGGCAAGACTCCACTGGGACGCCCAGCTGTCCCCCGTTTTGGCAAGCCAGATGGGCTAAGGGGCCGGGGAGTAGGGTCCCCTGAACCAGGCCCAACAGCCCCATACCTGGGCCGATCGATGTCTTACAGCAGCCAAAAAGCCCAACCTGGTGTCTCTGAGACAGAAGAAGTGGCCTTGCAGCCATTACTGACACCCAAGTAAGTATTAGTACTATCCTGACCCTTAGCCAATTTCAAATTAGCATACTGCTCTGCAAAAGCTATCAGGGCTTCTGTTGTACATCCTAATGTAGGTGGACCCAGGGGTATCCTGGTAGCTCTTTATTTTCACTTTGACTCTACCTGCCTTCATGGGCAATTCCTGTTAAGAGACTGAAGATTAATACTTTTTCCATAATGCTATCTTCCTAAAAGTATTTGCTTGGGAGTAAGTACATGTGATAGCTGTTACTAGAGAGTAGTAGTACATAGGAGAGATTGGGAATCAGGCTTATTTTAAGCAGGGCAATAAAGGGGAATGTTTGGGTAAGAAAGTATGGATATAGAAAAGAACATCATTTTTTTCTCTGAACCTTTGAAACTGTCTCCCTTTCCAATGTTTTCTGTCCCATTTCCTGACACCTACGTCTTGTCTCTTCTTTCCAGAGATGAAGTACAGCTGAAGACCACCTACAGCAAATCCAACGGGCAGCCCAAGAGCTTAGGCTCAGCCTCCCCTGGCCCAGGCCAGCCACCTCTCAGTAGCCCCACGAGGGGAGGAGTCAAGAAGGTGTCAGGGGTTGGTGGTACCACCTATGAGATTTCGGTGTGAGCCTTCGGCACCTCCCCTCCCCAACGCCTCTGCGCCTACACCAAAGGGCCCCAGGTGGCCACCTTCCTTCCCTCAAGGGGCTCCCCTCCCGTGCATGGACATTTTTTAAACCACCGATTCCAAGAGGATGAGGAGTGTTTTCTAAAATGCAGTAGGCTTGGGGAGTCGGAGAGTTGGGGCCCTGAGACTGGGGTAGCAACCCCCCCTTTTATCTTTTAAGACCTTCCCTTCCTTGATCCCTGGACCAGACTCAGTGGACATTTGTGCAATTGCTCGCCCTGGAGGGAACCAGATCATTTTTAAACCAGAAATAATTTTTTTTATTATTGTTACGGATTCTATTTTTTTCCTCTTCTGCGTTACCAGGTGTGTGTGTACATATAATATATATATATATATATTATAAATATCAAAGAAATTATATATCTATCCTGGGATGGGAAAATGAGGGAGGGATACATATACGGAGGGGGATCTTACTCTTCCCATTCCTCAGACCAGCAGGAAAAGAGGGGAGACGTCAGTCTTTTTCCTGTGGTTCCCTCTCATTTGTCCCAGTTACTAACTACGGAAATAGCATCCTCTGCTGGTGCTAAGTGTGATTAGGAAGAAGCCTGGGGAGAGGTGAGTCTGGAATTTTGGTCACAAGAGGGAAGGACTTGGAGAGGAGAATTAGTTTTCTAGGCTCATTGGCATTTAGTTTCCCTAGGAAAGGGGTCAAAACTTCAAGACACTGGTGGTGGTGGGAGATCAGGAAAATAACTTGGCCTAGCTCAAACAATATTGGATAATCCCCTCCTTGGGGGAGAGGGATTAGAGTGTGCTCCTACTGGCCCCTTGGAGCCTCCCCTAGCTTACACAGTTAACTTGATTTTAAAATCCAAGGCCAGGAGAGAAGAATCCAAAAAGCAATATTTTTCATCACATGCCAAAAACGGGGGATAGAGAGAAGGAGTGGCAGGCCTAGGCCCCTCCGATTGTCCCTTGGGGGTTACCCCTCAGCCCACCTCACTATGGTGCTGGGTAGAGGGGATACCTGGGTTCTAACCTCTAAATAGGGGAGATCCCAGCCTCCACAAAGAGGCCCTTTTATTTTTTATTCTGATTAGCCATTTTAAACCAACGAGGAATAAAAAGAAATCCTGATCTAACCAGCGCCCCCTGACTTGTGTTATTTTGTCTGGTTGAGACAGGGTGAACGATCTCTGGTGGGAAGTTATCAGTGACAACCTCATAAACTTCTCTGGTCCCAGCCCATCTTTAGGCAAGACTATAATGAAATTAGCCACTTAACAACTAAAAAAATAAAAAAGAGACCCAGTGCGGTGGCTTATACCTGTAATCCCAGCACTGAGGGAGGCTGAGGCAAGAGGATCACTTGAGCCCAGGAGTTCCAGACCAACCTGGGCAACATAGAGACTCCATTTCTAAAAACAACAGGTCCTGTTTTTATTTGGGTGATTTAATTCAAAAATTCCTGAAAAAAGGTCTCTTGAAATCACCAAAACTGCTTGTTATTTGAAAGCTTAGAGAACTCTTAAAAGTTGTTTCTTTCAAGAGACAGGGCCTCATTCTGGTTGCCCAGGCTGGAGGGCAGTGGCACAATCAGATCACTATATCCTCAAATTCCTGGGCTCAAGGGATCTTCCCACCTCAGCCTTCTGTGAAGCTAGGACTTACAGTTGCATGCCACCATGCTTAGCTAATTTTTTTTTTTTTGGTAGAGATAGACTCTCAACCAATTTTGCCCAGACTGATCTCGAACTTCTGGCCTTGAGCAATCCTGCCTTGGCCTCCCAAAGCATTGGGATTACAGGCATGAGCCACCATGCCCAGCTACAGTTGTTTTTTAATACAGGATTTAGTCTCTGGAAAGTAAAGCTAATTTTGGAAACAGCCAAAGGTGACATAGTAACAGGTATGAAAGCCTGTTGAAGGCAGGTTAACTAGATATCGGTGTCAGTTCAATTAGATATATTGCATTTTATTGGACAAAAGCTGTGCTCTAATTTTAAATAGGTATCCTTAGACACTAAATCTCAAGCAGTTGACCAGAGCCCTTTAATTACTCAAAATTTAAGAATATAAGCTCTTAGCCGGGCGTGGTGGCTCACGCCTGTAGTCCCAGCACTTTGGGAGGCCGAAGCGGGCTGATCACAATGTCAGGAGATCGAGACCATCCTGGCTAACACAGTGAAACCCCATCTCTACTAAAAATAACAAAAAACTAGCCTGGCGTGGTGCGGGCGCCTGTAGTCCCAGCTACTTGGGAGGCTGAGGCAGGAGAACGGCGTGAACCTGGGAGGCGGAGCTTGCAGTGAGCCGAGATCACGCCACTGCACTCCAGCCTGGGTGACAGAGCAAGACTCCGTCTCAGGAAAAAAAAAAAAAAAAAAAAAAAAAAAAATATATATATATATATATACTCTTATTTGGGTGCAGTAGCTCACACCTGTAATCCCAGCACCTTGGGAGGCTAAGGCAGGTGGATCACCTGAGGTCAGGAGTTCAAGACCAGCTTGGCCAAAATGGTGAAACCCCGTCTGTACTAAAAATGCAAAAATTAGCTGGGCGTTGGTTATGGGTGCCTGTAATCCTGGCTATTTGGGAAGCTGAGGTGGGAGAATCACCTGAACCCAGGAGGTGCAGGTTGCAGTGAGCTGAGATTGCACTACTACACTCCAACATGGGCGACAGAGCAAGACTCTTTCTCCAAAATTTAAAAAAAAAAAAAAAAAAAAAATATATATATATATATACAAAAATTAGCCAGGTGTGGTGACGCACACTTGTAGTCCCAGCTACTTGGGAGGCTGAGGTACAAGAATCACTTGAACCCAGGAGGCAGAGGTTGCCGTGAGCCGAGATCATGCCACTGCACTCCTGGGCAACAGAGCAAGACTCTGTCTCAAAAAAAAAAAAAAAAAAAAAAAAACCCAGCAAACTCTTATTCTGAAATCCTGGATTTAAACCAGCTGAATGAGTGGTTTTCCACCCACTGATTCAGGAACAACCTTGGCTTTCACGGCAACAGATTTTAACTGTGTTAAATTTAAAGTCAGATTACATTAATTCAGGTTTTCTCATGGATGTTTTCAGTTACCTAACCAGCTGGAAAAACTAAAAGTGTTTTTTGTTTTTGTTTTTCACATTTTGATGGTTTAGGCTACATTTTGTTGCTGTTTTAGAAATGTTTTCACATCAGCTAAATAACTTTATTGTCTTAACTAAGGACCGAAGCAGGTCAAAAGTTCTTGTAAAGAGAAGGGAAGCTTTACCTTTGCTTGCCAGAAGTTCATCTCAAAAGATCACAGGCTTCTGACCTAAAGAACCAATCTTGTTGAAACACATGGGTGACTGTCCATGTGTTTTCAGTTGGCTATTCTCTTTCGACACAAAATTGACCTAGAATACACTGTTGAGCCCTACCTGGATCAGCTCTTCAGATGGAGCCTGAGATCACCGAGGCGCTTGGTTCTCAACATAATGGGCAGAGTGTTACGTGTCTGCTGTGGAGTATTAGTAAGCTTGGGTCACTTTTCATTTTGGTTGGTTCCCTGCCTGCTAGTGAGATCATGTAATGACAAGACCCAAATCCCCTCAAGTCTTAGGAATGCCTTGTCTTAAATCCTGATTCACAGAAAGGCACATACCTCTTAACAGGCAGTCACACTTCAGCCAGTTTGATAAATGTAATTTTTTTTTTTTTAAAGAAAACACAGAACAAGTCCTAAATCAGACAAATTGCACAAAAGAGAGAGAAGAAAATTGTAAGCTTCCTGGGAGAGGAAGAGATGTCCATGAGAAAACCAACTGGGATGAGCCTACAAAAGCATGTCCCTCTCTCTCCTAATTTACTTAGTCTCAACTGAGCCCAACAGGAGCTGGCCTCTGTCCCAGCTGCAGGATGCTCCCAAGGCAGTGTCCAAGAGCCTGGAAGGCAGCTTTTATCAGCAGGTTCAGTACAGCAGGAAAAGCCATCCTGGCAAAGAGTCCAGTGGTCCTATTAGCGTAGGCTGCTGCTGCTGCTGGCCTGGGAGCTGCCCATACCTGGGTGGTCTGGACTATGTCGATTCTGGGGGAGAAAGAAGCAGGGTAAGAACAACTAGGAACTAGCCTTGGCTTTGATCAGGCTGTACAGGAGAAACCTGCAACCTGCCTTGGGTTTTCAATCTTGGGTCCAACTTGAGGCAAAGAACTCTAGGGTATTTAGGACAGGGGTGAGATCTGGGGAAACTCACTGGGTTGTGGCAATAGGCCTCTACTCTACCTTCTTTTTCTTCTTCTCTTTCTTCTTCCTTTTCCGTTCAGGATCCTCTTCTTTTTTCTTTTTCTTCTTCTTGTGATCTGAATCAGATGGTGTTTCTGTAGGAGACATTAGGTACCTATCACCTGTAAAGCTCAAAATCCTCTACTGTTATGAACCACTGAAGACTACAGGAAAATCCCAAGTCGGGGCAACTGCTTTTGTCCAAATGGCCAGAAAGGATACAGAGGTGCTGCTAGAGTCCCTGTCCCAAGTCCCAAGAGACCACAGTACATTGGTTTCTTCTTCAGGGGAATTTAGGAGTCCAGAGCTCCATACGGAACTTAACTGGGTTTACCTATGGAAGTTCAAACCAGATTCAGAAGGTCAGGTTTTTTTTTTTTTTTTTTTTTTTTTGCTTTGAATAGAACTGCTTCTTACCTGGGGGGACAGGATCCTGGGTACGGCTCTGTTTGTGCTTGTGCTTATTCTTCTTCTTGGGAGGCTGAATATGCATCAGACGACACTGCTCCGGCAACTGAAGGAACCAAAGGAAGGTCCAGGTGAGTAGAGGGAGGAAATCTCTCCTGCTCTTATCATCCATTCTGCTCCATTATGAAGGAACAGACTTGGAGAGAAAAACCATCTCCATGTTTAGGCCTCCCCATTTGCCTTCTTCCTCCAACAGGACTCACCGGGCCAGTGTGGAGGCGGAAGCCGGCCAGCATGGTCCCTGTGATAGGATTGAAAGAGCTACTGAGAATAGGGGGCTTCTCAATGAGAGAGCGGAGGCTGCTGTTATCATGGGAACCAGGCAGATCAATCATCCCTGGCAGGTCAGGCAGGAAGTTACTTAGCTTCTCCTTCACCTTCTTCCCACAGAATTTATTATAGGCTTGTTCCAAGTTGTAGTGTGTGATCAGATTCGTGCTGCCTGTCAGCTCTGTGCTACCTAGACAACGCAGAATAAAAATAAAAAAGATCAGTCTTCAAAGTAGACCCAGGGAGTGAAGGACTATATATTAACCTAAATAAGACATTTTTTAAGTGCAGATTTTAAAATTTAAAATTTATTTTTAAAGAAACAGAGCAGGCCGGATGCAGTGGCTCATGCCTGTAATCCCAGAACTTTGGGAGGCTGAGGCGGGTGGATCACCAGGTCAGGAGATCGAGACCATCCTGGCTAACAACACGGTGAAACTCCGTCTCTAGTAAAAATACAAAAAATTAGCCAGGCGTGGTAGCACGTGCCTGTAGTCCCAACTACTCAGGAGGCTGGGGCAGGACAATCACTTGAACCCGGGAGGTGGAGGTTGCAGTGAGCTGAGATTGCGCCACTGCACTCCAGCCTGGACAACAGCGAGACTCTGTCTCAAAAAAAAAAAAAAAAACAGCAAAAGTAAATAACATGAAAAGTATAATACAACACAATGGTAGGTTCCAATGGGAAGGGGAAAAACAGGCAAAAATCCAATAGGGCAGAGACAGGAACTGCTCTAGCCCAATGAAGGAGACACTCCACTCTCTTAAGATTAACTGGAGTTGATTTATATGATGCTTGCTTCGTGGTAAATGCTGTTCTGAGTGTTTCTCATAAAATGTATTAGTGAAAAATTATATTCTCTGACACAGCTAGGAAAATACGACCTTGCAGCTCAGCTACAACCATGCTCAGGGGGCCAAATATGACCCAGTGACTTAAGGGTCTTGTCAAGGACTTTTTTTTTTTTTTACTAGCAAGAAACACTAATCACCTTTACATAAGAAAAGAACTGGGAGATTTTTTTCTAGCTACCACTGCCTAACTTGTTACCAACATCTTTATTCTTCCTCGTGATACTGAGTATGATGCCTTGCCTAAAAGGAATAAATGTTTTTTGTTTTTGAGACGGGAGTTTTGCTCTGTCGCCTAGGCTGGAGTGCAGTGGGGTACGATCTTGGCTCACTGCAACCTCCGCCTCCTAGGTTCAAGTGATTCTCCCACCTCAGCCTCCCAAGTAGCTGGGATCACAGGCACACACCACCATGCCTGGCTAATTTTTTTCTAGTAGAGAAGGGGGTTCACCATGTTGAGTAGGCTGGTCTTGAACTTCTGACCTCAAGTGATCCGCCACCCCCCGCCGCCTCGGTTTTCCAAAGTGCCGGGATTACAGGTGTGAGCCACAGCACGCATCCAGGAAGAAATGTTTGATTAGAAGTCAGTCAACTAATGGCCAGGCGCGGTGGCTCACGCCTGTAATCCCAGCACTTCAGGAGGCCAAGGCGGGCAGCTCATTTGAGGTCAGGAGTTCAAGACCAGCCTGGCCAACATGGTGAAACCCTGTCTCTACTAAAAATACAAAAATTAGCTGGACAGTAGTGGCACACACCTGTAATCCCTGCGAGGCGGAGGTTGCAGTGAGCTGAGATCAGGCCACTGCACTCCAGTTTGGGTGAGAGAGTGAGACCCTGTCTCAAAAAAAACAAAACAAAACAAAACAACAAAAACAAAAAAACAAGTCAGGCAACTAGAATTATTCTGGCTGTCTTCCATGCCTCAGTTTCCTCTTATCTGTGGAATGGAATAATAGCTATCTTACATACACATAATTTTCTCCCAAGGTTCAAATGAAAATATGCTGAAAAGCATAAAGTATCAGGCTTGGCACAGTGGTTCATGCCTGTAATCCCAGCACTTTGGGAGGCCAAGGCAGGCAGATCACCTGAGGTCAGGAGTTTGAGACCAGCCTGGCCAATATGGTGAAACCCCATCTCTACTAAAAATACAAAAATTAGCTGGGTGTGGTGGCATGCGCCTGTAGTCACAGCTACTTGGGAGGCTGAGGCAGAAGAACTGCTTGAACCCGGGAGGTGGAAGTTGCAGTGAGCTGAGTTTGCACCACTGCACTCCAGCCTGGGTGGGAGAGTCAGATTCCATCTCAAAAAAAAAAAAAAAAAAGTATTATATGTATGCAAGGCACTATCCATATAAATATTGCATGGCTGATTCTTTTTTAAAAAATATACATTTATTAGTAACTTAATAAGGACCTACTAGCAAGGGTAGAAATAGCTAACTACAACTTCATTTGTAATTATGATAGACACAGAGGGTACAAATGACAAAAATGGCTTGTTTATAATCATTCACTTGGGAAAACTGAGGTACTGAACTGTAAGCTCCTTGGAGGCACAGACAATGTCTTGTTCATTCATGTATCGCTAGTGCCCAGCACAGTACACACATTAGGTGCTTAATAAATATTTATTAAATAAACAAGGCACTTTCCCTCTATACCTCTAGGCCTTATTCATCCTTTTCCTTCCCTTTACTACCAAACAACTCAGAAGACTGAGCGAGGGTAATGGCAGGAGACCCAATGTCACAGTATCTCTCCTCATAACTCTGGGCACTGCCTCTTGCCATTACAATCTTCTGAATTTCCCCTGCTCTGCCAACTCTCCTCTGTCCAGATGGTTATCCTTAAGGCTCAGGTGAGAAGGCAGTCTGTGCTTTTTCTAAACTGTAACTTGAGAGTTCAAATTCCAGTTTTGACTATTCTACAAAGATTACTTTTTATATTTATTTATTTTTTGAGACAGTCTCGCTCTGTCACCCAGGCTGGAGTGTAATGGCACAATCTTAGCTCACTGCAATCTCTGCATCCTGGGCTCAAACTACTTTCCTGCCTCAGCCTCCCAGGTAGCTGGGACTACATGCATACACTGCCATGCTAGGCTAATTTTTGTATTTTTTGTAGAGACAGGGGTCTCCCTATGTTGCCCAGGCTGGTCTTGAACTCCTGGACTCAAGCTATCTGCCTGCCTCAGCCTCCCAAAGTGCTAGGATTACAGGCGTGAACCACCCTGCCCAACAAGATAAAAAAAAAAAAAATTGTTTTGAAATTCCAAATCTTGCCAACATCACTCAGGGCTTCTCTATTTCAATCCATGGCACCCACATGTTCCAGATATTTTTGGAAATCAGTACTCCTCAGTTCACAAATCTTAATGGTTTCTTTTTGCCCTCAGGAGAAAGCTCAAATTCCTTTGACTGGCACTCAAGGCTAATTACATCTTACTCCAACTTAGCTTTGGGGCCTCATCAACCACTACTCTCCTATGCAAAATTTCTGATCCATCCAAATGGATCTCCTTATCGCCTCAAAAAAACACCCCTCACATTATTTCATCTTAGGAAAATTCTTCCTAATTTTTCTTCACCAATATGGATTATTCAAGGTCTAGCTCAAGTGACATCTTATTCTCACTGTCATTCTGGATAGCAACACACTTTGAAAACCATTAGGTAGTTCTTAATATTGATGGCTAAGATATTGTTAATTGCTGTTGTGAGGCATGAGCACAAAATGAGATGGAGGTGACAGGAAATATAGTCACTATCCTTAAACCACAAATTTTACATTCCTAACTAAACTCCTTGAAAAGCAATGACCAGCATTACTAATCTCTCTCTCCATCTCACCCGCCTCATACACCCAGCATTTGCCCAGAACATATATTCAATATCTGTCAACTGACTGATACAAATAGCTACAATCAGAATAGGGAAGGCAAAAGAAAGATTAAAAGAAACCGCTGGTGGACATCAACCACTAACTAATCAAAGGGATGTCAACTTCTCCATGTTTCAGTTTTTTCAATTATAAAATGTAGACAGTAATGCTACCTCAAAGGGCTATTCTAAGTATTAAATACTACTTATATTAAATACTGCATGTAAGTGTGTTGTGAACTTCAAAGTACTATACCAATATTTGTTGCTATTTCCCTCAAGTCATGATGTGGAAATAAGACTTGAGACAATGAAAGGCATCTGGGAGGCTGGGCGCAGTGGCTCACGCCTGTAATCCTGGCACTCTGGGAGGCCAAGGTGGGCGGATCACCTGAGGTTGGGAGTTTGAGATCTGCCTGACCAACAGGGAGAAACCCTGTCTCCACTAAAAATAAAAAATTAGCTGGGTGTGGTGGCACATGCCTGTAATCCGAACTACTCGGGAGGCTGAGGCAGGAGAATCGCTTGAACCTGGGAGGCGGAGGTTGTGGTGAGCTGAGATTGTGCCATTGCACTCCAGCCTGGGCAACAAGAGCAAAACTCTGTTTAAAAAAAAAAAAAAAAGAGGCATCTTGGAGACCAAACATGTCCAAAATAACTCTTGATTTCCACCTCTTCAAACTTGTTCCTTCCTCATCTTCCAAGTCTCCGTACCCATACACCCAATTATTCAAGCCGAAAACTTAAAAAGGCATCAATTCCTCTATTTCCTTCACTTCTATATACAATATATATTTTTAATTGAGACAGGGTCTTCCTCTATCATCCAAGCTGGAGTGCAGTGGCACAATCATGGCTCACTGCAGCCTCAACTTCCTGGGCTCAAGTGATTTCTACCACCTCATCTTCCTAGGTAGCTGAGACTACAGGTGCATGCTGCTATCCCTAGCTAATTTATTTTTATTTTTTGTAGAGATGGGGTCTCATTATGTTGCCCAGGCTGGTCTCAAACTTTTGGGCTCAAGCAATCCTCCCACCTCAGCCTCCCAAAGTGCTGGGATTACTGGCGTGAGCCACAGCGCCTGGCCCTGTATTCAATTTTTCAACCCTGTCAGCTCTACCTCTAACATCCTGTATCCATTTACTTCTCTATGCCCTGCTATGCTCTGGTTCAAACCATTATCTTTCCTGGACTACTGAGCAGTAACTTCTGACTAATTTCCCCACTTTCTATTTGTCATGTGGCTGCTTAAATGATTATAAACAAGTGCATTTGACCAACTTCCTATGTTAAAATGGCTTTCCTTGGCTGGGCACAGTGGCTCAGACCTATAATCCTAGCACTTTGGGAGGCCAAGGCGGGAGGACTGCTGTTGGCCAGGAGTTCAAGACCAGCTTGCGCAACACAGTAAGACCCAGTCTCTACAAAAAAATTTTAAGTTAGCCAACTGTGGTGGTGCATGCCTGTAGTCCTAGCTACTTGGAAGGCTGAGGTGGGACGACAGCATGAGCCTAGGAACTGGAGGTTACAGTGAGCTATGATTATACCACTGCAGTCCAGCCTGGGTGACACAGTGAGACCTTGTGTCTATAAAAAAATTTTTTAAATGGCTTCCTTTTGTATTTACAATCTAAATGCCTTTACTGCTTTATAAAAGCCTCTGCCTAACTCTCCCAGCTTCATCTCTCTCCCTAACACTCTTTCCTTTTGTTCACTTCACTGGAGTCCAACTGATTTTCTGTCCCTCAGATATTCTAAGCTTTTTCTCACATCAGGGTTTCTGACCTCATTTCTTGTATCTACAATTGTCTCTCCCTCCTGTCCATACATGGCTGGCCCTTTGTCTATGCTTACATTTTAGTTCAAATGTTAGCTATGTGAAGAGAGCATCTCTGGCCACTCTAGCTAAAGTAGTTCTGCCCCTCAATTTTTTTTTTTTAAGAGACAGGGTCTCATCTGTTGCCCAGGCTGGAGTGCAGTGGCACAATCTTGGTTCACTGCAGCCTCGACCTCCTGTGTTCAAGCGATTCTCCTCCCTTAGCCTCCTGAGTAGCTGGGGCTACAGGCATGCATTACCACGCCCGGTTAATCTTGTATATTTTGTAGAGACTGGGTCTCGCCATGTTGCCCATGCTGGTCTCAAACTCCTGGGCTCAAGGGATTCTGCCTCGGCCTCCCAAAGCGCTGGGATTACAGGCGTGAGCAACGCGCCTGGCCACCTTCAATTTTTATCATGTTTTCTTTTCCTAGCATTAACCACTTTCTGACATTATCTTGTTTACAATGCCTCCTCCACTGAAATGTACATCCCAAAAAAGGCAAGCATCTTGTCAGTCTTGTTCACAACTGTCTCCAGCATTTAGAAAAGTGCTTGGTACATAGGTACTCAACAAAATAATTTTTTGAATGAAGAGTTTGGTTCGATTCTTATCCCTTTTTTGATCAGACCAGGAAATGCCGGAACCTTAGAAGGAAGAATGGCAACTTGCCCCAAACCAATAGCAAGTCTGTGGGAGACCTGTAACTAAAACTTTGGGTCCCCAAAGATATTAAATCAGGCCTCTCGAGTTCCAAACTCAAACCCTGGATTTTGTTTGTTTTGAGACGGAGTCTCGTTCGCCCAGGCTGGAGTGCAGTGGAGCAATGTCGGCTCTCTGCAACCTCCGCCTCCCGGGGTTCAAACGATTCTCCCGCCTCAGCCTCCCGAGTAGCTGGAATTAAAGGTATACGCCACCACGCCCAGGTAATTTTTGTGTTTTTTGTGGAGACAGGGTTTCATCATGTTGGCCAGGCCGGTCTCGAACTCCTGACCTTAGGTGATTCGCCCGCCTCCGCCTCCCAGAGTGTTGGGATTACAGGCGTGAGCCACCGCGCCCAGCCCTAGGTCATTTTTTAGAGAGACATAAACCAGTGTCAGGGACACAGCCTGGACATGGTGCAAAAGACAGTAACGGAGATGCACTACGCCCCTGCCCGCCATTCATCCCTTTGGTTGAATTCAACTCATCCTGGTTGAATTCAAGTCATCCCTCTGCTTGTGAATCCTAACAGCGCTTCCGACTTAGGGCTCCACAGTCCGGGTATGCGTTGCCTAGGTTACCTCGCACCTCCGCTAGCCGGCTGAGAGCCACGCCCATCACCTCCTCTCTAAGATTTGATTGGCTGGCTTTGGCAAGGCCGAGTACTCACCTGGCAGTTCCCTCATGAGGTAAAAAGGGCCACAGCCAGCTCCTGACTTGTCCGCGCCAGGAGGAGCCGTGGCCGCGGTGGGAGGCGGGGCCGTGCCGGGTCCCCCGCCCGCAGGAGGCGGTGGCGGGGGTGGAGGCTTTCCTGGTCCGAAGCCGAGTGCGGTTGGGGGCGGTGGTGGGTCAGCCTGAGCCCCAAACAGTGCCGTGAAATTCTCCATCGTACCCTCCGCCCCGGCGCTGTCTCCGTGTCTGCCGTTGGTAATTTTCATTGGACAATGCTTTCAAGGAGTACCCCCCCGCCCTTTCTCAAGGAGCCGCTTGTCATTGGATGCCTCAGGCACCGCCTACCTTTTTTCAACAACTACTTCCGTCGCCTTATGAGAACGTTCAGGAAGTGCTATTTAACCTTATTAGAGTCTTCTGCTAGCTCTGCTTGCTACAGTCCAATAAAATGACTTAGGCGGATAAAGCGACAACTAGACTAACCAATAAAATATTAAGTTCTTTTTTGGGTTCTGACCTACCACAGCGTTCAGAGAACTACATCCGGGTTTAGAGGCCGTACGTTTGCGATATAGCCCAATAGCAGTCGTTATGGTGGGGGAGGCGGGGCGAGACCTACGACGCCGGCGAGCAGTGGCCGTTACGGCCGAAAAGATGGCGGTCTTGGCACCTCTAATTGCTCTCGTGTATTCGGTGCCGCGACTTTCACGATGGCTCGCCCAACCTTACTACCTTCTGTCGGCCCTGCTCTCTGCTGCCTTCCTACTCGTGAGGAAACTGCCGCCGCTCTGCCACGGTCTGCCCACCCAACGCGAAGACGGTAACCCGTGTGACTTTGACTGGGTGAGCCTCCCGCGTGTTAGTACCCCGCGACCTTGACTGTCCCTGCCCTTGCAGGTGTATCTGGGAACCCTGGGGTTTACCTCTCTGAGGACACCTGAGGTTCCGAGCCTGTAGCGGACTTAGAGACTATTAAGTGCAGGGTCCGAACCATCATCGAGTCTAAACTTTGTGTTTAAGATGGGAAAACGGAACATGTTAGTCGTAGCCCATGCACAACGGCCCAACAGCTTTTGACTGTTGAGTCCAGGTTTCTTTCTGTTTCACCATTGAGACTAATTAACAGCCCTATCAAAACTGTACATACACGTGTATAACGTTTTACAGTGCCGCTCATTATGTAAAGCCTCCTGAGGAGCCAGTAAGGTAGACAAGGCAAGTAGTAATATTCCTGTTTCATTGGTGAAGAAATGGATCTCGGTATATTTAGGTGACTTGCCCCAGGTCATACAACTAATGAGTGCCTGGGACTTGAAACTACTCTTCTGGCCACACTACCTGCACAACACTGTCAGCCGCTTCTTAATTCAATAAACATTTCTAGAGTGTACACTCTAGGCACTCTGCTTGATCCTGAAGATGCGAAAGTGGATAAAATTTGGGGGCTACTGTAAAGGAATTGTAAAAAATACGTTGTAAAGAAATCTTTGGGATTTCTTTGGGAAGTGTCCCAAGCTCCTTGCTGTGCTTCCTTGGTATGGGTGGAGGGACTGCTCGGAACATAAACTTAAAGCACTTTCCCTTCTGCCATATAGCATGTAGGGGCCAAGGAAAAGCTTCCCCTTTGCTCTCTGAGGGTTTGTTGAAAAATCAACCGACAAAGGGCACATTAATAGGAGAAAGGCATAGAAATTTTATTTTAACGTGCATAGCATGAGGGAATTGCAGGAGAATGACCCAGTGGGGTACAGATGCTTATATACCCTCTTTCATAGGAATATGGGAGATGGGAAAATGTGGGTGATTTTAAGGTGGATCGTAAATGATTTTTAGGGTGATTCAGTGGCCTGGAGAACATACAGTGGCCTGGGACAATGACTGTTGGGCCTGCAGAGCAGACAATGGTTTCTGACAAAAATCTGTCCAGGTGTGTTGACAGGCTTCCATCTTTCTTCTTGTACTGAAGTAAGTTAATGAAAACTCAGGGAAGAGACCAGAAGTAATTGTTGTCTTCTTTGACAGGTCTGGACTTTAGGCAGATAAGGTAGTTATCAGAGTAAAGCTGCTTCCAGTATCTGCTGGTTTCCAGGGACCTTTAATTTAAAATGATTAGCATACAGGATGCCATATTTTGGGGTGTGAGTCCCTGGTCTTCTTTATTTCCTTTGTCTGAAACTTCCTTAGAAGTTTCACTATAAGCTGAGTTGGTGTCTGTGGAGAGAGAAATCGGGCTAGTAATTGAGCGGCAAAGGATCCCATTAAACCAGCCTCTCATTTTGGGGGATAGTCCAGTTCAATTAAATTGTTGTGTCTCATTTCAGAAGATGGCATTGTAGATGAGTTCTCAAAGCTAGGCCTCTGTATATGATGTAGGCAAACAGGTATTTAATAAGAGAGACATTTCTATGGAACAAGACAAACAAAGCTTAATATCTGGTATAGTCTATAAACTAGTTTCTTTAGAGTCTGGAGGGCAGTCAATTGGGAAGATTAATAGCAATCTATTTTCCTAGATTGTAGGTTGTGTGTAAAGTTTGTCCAAATATAAGCTTTTGTGGTGATTTTTTTTTCAAAGTCACGTTGACTAGCTTTAGCTGGTAAGGCCTTAGGAAAAAGGCAGGGTTTTTAGTTTTTTGGATTTTTTTTTGAGACAAGGTCTTGCTCTGTCATCCAAGCTGGAGTGCAGTGATGTGATCATGGCTCACTGTAGTCTTAACCTCCTGGGCAAAGCCATCCTGCCACCTCAGCTTTCCAGGTAGCTGGAACCAAAGGCATGCACTACACACCTGGCTAATTTTTAAAAATTTTTTTTCAAGGTGGGGTCTCTTGATGTTGCCCAGGCTGGTCTTGAACTCCTGAGCTCAAGGGATCCTCCTGACTTGGCTTCCTAAGGAGCTGGGATTTACAGGTGTGAGCCACTGCGCCAAGCTAAAAAAGGCCGTTTTAATTTTTAGTGATTCTAAGTCAGAAGAGTGGGTGAAAAATGGAAAACATTAGTCTGGAGGTTAGCAATTTTATGAGTCCAGTTTTATTTTCATTAGACTTTGGAAATTTTTACCCAGTCCGGTGATACAGTTTCAAAGTTATCAGAAACCTTTATTTGTCAGCATTCTTCCCATGCTTTCCATGATCCTCCTTGAAAATAAGACACTTGGCCAGGCATGGTGGCTCACATCTGTAATCCCAGCACTTTGGGAGGCTGAGGCGGGTGGATTTCCTGAGCTCAGGAGTTCGAGACCAGCCTGGCCAACATGGTGTAACCCCGTCTCTACTAAAAATACAAAAAATTAGCTGGGTGTGGTGGTGGGTGCCTGTAATCCCAGCTACTCTGGAGGCTAAGGCAGGAGAATCACTTGAACCTGAGAGGCAGAGGTTGCAGTGAGCCAGGATCGTGCCATTGCACTCCAGCCTGGGCAACAAGAGCAAAGTTCTGTCTCAAAATAAATAAATAAATAAAATTAAAAAAATATATTTTATATATAATATATATGTATTAATGTGCTTTTAATACTAAAGCTGATTTTAATAAACTTTACAAACAAATCTGTCTAATCTTGATCAGCTTTGACTAGACAAGATAAAATTTCCATAAACCTTTTATAACCTCTTAGAATTTGTTTTCTTTTTTTTTTCTTTTATTGATCATTCTTGGGTGTTTCTCGCAGAGGGGGACTTGGCAGGGTCATAGGACAATAGTGGAGGGAAGGTTGGCAGATAAACAAGTGAACAAAGGTCTCTGGTTTTCCTAGGCAGAGGACCCTGCCGCCTTCCGCAGTGTTTGTGTCCCTGGGTACTTGAGATTAGGGAGTGGTGATGATTCTTAACGAGCATGCTGCCTTCAAGCATCTGTTTAACAAAGCACATCTTGCACCGCCCTTAATCCATTTAACCCTGAGTGGACACAGCACATGTTTCAGAGAGCACAGGGTTGGGGGTAAGGTCACCGATCAACAGGATCCCAAGGCAGAAGAATTTATCTTAGTACAGAACAAAATGAAAAGTTTCCCGTGTCTACTTCTTTCTACACAGACACGGCAACCATCCGATTTTTCAATCTTTTCCCCACCTTTCCCCCCTTTCTATTCCACAAAACCGCCATTGTCATCCCGGCCCGTTCTCAATGAGCTGTTGGGTACACCTCCCAGACGGGGTGGTGGCTGGGCAGAGGGGCTCCTCACTTCCTAGTAGGGGTGGCCGGGCAGAGGCGCCCCTCACCTCCCGGACCGGGCGGCTGGCCGGGCGGGGGGCTGACCCTCCCACCTCCCTCCTGGACGGGGCGGATGGCCGGGCGGGGGGCTGACCCCCCCCCACCTCCCTCCCGGATGTGGGGCTGACCCCCCCACCTCCCTCCCGGACGGGGCGGCTGGCCGGGCGGGGGGCTGACCCCCACACCTCCCTCCCGGACGGGGCGGCTGGCCGGGCGAGGGGCTGACCCCCCCACCTCCCTCCCGGACGGGGCGGCTGGCCGGGCGGGGGGCTGACCCCCCCACCTCCCTCCCGGACGGGGCGGCTGGCCGGGCTGAGGGGCTCCTCACTTCCCAGTAGGGGCGGCCGGGCAGAGGCGCCCCTCACCTCCCGGACGGGGCGGCTGGCCGGGCGGGGGGCTGACCCCACCTCCCTCCCGGACGGGGCGGCTGGCCGGGTGGGGGGCTGACCCCCCCACCTCCCTCCCGGACGGGGCGGCTGGCCGAGCGGGGGGCTGACCCCCCCACCTCCCTCCCGGACGGGGCGGCAGGCCGGGTGGGGGGCTGACTCCCCCACCTCCCTCCCGGACGGGGTGGCTGGCCAGGCAGAGGGGCTCCTCACTTCCCAGTAGGGGCGGCTGGGCAGAGGCGCCCCTCACCTCCCGGACGGGGCGGCTGGCCGGGCGGGGGGCTGACCCCCCCCACCTCCCTCCTGGACGGGGCGGCTGCCGGGCGGAGACGCTCCTCATTTCCCAGACGGGGTTGGTGCCGGGCAGAGGGGCTCCTCACTTCTCAGATGGGGCGGATGCTGGGCGGAGGGTCTCCTCACTTCTCAGACGGGGCGGCTGGGCAGAGACACTCCTCACCTCCCAGACGGGGTCGCGGCCGGGCAGAGGCGCTCCTCACATCCCGGACGGGGCGGCGGGGCAGAGGCGCTCCCCACATCTCAGACGATGGGCGGCCGGGCAGAGACGCTCCTCACTTCCCAGATGGGATGGCTGCTGGGAAGAGGCGCTCCTCACTTCCTAGATGGGATGGCGGCCGGGCAGAGACGCTCCTCACTTTCCAGACTGGGCAGCCAGGCAGAGGGGCTCTTCACGTCCCAGACGATGGGCGGCCAGGCAGAGACGCTCCTCACTTCCCAGACAGGGTGGCGGCCGGGCAGAGGCTGCAATCTCGGCACTTTGGGAGGCCAAGGCAGGCGGCTGGGAGATGGAGGTTGTAGCGAGCTGAGATCACGCCACTGCACTCCAGCCTGGGCACCATTGAGCACTGAGTGAACCAGACTCCGTCTGCAATCCCGGCACCTCGGGAGGCCAAGGCTGGCGGATCACTCGCGGTTAGGAGCTGGAGACCAGCCCGGCCAACACAGCGAAACCCCGTCTCCACCAAAAAAGTACGAAAACCAGTCAGGCGTGGTGGCGCTTGCCTGCAATCGCAGGCACTCGGTGGGCTGAGGCAGGAGAATCAGGCAGGGAGGTTGCAGTGAGCCGAGATGGCAGCAGTACAGTCCAGCTTCGGCTCGGCATCAGAGGGAGACCGTGGAAAGAGAGGGAGAGGGAGACCGAGAGGGAGAGGGGAGAGGGGAGAGGGGAGAGGGGAGAGGGAGAGGCAGAGGCAGAGGCAGAGGCCAGAATTTGTTTTCATTCTTTATTTTCTTTCCCTAGCTTTTTATTGTTGTTGTTATTTAGTTTTTATTTCATAATCATAAACTTAACTGCAATCCAGCTAGGCATGTAAGGGAACAAGGAAAACACGGAACCCAAAGGGAACTGCAGTGAGAGCACAAAGATTCTAGGATACTGCGAGCAAATGGGGTAGAGGGGTGCTCTCCTGAGAGGAGAGCACAGAAGGAATGGTCTGGTGGTGAAGACAAAACAAGTCAAACTTACTAGACTTATCCACAGTCAGCAATGGTGATCTTCTTGCTGGTCTTGCCATTCCTGGACCCAAAGCGCTCCATGGCCTCTGCAATATTCATGCCTTCTTTCACCTTGCCAAAGACCACATGCTTGCCATCCAACCACTCACTCTTGGCAGTGTAGATGAAAAGCTGGGAACCTTTTGTGTTGGGTCCAGCAATTGCCATGGACAAGGTGCCAGGACCTGTATGCTTTAGGATGAAGTTCTCATCATCAAATTTCTCCCCATAGATGGACTTGCCACCAGTGCCATTATGGCGTGTGAAGTCACCACCTGATACATAAACCCTGGAATAATTCTGTGAAAGCAGGAACTCTTACAACCAAATCCTTTTTGTCCAGTGCTCAGAGCACGAAAGTTTTCTGTTGTCTTTGGAACCTTGTCTGCAAACAGCTCGAAGGAGATGCGGCCCAGGGGCTCACCATCCACGGTGATGTCAAAGAACACGGGGTTGACCATGGCTGATAGTACAGGGCTCCTGGTGGTGGCAGCAAAGCCTCTTTGCCCAACTTTTTATATCTGTTTAGTTTTATCTATATCATTGTTTTCCTCCATTCATTTATTCTGAAATAACCCCCCCTCTTTTTTTTTTTTTTTTTTTTGAGATGGAGTCTCACTCTGTTGCCCAGGCTGGAGTTCAGTGGTGTGATCTTGGCTCACTGCAACCTCCGTCTCCTGGGTTCAAGTAATTCTCCTGCCTCAGCCTCCCGAGAAGCTGGGACTACAGGTGCCTGCCACCACGTCTGGCTAAATTTTGTATTTTTAGTAGAGACGGGGTTTCACCATGTTGGCCTGGCTTGTCTCTTAACTCCTGACCTCATGATCCGCCCGCCTTGGCCTCCCAAAGTGCTGGGATTACAGGTGTGAGCCACCGCGCCCAGCCACAAAGGATTTTTAAAAAGAGCTTTCTGGTCAGAAGTTGGCTTAACTAAAAGCTGATATTCAGGCCATATATATATATATTTTTTTTTTTTTTTTTTTTTTGAGACAGAGTCTCACTGTCACCCAGGCTGGAGTGCAGTGGTGCAATCTTGGCTCACTGCAACCTCCATCTCCTGGGTTCAAGCGATTCTCCTGCCTCAGCCTCCTGAGTAGCTGGGATTACAGGTGCACGCCACCACGCCCGGCTAATTTTTTGTATTTTTAGTAGAGACGGGTTTTCACCATGTTGGCCAGGATGGTCTCGATCTCCTGAACTCGTGATCCAGCTGCCTCGGCCTCCCAAAGTGCTGGGATTACAGGCATGAGCTACCGTGCCTGGCCAATTTTTTTATTTTTTAAAGGCTTTCTGCTTTTTCTCTTTTGGATCTCATGCCCTGGGAAATTTTTTCAGTTCACTGAAACCCCCTTTAAAAAAAAATTATGTTTAGTCCTTGTGTTCACTTCCTTTCTTGTTGGCATGATCTTTGCTGAGAAAAATGTAAAATTTCTTTTTTCTTTGTCTTTTTTTTTTTTTTTTTTTTTTTTGAGACAGGGTCTCACTCTGTTGCCCAGGCTGGAGTGCAATGGTGAGATGTCACCTTACTGCAACCTTGACCTCCCGGGCTCAAGTATTCCACCTCAGCCTTCTGAGTAGCTGGGATTATAGGTGCACACCACCACGCCCGGCTAATTTTTGTATTTTTTGTAGAGATGGGGTTTCGCCATGTTGCACAGGCTGATCTTGAACTCCTGGGCTCAAGTGGTACATTTTCCCTCAGCCTCCCAAAGTGCTGGGACTATAGGCATGAACTACTGCACCCTGCCTTGAAAATGTAAAATTTCATTAGCCTTTTGGGGAAGCTTAAAATCTCTCCAAATTGGCTTCTCCAAAACTGGTTGTTCCATGTATTTCTACTTCTTCCTTTTGCCACCTTTGATAACCCTTAAAGGGGTCTAGATGGGACTTCTGACAACCCTGAGATCCCTTGAGGAAGACAAAAAAAAGGTGCCACTGGTTGGGCGCGGTGGCTCACGCCTATAATCCCAGCACTTTGGGAAGCTGAAGCAGGTGGATTACCTGAGGTCAGAAGTTTAAAATCAGCCTGGCCAACGTGGTGAAACCCCATCTCTACTAAAAATACAAAAAAAAAAAAAAAAAAAGGTGCCACTGACCCTCTCTTTTGGGGCCTCTCGTTTTCCTTATAGAGCCCCAAAAGTCACTAATGGGTTCATGTCAGGTTTAAAACTCTTCTCTCTTTTGAATTAAACTCTCTAGTCTTTGGCTTTTGTATCGATACATGTGTCTATATATGTATGTATATGTCTATACATGTGTTTATTGTGTATATGGTACCAATAACGAATGAGTACCCCCAAAAGTCAGGAGTCAACAAATGGAAATTCAAAACAAAACTTTTTCTTTTTTTTGAAACAGAGTCTTGCTCTATCGCCCAGGCTGGAGTGCTTTAGCATGATCTCTACTCACTGCAACCTCTGCCTCCAGATTAAGCGATTCTCATACCTCAACCTCCTGAGTAGCTGGGATCACAGGCGTGTGCCATCACACACGGCTAATTTTTGTATTTTAGTGGAGACAGTTTCACCACGTTAGTTAGGCTGATCTCGAACTTCTGGCCTCAAGCCATCCGCCCGCTTTGGCCTCCCACAGTGCTGGGATTACAGGCGTGAGCCATCGTGCCTGGCCTCAAACTAATTTTTATAAGTGTTTCTTTTTTTTCCTCTGAGTTAAAAGACTTGCATCTGCAATGGACTGTTACCTTACAAGGAATCGAACCCACGCTGCAGCAGCTAACCAGTTTATTGCCAGCCACTAGACCACAGATCATAGTGCCTTTTTGCAGGCCCTTCAGGGGATCCAAAACAAGCAGTTTGAGTGTACAAAGAATTTTAACTTGTGTTTTGAATCTGATTTCTGTCTTTTAAAAATCTTGCCAAGGGAGTTTCTAAGGCTGTGTTCTTTCTGTATCTTTTTATGGGTACTAGAAAGATAGCTGTTTTTTTTTTTTTTCCTCAGGCCAGGTACGGTGGCTGTAATCCTAGCACTTTGGGAGGCCAAGGCGTGTGGATTGCCTGAACTCAGGAGTTCGAGACCAGCCTGGGCAATACAGTGAAACCCCGTCTCTACTAACATACAAAATATTAGCCGGGTGTGGTGGTGTGTGCCTGCAATCCCAGCTACCTGGGAGGTTGAGGCAGGAGAATTGCTTGAACTGGGAGGCAGAGGTTGCAGTGAGCTGAGATAGTGCCACCGCACCCCAGCCTAGGTGACAGAGTGAGACTCCATCTCCAATCAATCAATCAATCAATGTTTTATTTAAATAAATAAATAAAGTTTTTTTTTTTTTTTTTTTTGAGATGGAGTTTTGCTCTTGTTGCCTAGGCTGGAGTGCAATGGCTCAGTCTCGGCTCACCACAACCTCAGCCTCCTGAGTAGCTGGGATTACAGGCATGTGCCACCATGCCCAGCTAATTTTGTATTTTTAGTAGACATGGGGTTTTTCCATGTTGGTCAGGCTGTTCTCAAGCTCCCAATCTCAGGTGATCCACCAGCCTCGGCCTCCCAAAGTGCTGGGATTACAGGTATAAGCCACTGTGCCTGGTCTAAAATGTTTTTTAAATAAAGCCAATTTACTTAGCGACTTAAGCCAATAAGCCTTCTTCATGGAAAGTCTCAGAGGTAATTTTCTAGGTTCAGAATACCAGATGATATAACCCTCACATTCCCCCAAAATATTTACTTTCAAAAATAGGCTAAGATAGCGAAAGACTCTTGTTTTCATAGACAGTTAAGGATGGTGTTTATGTGTGTGTTTCCTGTAGTATCCCACCAATACGTGGGGGGCTGCTAATCATAGACCTATTAATTTGAGACACCAGCTAGGCCCTCCCTGGATTGGACTTGCCCAGGACTAACCAGGCAATAAGAGTTGAGATTTCTTCCTTCTCACTGAAGTAATTTTATTTATTTATTTTTTAAATTAATTTTAAAAATTGAGGGGGGAGACAGGGTCTTGTTCTCTTACCCACGCTACAGTGCAGTGGCATGGTCGCAGTTCACTACAGCCTCAACCTGCTGCACTTAAGCCATCCTCCCACCTGAGCCTGTCAAGCAGATGGGAGTACAGGCACGTGCCAACATACATGCCCAGCTAATTTTTAAAAATCATTTGTGGAGAGGAGGTCTCACTGTGTTGCCCAGGCTGGTCTCGAACTCCTGAGCTCAAGCGATCCTCCCACCACAGCCTCCCAAAGTGCTAGGATTACAGGTGTGAGCCACCGCACCCAGCTTCAGTGAAGGAATTTTTTTAAAAGGAGAAGAAAAAGATAAAAGAGTTGAGACAATAAAATCAGGTGTGAGTCACTGCACCCGGCCCTCTTTCTCTTTTGAAAAGGCCTTGAAAGATGGCTCTCTCCTTCACCTTTTGTTGTGTCCTGTAACTTTTACTAATTATCTAAAGTAAGGGAGAAAAATTGTTTTTGAAAACAGGCAAATAAAGTATCTTTTGAACATGGCTTTTATTCTGCATGCCTGTTATATCTGTATCTTTATATGTGTCATATAGAAGTGATACTTTACTGCCAAACTACATGAAAGAGCTCTAATCAAGTAATTTAAAAAATGTAAGTGCTTATCACATTGGTAAAAGCTAGCTCAGATGCCTTTTAATTTACATAACCTTGGTAAAACTCTCCAGTGATTTAAAAATCTTAAAGTCATGTTTAAACCCTCAAGTTTTTTTTTCCCCCACTGGAAATTTGGGTTACTAGAAGTTAAGATAGTAGAAACATAAAATATGCTTTTATTAAAATTTTATTGGCTGGGGTGCAGTGGCACAAGCCTATAATCCCAGCACTTTGGGAGGCTGAGACGGGTGGATCACCTGAACTCAGGAGTTCGGGACCAGCCTGGTCAACGTGGCAAAACCCCATCTGTACAAAAATACAAAATTAGCTGGGCGTGGTGGCGTGTTCCTGTAATCACAGCTACTTGGGAGGCTGAGGCAGGAGAATCCCTTGAACCCGGAAAGCAGAGGTTGCAGTGAGCTGAGATTGTGCCAATGCACTCCACCCTGGAGGATAGAGCAAGACTCCGTCTCAAAGAAAATAAATAAATAAATAAACACACGGATGTCAACTCTCAAAAAAATGTAAGTTTCTTTTTTGTTAAGAAACTAAGTGGCTTGGGCTGGGTACAGTGGCTCACGCCTGTAATCCCAGCACTTTGGGAGGCCAGGGCGGATGGATCACCTGAGGTCAGGAGTTCGAGACCAGCCTGACCAATGTGATGAAACCCCATCTCTACTAACAATACAAAAAAAATTAGCTGGGTATGGTGGTATGCACCTGTAATCCCAGCTACTTGGGAGGCTGAGACGGGAGAATTGCTTGAACCCGGGAGGCGGAGGTTGCAGTGAGCCGGGATTGTGCCATTGCACTCCAGCCTGGGCAACAAGAGCAAAACTCCGTCTCAAAAAAAAAAATTCATCGCAAAAAAAAAAAAAGAAAGAAAGAAACTAAGTGGCTCACGCCTGTAATCCCAGCACTTTGGGAGACTGAGGCAGGCGGATCACAAGGTCAGGAGTTCGAGACCAGCCTGGCCAACATGGTGAAACCCTGTCCTACTAAAAAAAATACAAAAATTAGCCGGGCATGGTGGCGAGTGCCTGTAATCCCAGCTACTCGGGAGGCTGAGATGGGAGAATTGCTTGAACCCAGCAGGCGGAGGTTGCATTGAGCTGTGATCACACCACTGCACTCCAGCCTGGGTGACAGAGCAAGACTCTGTCTCAAAAATAATAATAATAATAATAATAATAATAATAAGCTAAGAGTTGCTTTATAATGAAGAAAATTATACAGATAAAACTAAATGGATTTTTTTTTTTTAAAAAGGAAAACAAAACAAGCCAGGGCAACAAAACTCTGAGCCCTATGGTTACCAAGAAAATAGTCAATATAGGGGAAGGGCAAAACCAAGTAACTATTTAAAACCAAAGGGTGTAATGTAAAGGAATTGTTCCATTTTGTAGATTGGTATCATTCAGCTTCTTTTTTTAAAAAAAACTTTAGTGGATTGTGAAAATAACTGCTTTAAGGACAAAATTCTTAATTTTAAATGCTACAGAATTTAAGAGCTTGTTTGAATTAATGCAGGACCCAGAACTCATTACTGAACAGTCACTGAGTATATATGATCCAAACGCAAAGGGGGTTTATTCTTGAAAAAGCAATCAGCCTAGTGGGCCAGATAATGCCATTATAAGGTCTCTTTGCCCTGAGAAGGGAACTGCCCAACTCTCCCTTTAAAATACCAAGTGAAGTACCCCAGATGAAGCAGTTAGTATGTTTCATATACAAGCCATGTTGCACTAGCTTTATGATAACTGGGATATCCTCCCACCAAATATGTCTATTACCCAGGTCATGGTAAATTTGGAGGTTAAGAGGGCCCGTTTTACATGGGTGCCCTCCTACAGAATCATAGGTCTGTTTAAGAAGCCTTACCAAATATCCTGTCCCTCATAGGTCTTACAGATGCAACCCCATGCTGGGAACGCAAACCCTTTGTACCAGAAAAGGTAAAATGGTCTGGGGATTAAAAAAAAAAAAAAAGGCTTCCTGGGACCAGAACATAAAAACATACAGGTTAATAGAACTGTAAAATGTAAGATGTTTAAACAAGCTTTATCTAAGGTAGTTGTAACCCCTTTTACCTAAATGTCTTATGAAAATGGGTACTATAAGGCTGGGCATGGTGGCTCACACCTGTAATCCCAGCACTTTGGGAGGCTGAGGCGGGTGGATCACAAGGTCAAGAGTTCAAGATTAGCCTGGCCAAGGTGGTGAAACCGTGTCTCTACTAAAAATACAAAAATTAGCTGGGTGCGGTGGCAGGCGCCTGTAATCCCAGCTACTCGGGAGGCTGGGGCAGGAGAATCACTTTGAACTCGGGTGGCAGAGGTTGCAGTGAGCCAAGATCGTGCCACTGCACTCCAGCCTGGGCAACAGAGTGAGACTGTGTCTCAAAAAAAAAAAAAAAAAGAAAGAAAAGAAAAGAAAATGGGTTCTACATCTAATTGGGGGATGTTTTCCCCTTTCTAGTACTGTAAAACTGAAGATGTAAATCTGCTCATGTAAATCCTCCATTGCATAGCCTTTTGTGTGGAGCATTTATCGGGGCTGATGGCAAAAACTAAGCCCTGACTTTTTAAGTGCAGATTAAGCCATTATTTATCTCTCCCTGTTTTACTTCCAAGGAAACCGAAATCATGGTATTCTGAAGACTAGAAACATGAATCTCCCTCATTTGGTATCCCACTGACCCTGGATCTGTTTCACTGCTAATGCTCTGCTGCTAAAACTATACAAGCTGCCTCCCTTTGGGCCAGGGCACATGAGGTTATAAGGGCTGGTTTTGAGGGATAAAATTAGGTCAAGATTGGCTGGTCGAGGTGGCTCACGCTTGTAATCCCACCACTTTGGGAGACCGAGGCGGGTGGATCACTTGTGGTCAGGAGTTTGAGACCAGCCTGGCTAACAGAATGAAACCCTGTCTCTACTAAAAATACAAAAATTAGCCAGGTGTGGTGGCACATACCTGTAATCCCAGCTACTTGGGAGGCTGAGGCAGGAGAATCGCTTGAACCCAGGAGGTGGAGGTTGCAGTGAACTGAGATTGTGCCACTGCACTCCAGCCTGGGCGACAGAGTGAGACTCTTATCTCGAAGAAAAAAAAAAGGTCAAGATTAAACCCTCCAAATCAAGAAGGGGGTACTAAAAATGCCCAAACAGCTGGTAAAACAAAATTGGTTGCCTTCTAAACTATTATGTGTTACTTCTGCATCCACCCCAACCATAAAAATTTTCTGCTTACTATAAAATTAAGGAAAAATATTTACTAACATTATAAAGTACCATGGAACAAAGCCTCCTGGGTATAATACTCCAAATTATAAGTCGTGAAGATAAATATATCTACAGATACAGATATGTATATATACATATTTTAAATTATTTCTCAGAATGATGCTTATGTTTTGTATAGCTAATTGCTATAAGTCTGTAACAGAAACCAAGCTTACAGTAGCTCCACATAAAAGTTAAAAATAAGTCAGTCTGCCGGGCGTGGTGGTTCACTCCTGTAATCCTAGCACTTTGGTAGGCTGGGGTGGGCGGATTTCCTGAGGTCAGGAGTTCGAGACCACCCTGGGCAACATGGTGAAACCCCATCTCTACTAAAATACAAAAAATCAGCCAGGCGTGGTGGCATGCGCCTGTAGTCCCAGCTACTCAGGAGGCTGAGGTAGGAGAATTGCTTGAACCCGGGAGGCGGAGGTTGCAGTGAGCCGAGATCACGCCACTGCACTCTGGCCTGGGCGACAGAGCCAGACTCCATCTCCATAAAAGATAAGATTAAAAAAAAAACAAGTCAGTCTTGTAACTTTGTTTTTTGGGTTTATTGTTGGCTTTTTTTTTTACTTAATAATTTTAAGAAGTAATGAATGCCTGTCCACATCCATTCCTATATGGCCTAAAACAATTGACTATAAGTCTTTTGACTCTTAAGGCCCTCAGCCATAGGGAGTCCTGCCAAGGAAAAAACACTGTAGAATTATATGACTTCTCCTGTGACAAAACCTTTTCTCCCAAATACCAGTATATGGTGCAATACAAAAGTTGTGGGAAAAATAGGTTTCTACTTTTAATAAGTCTGTAACAATTTAAACACCAAGGACCAGGCATTTCTCCCATTTAATTTATATCCTCCCTCAGGATGCTATACCTATGGAGATAAATTGGCGGAAAGAGAGATTAAATTTATTACATTCTAATTTAATGTTGGTATCACAATTTTCAAATAAGATTTATCACAGGGTTCAAATAACCCTTATTAAGGAGTACAAACACACTGTAAGTCTATTCAAAGAATAGATGATGCATGCAGGGTTTTTCCTGGCTGATTGGGTTGTTTACTGCCCTCAGATTCTACCTATAACCCTGAGTGCCCAAATCTTCACTGTCTTTATGATATTTGTTATTATATTAGCATTAGGCATTTCTTGTAAATATTATGCCAGATACAGCAAAAGGCAAAGGCACAGTTAAAGACCCGGATCATAATAGCTCAGAAAATAGATCTGATCCGGGATTTTTTTTTAGACTAAGCCTGACTCCATTTCACCCCTTAAACAATTGGCTATTACATCAGGTCAGACCATGTCCTCCCCCCATTATCCAAATCGCTAATATTTAAAACTATTACCATCAAATCAAAGGACTCTAGAAACAAGCCTTCCTAGTCCTGTGGGACCCTGCCAGATAGCCAAATCAGACAACTCTAGGAATGAGGTTTCCTAGCACGTTGGGACCTGCTGGTGTTTGTTGGTCTACACATACATTCTATGGAATGCTTTTTGGCCAAGAGAGGGGACTGAGGACTAAGCTATGATTTTTTTTATCTTGCCCAAATTCCTTTCTAAGGGGTCTGGGTAATCATGCCCTAAAAACCATAAATTCTCATCAGATGGGTTTTATTTAACCCTGGATATCTATTGTGACTTACTTTCCTATCTGACTCTGGCATAACAAGGAAGAAACTAAAAATGTTTTACCCCAAAATCTGTTTCCTTCCCATACCTTGAAATTGCCCTACAAAGTCTCTTCTGGGAAAAATCCACATTCTGTAGAGAATCCCCTCTCCCCTTTGTTTTCCTTCCTTCTCAGATCCAGGAAATAATCAACTAAGAGCTAGGCACCCTTTTAAGTCCAATAAGAAACGATTTACAACCTGCTCTCTCTGAAGTCCGCTGAGAGCTTCCTCTGCACAATAAAACTTGGCCTCCTCAATCCTTTATCATAACCTGAACATTCCTTTCTGTGAATCCCAGGTCTTTAGACAAACTCAACCAATTGTCTGCCAGAAAATGTTTAAATTTACCTACAGCCCCGCTTTGAGTTGTCCTGCCTTTCTGAACGAAACCAATGTATTTCTTAAATGTATTTGATTGATGTCTCATGCCTCTCTAAAATATTAAGCTCTACCCAGACCACCTTGGGCACATGTTCTCAGGACCTCCTGAGGGCTGTGTCATGGGCCATGGTCACTCATATTTGGCTCAGAATAAATCTCTGAAAATATTTTACAGAGTTTCACTCTTTTTTTTTTTGAGACGGAGTCTCGCTGTGTCGCCCAGGCTGGAGTGCAGTGGCGCCATCTCGGCTCACTGCAAGCTCCGCCTTCCGGGTTCACGCCATTCTCCTGCCTCAGCCTCCCGAGTAGCTGGGACTACAGGCGCCCGCCACCATGCCTGGCTAATTTTTTATATTTTTAGTAGAGATGGGGTTTCACTGTGAGTTTGACTCTTTTTGGCAACAGTAATATGGCTCCCAACGTTGGCCTCAGAGAAGACTCAGAACCCCAAAGGAGTTGCCCGAGACTGGAGGTAAGGTACCAGCAGGGGCCCATTGAAGCCCCACTGAGTTCGAGCTTCTCCTTCGGTGGAACTGTTAAGTCGTCCTGAGCCCCGGACCTCCCTTCAAGGGCTGATGGTTCTTGATTTTTTCTGAGCTGGTTTTTTGCTAGGAAGTTGTTGTTTAAGGATCCTGATTGTAGTTTGGGTATGCATTCTGAAGGGAATTCTCTATTGCTTTTTCTCCTAAAATTTATCTTGATTCGGTTCATCTGTGTCCATTTGTGTGAGGAACTGAACTGTTGCTTTCATAGAGACTGAGTTTTTCAGCTCTGAAGAGAAAGGGTGTTTGCTCTTCCCAGCTGAAAGGTGCCCCTGGGTGACTGGGGGCTTTGTGGGAGTGTCCAGGGGTTGACCCCCAAGACGTACAGCGGCCCTAAAGGGAAATCCCTTTAGGGATTAATCCCCAAAAACAATTAATTTAAAAAATGGCTCATCCAGGAAACACACATGAGGGCTGATCACCCAGCGTTTTGAGCCCTCTCAGAGGTCACAGACCTCTGGAGAGAGACACTTAAGAGGGCAGAAACGACTCAGTGGTGACACTGTGGAGTCCTGCCTGCAAGCAGCACGCATCAATCCACCACACATCAATCCACCACACAAGAACCCTAGGCTACAGCTCAGCTCCTCTAAGGAGAAAAAAAAAAGGCGAGAAACAAATCTAAGACTAAGGAGAAAATGAGGAGAATGTCCCCTTTTCGGGTCCTTCATAGGTTTTATGGCACCTCTACTTGCCAGAATTGATATAAAATGGAAGTAATATGGTCTTTGTGCACATTTGCATTAAGAAAAAAGAGTCCTAAGGTCAAACTGAAAACTATAGAGTTCTAGGTTCTGTTTTTTTTTCTGCCTGCTTTAGATCGGCTGTTACTTTTCGACTGAGATAAAAACCACTGTTCTCTGTTTTTTTGCAAGTCGGTGAAGTTGTATTTGTCTCATGGCAAAAGTATTGAATTAATAGCTATGGGAACTGTGTGTGTGTGTATTTAAAGGCCTTTATAATAGACTTATATAATTTTACGTTCAATTGGCAATTGAAACCCTTTTAATTTCCCTCTAGCACACCAGACTTTCTCTTCTTACCTTATGATGTAAATTTTGCTATCTGATTTTCACCTGAGTTGCCTTTAATATGCAAATTTAAGGCTGTTTAGCTGACAGCTGCCTAGGGTAGGATTTTTAAAAAACGGAACAAAAAGGAGGTTGTTATGAGTCTATGCCATGTGCTTCTATCGGCATACCTAATAAGTCTATATATTTATGTGTGTGTATACAATATTTTCACTACTGAAAATATATAAAGAGCTCTAATTAATTGGCTTAAAAATATATAAAAGCGGGTAGGGCGCAGTGGCTCACGCCTGTAATCCCAGCACTTTTGGGAGGCCGAGACAGGTTGGATCACAAGGTCAAGAGTTTGAGACCAGCCTGGCCAACATGGTGAAACCCCGTCTCTACTAAAAATACAAAAATTAGCCAGGCATGGTGGCATGCACTGTAGTCCCAGCTACTAAGACTGAGGCAGGAGTATCGCTTGAACCCGGGAGATGGAGGTTGTGGTGAGCCAGGATCACACCACTGCACTCCAGCCTGGGCAACAGAGCAAGACTCCGTTTCCCCCCACAAAAAAAAATAATTATATATATATATATGCATGTGGTGGCCATGGTGCCTCACGCCTGTAATCCCAGTAACTTTGGGAGGCCGAGGTGGGTGGATCACCTGATGTCAGGAGTTCGAGACCAGCCTGGCCAACATGGTGAAACCCCTTCTCTACTAAAAATACAAAAATTAGCCAGCCATGGTGGTGGGCGCCTATAATCCCAGGTACTTGGGAGGCTGAGGCAGGAGAATCGCTTGAACCTGGGAGGTGGAGGTTGCAGTGAGCCGAGATCACACCATTGCACTCCAGGCTGGGCAACAAGAGTGAAACTGTCTTTAAAAAAAAAAAAAAAAAAAAAAAAAAAAGGCCAGGCATGGTGGCTCATGCCTGTAATCCCAGCACTTTGGGAGGCCGAGGCGGGCAGATCATCTGAGGTCAGGAGTTCAAGATCAGCCTGGCCAACATGGCAAAACTCCGTCTCTACTAAAAATACAAAAATTAGCCAGGCATTGGTGGTGGGCGCCTGTAATCCCAACTACTCGGGAGGCTGACACAGGAGAATCGCTTGAACCCAGGAGGCGGAGGTTGCAGTGAGCCGAGATCGTACCATTGCACTCCAGCCTGGGCAACGAGTGAAACTGCGTCTCAAAGAAAAACAAAAAACCAAGAACCTTGTAGAGTGAATTTTTGCCCTCAAATAAAATAACTGGGTTGCTTGAGAGAGAGAGACATTTAGGGTAAAACAGCCTAACCATTGTGAATGATCTATGTAAGTCATAATACGGTTAGTAAGAAGGAATTTTTAAAGGGGTTGTATAATTCGGTTGGCTATGATTAAAGAAAATCATATCTTTCTAGAGATTAGTCTTTAATATTTAAAAAATGCACTAACACAAAACTTAGTTAAAACAAGATTTTATTACAAATATTGAGTTATTTTTAATTCAATAAATTTTTAAATTCTGTAATGTGTTTCCTTTAACATTCTTCAGATTGATATCTTAAAAGTGCCACTCTTTCCGTTTTTTGTTTTTTGTTTTTTTTTTTTTTTTTTTTTTTTTTTTGAGATCCAGTTTCACTCTCGCTCAGGCTGGAGTGGAGTGGTGCAATTTCCACTCACTGCAACATCTGCCTCCCTGGTTCAAGCGATTCTCCTGCCTCAGCTTCCCGAGTAGCTGGGATTACAAGCATGCGCCACTGCACCCAGCTAATTTTTGTATTTTTAGTAGAGACGGAGTTTTGCCATGTTGGCCAGGCTGGTCTTGAACTCCTGACATCAGGTGATCTGCCCGCCTCAGCCTCCCAAAGTGCTGGGATTGCAAGGGTGAGACACCGCACCCAGCCTTTTTTTTTTTTTTTTTTTTTTTTGAGACCAAAAAAATTAAATCAATGTATTTGATGTCTTATGCTTCCCTAAAATATATAAAATCAAGCTGTAGAGCACCTTGGGCACATATTCTCAGGACCTCCAGAGGGCTGTGTCACAGGCCATGGTCACTCATACTTGCCTCAGAATAAATCTCTTAAAATATTTTACAGAGTTTGACTCTTTTCGTCAACACTGGCCACTGGACTTCACCCAAAAATAAGGCCTCCAAGTGGTGGAGACCAAGAAGCTCCCACTTGGTCACAAGTCGAGCTTCCAAGGACATAAGATGAGAAGGAAACCTCATCTGGTTTTTATTTTGGGGACCCACAGCACAATTTGTATGTCATTCTGATAAGAATTTTAAAACTCACCCACCAGTCTGGAGGGCCAGCTTGACCAATAGGCTTACAGGGGCTTTATTCTGATGTTGTACTTTATGGTACCCTACTCTATGACAAAATAACACAGGAAGATATAACAAGAGAAAAAGACTATTTTGGGGAGAAAAAGAATCAGACAATGTGAATATTCATACCAAAAACATATCAAAGTTGCTACACCTAAGACTAATCATACAAATGTTCTTTTCCCATTAATCTTAAATTTGGAAAGGAAAAGGAGACCAAAAGTGGTTTTTGTCTCTTTATTCATGTGTCTTTTTCTTTTTACTAGTGTTTCCGTGTGCGTTGATAAATTTTTCCTTTTCTCATGTCAATCTGCCTTTTGTCAGCTCATTTTCAGCAAAACTTTAGAAGGTGGAGGGGAGGCTACCTTTGTGCCTATAAGCAACATCTGTGCTCAGATGAAGGCGCATCATCCAGAATTTTTGTACTTTTTCCAGCCCCCAAAATGAGTCATTACCTTTACCAGAACCCACTCCCTTATTTTTTTCCTCTTTCCTTTTCCTGCTTCCTCTTTTTCCCAAACTGTATAATCAATTAGCTCAAATGTAGCCTTGCTATTTCAGAGGATCTTTCATTTGATATTTGATGCCACTTCAATGAAAATGGGACCCCAAAATATAAGTGGATAGTAATAAAGATTTTTAATAAGTATAGGAGACCTTTTATAAAGTTCATTTACCTGTATACTCTTATCTAATATGCAAAATGCTGGAAGTTTTATATTCTTACTCTGATAGAATTTTTAAAAAATGCTTAGGGTTAATAGCCAATTTTTGTTTTTCTGGAAAATTCATGGTTCACCTATTTACCTTGCTGATTGGGACTAGGTTCTCAGAGCTTCTAGATAGCTAAACACAGGAAGGTTCCTGGAACATATCCTTTTGGGTTTTTATGGAACTTCATTACATAGGTGTGACTAATTAAATCATTGGCCATTGGTGATCAGCTGAACTTTCAGCCTGGTGGGGGGTGGGGTGGGGCTGAAAGTCCTAACCTGCTAATCATGCGGTGTCCTTAGGCCATATGGTCCTTGTGGGAGCATCATAGAGTGTACTTACACAAACTTAGATGGCCTACTACACACCTAGGCTTTATGGCACAACCTGTTGCTCCCAGGCACAAACCTACACAACATGTTACTGTACTAATAAGCAGTTTAACACAATGGTAAGTATTTATGTATCTAAATATATCTAAACACAGAAAAGGTACAATAAAAATATGGTATTATAATCTTATGGGACCACTGTTGTATATGTGGTCTATTGCTGACCAAAATGTCATGATACGGCACATGACTATATATTTCACAGCATAACAGTGTGTCAGTGATAACTGTGGTTGTGTTTTTTTTTTTAAGTCCTCGTGTAAGACACAGTGAGGAATTTTTTTTTTTTTTTTTTTTTTTTTGAGATGGAGTTTCACTCTTGTCGCCCAGGCTGGAGTGCAATAGCGCTTTCTCGGCTCACTGCAACCTCCGCCTCTCGGGTTCAAGCGATTCTCCTGCCTTAGCCTCCTAGTAGCTGGAACTACAGGTGCCCGCCATCACGCCTGGCTGACTTTTTGTGTGTTTTTAGTAGAGACGGGTTTCACCATGTAGGCCAGGCTGGTCTTGAATTCCTGACCTCAGGTGATCCACCCGCCTCGGCCTCCCAAAGTGCTGCGATTACAGGCGTGAGTCACCGCGCCCAGCCTATAGTGAGGAATTTACAGATGAAACGATATAGCTGGAATTTGCTTAAAGTTTCTCTAAGAAAAAAAAATGGGTAGCATATATGAATTGGAAATCACAGTGGCAAAATGTTGGTTACTGTTGAAGCTGGGTAATAGGGGTTCATTCAATTATCCTCTCTTCTGTATGCTTCAAATTATCCATAATAAAAAGTTTTAAAACAATTAAATAGAACAACCAAGGGCTCTGCATTATAGAGTCATCCTAGAACCCAAGGCTCATTCTGTCTTCAACCTGTGGCCTTGGGTCATCCCAGCATCATCCAGCCAGCAAATGAAAAAAAGCTGGAATGCGGGCTGGGTGCGGTGGCTCACGCCTGTAATCCCAGCACTTTGGGAGGCTGAAGCGGGCGGATCACAAGGTCAGTAGATCGAGACCATCCTGGCTGAAATAATAGAAACCCGGTCTCTACTAAAAAATACAAAAAATTAGCTGGGTGTGGTGGCGGGTGCCTGTAGTCCCAGCTACTCGGGAAGCTGAGGCAGGAGAATGGCGTGAACCTGGGAGGCGGAGGAGACCGCGCCACTGTACTCCAGCCTGGGTGACAGAGAGACCCTGTCTCCAAAAAAAAAAAAAAAAAAAAAAAAAAAAAAGGACTGCAAGGGCACACACTTTCTTAACTGCCTGAACCCAGAAGTGGTAAATCACTTTCATTCACATTCCATTCTCAAGTAACAGTCACACAGTTCTACCTGGATGCAAAGAGATAGGGAGAGAGTCTAGCTGCAGTATGCCTGGGAAGAAAATAAATGAAGTTTGCAGTAGCAATAGCTAGTCCCTCCATAGACCATTTTCTGTCCTTAGAGAATTTCTTTTGGTCCTACCTTTGGTCCCCTGGTTAACTACAACTCTCTTTTAAAATTCATCTTTCAGCCAGGCACAGTGGCTCACGCCTATAATCTCAGCACTTTGGGAGGCCGAAGCAGGTGGATCACTTGAGGCCAGGAGTTCAAGACCAGCCTGGCCAACATGGTGAAACCCCATCTCTACTAAAAATACAAAAGTTCACCGGGCGTGGGGGCAGGTGCCTGTAATCCCAGCTACTCCGGAGGCTGAGGCAGGAGAATTGCTTGAATCCAGGAGGCAAAGGTTGCACTGAGCTGAGGTTGTGGCATTGCACTCCAGCCTGGGCGACAGAGCAAGACTCCTCCATCTCAAAAAAAATAAAAAATAAAAAATAAAAATAAATAAAATTAATCTTTCCACAACTTTCATTCCCAATTCTAACCCACCTAGTTTCATTCATGAAAATCTTTCCTGGCAGGGCAGGGTGGCTCATGCCTGTAATCCCAGCACTTTGGGAGGCCGAGGCGGGCAGATCACAAGGCCAAGAGATCAAGACCATCCTGGCCAACGTGGTGAAACCCCATCTCTACTAAAAATACAAAAGCCGGGCGTGGTGGTGGGCACCTGTAGTCCCAGCTACTCGGGAGGCTGAGGCAGGAGAATCGGTTGAACCTGGGAGGCGGAGGTTGCAATGAGCCGAGATCATGCCCCTGCATTCCAGCCTGGACAACAGAGCAAGAGTCCGTCTCAAAAAAAAGAAAAAATCTTTCCTAATTTCTGCCTCAGGTATAATATTTACAAAGTCTGTCATGCTCCCTCACCCCTATTTTCTTTTCTTTTTTTTTTGAGACGTTGTTTCACTCTGTTGCCCAGGCTGGAGTGCAGTGGCACGATCTCGGCTCACTGCAACCTCCGCCTCCCGGGTTCAAGCGATTCTTCTGCCTCAGCCTCCTGAGTAGCTTTGATTACAGGCGTATGCCACCGTGCCTGGCTAATTTTTTTGTATTTTTAGTAGAGACGGGGTTTTGCCATGTTGACCAGGCTGGTCTTGAACTTCTAATCTCAGGTGATCCACCCACTTTAGCCTCCCAAAGTGCTGGGATTACAGGCTTGAGCCACAGCACCCGGCCAGGAGAGCTTTATTTCTCATAAAAAGTTGCAACCTGCTGGCTATCCTGTCAGGCAGGGAAGCATAGCCTCCGCTCAGAAGCTAAAAACAGACACTTGGAGTGAGGGGTAAAGGAAACAGGAGTTTATGCTAAGCAGGGTGGCCAAATATACATATTTAATAAGCTATCGGCAGAGTCATGAATATTTATGAAAGGAGAAACACGTGCATGCTCAGTTGAGCTTCATATCTGTCCATAAGACCCATGTTCAAAAGTGGCAATGTTAACCATGATCTGAGGTGGAGTTTTCAGCCCTCTCAAGTCAAAAGGTGAAGCAGAGGACACAGAAACTATGCATTCTCCTTAGCCTGGCCAGATCCACTGCATGGTCACTGGTCTCTTATCAGGAAGCAATGCTGGTTAGTTGTTTTGTCCTAACTGCAAAAGGGAGGGGCAGTGTCAGGCAGTTGGTTGATGTCAGGTGGAGCAAGTCTTTTCAGAGGGCTGGTTTCTGTTTAACTTTCTGTTTAAGAAAGCCTAATGTTGGTAAGTGAAGGAGGGGGTATAAAGAGATGTGTCTGACCTCACACCCTGTTATGGCCGAGAACTCAGTTTTCAAGGTTTCTCTGGGGTCCCCTTAGTCAAGAAGGAGTCTGTTCAGTCACTTCAGGGCTTAGAATTCTATTACTTCTCAGTGTCTTTGTCATGTTTATTGTCTGTCTCACTTGCTCACTTGGTGGTTACATTCTACAACAGGGTTATCTAATCTTTTGGCTTCCCTGGGCCACATTGGAAGAATTGTCTTGGGGCACACATAAAATACACTAACACCTAATGATAGCTGATGAGCTAAAAAAAAAAAAAAATCAAAAATGTCTCATAATGTTTTAAGAAAGTCTATGAATTTGTGTTGGACCCCATTCAAAGCCATCCTGGGCTGCATGTGAGCCACAGGTTGGACAAGAAGGTTGTTCTAGAAGGTGAGAAAACTGTAAGACGAGTATTGAAAAGGGCTTTTTGAGAGCTCTGAAAGCCCCTTTCAGCTCTCAAATTATATCAAAAGTACATGGATTATCACGATGCATATTGGGTGGGGAGGAATGATTAAGTAATGGGGGCCGGGCTCGGTGGCTCACACCTGTAATCCCAGCACTTTAGGAGGCCGAGGCGGGCGGATCATCTGAGCTGAGGAGTTCCATACCAGCCCGGGCAACATGGGGAGACCCGGTCTCTACAAAAAATACAAAAATTAGCCAGGTACAGTAGTGTGCGCCTGTAGTCCCAGCTACTTGGGAGGTTGAGTCAGGAGAAACACAAGCCCAGGTGGCAGAGGTTTCAGTGAGCTGAGATCACACCATTGCACTCTAGCCTGGGCGATGGAGCAAGACTGTCTCAAAAAAAAAAAAAAAATTAAACATGTGGAATAGCTAGATATTATATTAATGGGCTATTATCAAGAAAACTTACCTGGAAAAGTTTTATTCTACCAGCGTCACATTGAGTTGATATTAATAATCTTACGATTTTATACCATATCATGCTTTATACAACTCTTTTTAATCTGTTATCTCATTTAATCCCCCAGTAGCATTTTGAAATAGATACTGTTCAGTTGAGGAAACCAAAGCTAAGGGATTAAGTGCTTTGTTGAAAAGCACCGCAGGCCTGGCGCGGTGGCTCGTGCCTGTAATCTCAGCACTTTGGTGGATCACCTGAGGTCAGGAGTTTGAGACCAGCCTGGCCAACATGGTGAAACCCTGTCTCTACTAAAAATAAAAAAATTAGCCGGGTGTGGTGGCGCATGTCTGCAATCCCAGCTACCTGGGAGGCGGAGGTTGCAGTGAGCCGAGATCGCGCCATTGCACTCTAGCCTGGGCAACAAGAGTGAAACTCTGTCTCAAAAAGAAAAGCACCAGCAAGTTTGTGGCAGGAGTAGAACCTGAATCCAGGTCTTCTGACTGATGTTTATCCCCGTACACCTTACCTAACTGCAGTTCTTTATTGTTCCCATTCCCAGTTTGGATCGCTATTGGTTTTTATTACATATTTAGTTCCCTTTCCCACCTAAGTTAGCTCTAGTCACTGCATTCCTGTTATAATACTTCGATTCTGTTCCAGAGAGAAGTGGAGATCCTGATGTTTCTCAGTGCCATTGTGATGATGAAGAACCGCAGATCCAGTAAGTTTAGTTCACTTCTCAGACTCAAGGTTAGATCTAATGCCCTTTGGAGGTGCTTTGCTTCATGTTAAGAGAGTGGCAATCATTTGGTAAATTTGTCCTACGTTTAATTCCAAGGCTGAATTTGAACTTGGACTTCTATCCCCTCCCTGTCTCCTATTTCAAAGTGCCCCATGAAGAGGGACAAAGAATGGGATATAGGAGTGCACAGCCCAGCCTGACCTGTGACATCTCTGTGTTTCAGTCACTGTGGAGCAACATATAGGCAACATTTTCATGTTTAGTAAAGTGGCCAACACAATTCTTTTCTTCCGCTTGGATATTCGCATGGGCCTACTTTACATCACACTCTGCATAGGTGAGGAGACTGCCTTTCTTTCTTTTTTTTTTTTTGTAAGACTGTGTTGATAGACTTGATTGTGGAAACCACAGTCCCAACAGTTGCAATCCCAAACATGTTTCTCCATACCCTTCTTCCATATCTCATACCTAATGAATTATATATGTAGCTCAGATGATAACAGTTTACAGAGACTGTTATTGTAGAGGTAGGGAATGTGTTGGTGGTCTACATATATCCACAAGTGTGTATTATTTGGGGGCTGAAATCCTTGGGTTGGTTTGGAAGTAAATTCCCTGTGTAAGGCTTTTTATGTTTCCTTCGACATCTTCTTTCTGTATTTAGTGTTCCTGATGACGTGCAAACCCCCCCTATATATGGGCCCTGAGTATATCAAGTACTTCAATGATAAAACCATTGATGTGAGTGCTCTTTCCCCTTTCTGTTTCTTGGGTCCCTTGTGGGTGATTTTGTAGTTGTGCTCTCCATTCACTAGGAGGAACAACAGTGCTTCAAAATGGATGTCACGGGCACTGTGGTTCATTATGAGAGCCGGGGGAGAGGGAACACCAGGATGAGGAATTAGATGCTAAAGTCTGAACCTTCCCAGGAGGCTATGTGGATCCAGCTGACTTTTCTTCCCTGTATTTGGCAGGAGGAACTAGAACGGGACAAGAGGGTCACTTGGATTGTGGAGTTCTTTGCCAATTGGTCTAATGACTGCCAATCATTTGCCCCTATCTATGCTGACCTCTCCCTTAAGTGAGTAGTGCAAAGGGAGGGATGGTGGAAATGGAGATGCTGTGCCTTCCCTCTCACTGTTTTTGGCTTTTCTTTTTCTTTTGGCCTTGATTTTCACACATGGTAACCAAAGGCATCTCCCTCTCCCCTCTTAAATATCTATACTTCCACTTTCCTTGATCCATTATTTTTTTTCAGCATATTAAATAATATATTCTTTTCAGATACAACTGTACAGGGCTAAATTTTGGGAAGGTGGATGTTGGACGCTATACTGATGTTAGTACGCGGTATGTAAAGACCTGGGCAGAGGGTCTGAGCAGGGAAATCACTTTGAGTGATACATACAGGGACATTTAGAGAACTTTCTGGGCCCTGCAGGTACAAAGTGAGCACATCACCCCTCACCAAGCAACTCCCTACCCTGATCCTGTTCCAAGGTGGCAAGGAGGCAATGCGGCGGCCACAGATTGACAAGAAAGGACGGGCTGTCTCATGGACCTTCTCTGAGGTACCTGAAAGGAAGGGCAGGTGCATGAAGGGTGCAGAACAGTAGGTGGGCTTTCAAGCCCTACCCGGGTTTGATTCACAGCTCTGCCACTTGCCCATTAGCTTTGAGGGTGTGGACTAGTTACTAGACCTCATGTTTTAATTCATTTAGCAAATATATATTATGTGCAGACCTGCTAGTACTGGGTAACAATCATTAGTTAAGATTTGGTCTCAGGCCAGGCACGGTGGCTCACGCCTGTAATCCCAGCACTTTGGGAGGCCGAGGCTGGCAGATCACCTGAGGTCAGGAGTTTGAGACCAGCCTGACCAACATGGAGAAACCCCGTGTCTACTAAAAATACAAAAATAGCCGAGTGTGGTGGCGCATGCCTATAATGCCAGCTATTTGGGAGGCTGAGGCAGGAGAATCGCTTGAACCCGGGAGGTGGAGGTTGCAGTGAGCTGAGATTGCACCATTGCGGTCCAGCCTGGGCAACAAGAGACTCCATCAGGAAAAAAAAAAAAAGATTCTGTCTCGAAGGCCACTGCACCTATTGTCTGTAGGTGTTAGGTTCCCTGTCAGTTAATTGGAGGTAATAACCCCTGGCTTACAGGGTTGTTTTGCAGATTACATTAAATAATTTAGGTATAATTCTTGGCACGGTGATTGGCACATAATGGGTATTTAACTATTAGTTGACTTTTCTGGGTACCTAAAAAAGAGGAAGGTTAGGGAAGATTTTTGTCCTTTGCTTACTCCTTCCTTTCCCAGACTTTGTGTAAAATACCTCTTACTTCCCAGGCTCTTTACTCTCCCTTCCAACCCAGATCCTGACGTGTGCATCTCTTTTGTGCAGGAGAATGTGATCCGAGAATTTAACTTAAATGAGCTATACCAGCGGGCCAAGAAACTATCAAAGGCTGGAGACAATATCCCTGAGGAGCAGCCTGTGGCTTCAACCCCCACCACAGTGTCAGATGGGGAAAACAAGAAGGATAAATAAGATCCTCACTTTGGCAGTGCTTCCTCTCCTGTCAATTCCAGGCTCTTTCCATAACCACAAGCCTGAGGCTGCAGCCTTTTATTTATGTTTTCCCTTTGGCTGTGACTGGGTGGGGCAGCATGCAGCTTCTGATTTTAAAGAGGCATCTAGGGAATTGTCAGGCACCCTACAGGAAGGCCTGCCATGCTGTGGCCAACTGTTTCACTGGAGCAAGAAAGAGATCTCATAGGACGGAGGGGGAAATGGTTTCCCTCCAAGCTTGGGTCAGTGTGTTAACTGCTTATCAGCTATTCAGACATCTCCATGGTTTCTCCATGAAACTCTGTGGTTTCATCATTCCTTCTTAGTTGACCTGCACAGCTTGGTTAGACCTAGATTTAACCCTAAGGTAAGATGCTGGGGTATAGAACGCTAAGAATTTTCCCCCAAGGACTCTTGCTTCCTTAAGCCCTTCTGGCTTCGTTTATGGTCTTCATTAAAAGTATAAGCCTAACTTTGTCGCTAGTCCTAAGGAGAAACCTTTAACCACAAAGTTTTTATCATTGAAGACAATATTGAACAACCCCCTATTTTGTGGGGATTGAGAAGGGGTGAATAGAGGCTTGAGACTTTCCTTTGTGTGGTAGGACTTGGAGGAGAAATCCCCTGGACTTTCACTAACCCTCTGACATACTCCCCACACCCAGTTGATGGCTTTCCGTAATAAAAAGATTGGGATTTCCTTTTGATTGCGCGTTTGTGTGTTTCTGTATTAGAAAAGCCTGACAACTGCAGAGGAATTGCCCATCTTAAGGGCAAAGGCCATCCTATTTGGTTTCACCAAATGCCGGGCATTGATCCCCAGGACTGGCAAGAGTTGGAGAAGTCTAGTTTCCATAAATCTAGAATAGCGGCCACATGTTGTTAGGTGGTGGGTTTACTCTGGGATTGGCCTGCGGTTGCCAGGGAGGAGAGTTTGGCGGCAGATGGTGGCACACAACATTTAGCGCCATGCAAAGGTACAGAAAAGATTGCGCGAAGCGAGGCTAGCAGTCGGACCTAGTCTCCGCCCCTTCCTGCTGTGTTCACCATCCCAGCGTCCCCTGTCCCCTCCACCCGAAGCGATGGGTGGTTCCGTCAGGCGCTTCCCGCACCTTCCCGCTCCCTGCTTGCAAAGTGGTTGTGCCCCAAGGTCCGCCTCCAGGCCACGTGGGTGCTGCGGGCCAAGCTTTCCCTTCCTTTGAGAGAGGTTTCCGCTGTAGGAGCAGAGCTTCCGGGCTGCGCTCTTCGTTGCCCAGTTTCCGCTCAGTGGTCGCGTCTCCGCCCCCCACCCACCAGTCCCGCTGCATTCTCGGCCGGGCTCTAGGCGCCATGGCTCCCCGCGGGAGGAAGCGTAAGGCTGAGGCCGCGGTGGTCGCCGTAGCCGAGAAGCGAGAGAAGCTGGCGAACGGCGGGGAGGGAATGGAGGAGGCGACCGTTGTTATCGAGCATTGGTGAGGGGCCTGGAGAGTAACGGGAGAGAGGGAACAGTGGCGCCGGGGGGGGCCAGGGGCCCCGGTTTCTAACCTCTCCGTCTCTCCCTAGCACTAGCTGACGCGTCTATGGGCGCAACGCCGCGGCCCTGAGCCAGGCGCTGCGCCTGGAGGCCCCAGAGCTTCCAGTAAAGGTGAACCCGACGAAGCCCCGGAGGGGCAGCTTCGAGGTGACGCTGCTGCGCCCGGACGGCAGCAGTAAGTGGGGACCTGGATGTGGGGGAGAGGGACGTGGGTGAAAGGGACGTGGGTTCCGAAGACAGGAAGCGCTATTCTTAGAAACCACGGCAGTCTCATGACTTCAGAGACGTGCTCGTGGGTTCCGAAGTATTGTAACTTCGCTTCATTCTGGCCTTTCAGGTGCGGAGCTCTGGACTGGGATTAAGAAGGGGCCCCCACGCAAACTCAAATTCCCTGAGCCTCAAGAGGTGGTGGAAGAGTTGAAGAAGTACCTGTCGTAGGGAGATTTGGGTAGAAGCCCTCATGCTGAGGTTTGAAATGGGAAGTGGGGGGCGCGACCGCTGTTGAGGAAGAGAAGGCATTGATCTTGGTGTGGCTACAAGTACCCACCTGGCGTGGGTAGCTCACGCCTGCAATCCCAGCACTCTGGGAGGTCGAGGCAGGAGTGGATGGCCAACACAGGGAGACCCTATTTGAAAACAAAAAACAAAAAAAAGACACAATATTGTTTTCTGTCTAGTGTGCCCTAAGTGGAATTTATGTCCTTTGGGAGACTGTAGTTGACTTGCCCTGGGGGTATGGACAAGTTTTCCATTTGGAAGTTTATTTCATGTTACTTCATTTATGCTTATCCCTACCCTCTTCTGTTTGGTTCTTGGGTGTTCTGTTACTGTCCTGTGTTAACACTGCATTACAATACCATTAAATTTGGTTACAAGGATTTTGACCTTGTCTTTGTCCCTAGTGCTTCATACAGTGCTTTGGCATGTTGTTCTGCACTTATTATGTTGAGTGAGATTTGGAGGAAGGATGCAATCCTTGAGCTTCAGGGTTTGTGAGTTCAAGGGTTGGGGAACATGTCTTCCTCAGTCCTTAAGATTGCCCAGATCCTTTCTCTAACCTTATTTCCCTTCTCATTTTTGCAGCTTTGTGTCCCTGGTGATGTTGGAACATTAATGATGGAACATGGCCAAACTTCAGTCATGATCCTGAAGCCATGGTTTCTTCCCTGCCAGAAATGAAGGTTCAGTTATGAGGCAACCCTCTAGTAAGGCATTGTAAAAGTTACTGGATTTGGTTTAATAAAAGTTGAAATAAAGTATTTGAGTAATAGAGTAAAACTTAATCTTAAGGGATGGACAAAGCCAGCCTTGTGGAGTTGGTAGTCCTTGTGTTTTTCATAGCCCAAGATAGCCATGTGACCTGGAACTTTTAAAAAAAAATTTTTTTTTAAGAGCCAGAGTCTCACTTTGTCACCCATGCTGGAGTATAGTGGTGCTATCTCGGCTCACTGCAACCATTGTCTCCCAGGTTCAAGCGATACTCCTGCCTCAGTCTCCTGAGTAGCTGGGATCACAGGTGCACACCACCACGCCTGGCTAATTTTTTTATTTTTATTTTTAGTAAAGGCGGGGTTTCACCATGTTGGCCAGGCTGGTCTCAAACTCCTGACCTCAAGTGATATGCCTGCCTTGACCTCCCAAAGTGCTGGGGTTACAGGCATGATGAGCCACCGCACCTGGCCTGACCTGCAACTTTTATGATCTCTGGTAAAACATGAGAAATACTTGTAAAAATTATGGGAGCAAAGTAAATAATTTATTTTTTAAAAAAGCAACTGTATCTTTTTCAACTTACTTTTTGGAAGTAATGATGGAAGTACATCTTCTTGGCCCCTGCAGAGGTTTTAGCTAGACTTCCTAATACTGGCAGTGAATAAGCCCCACGTTGGGTGCTGGACAGCATCCATCACTCCCACCCACTTAGTATTCCACCCAACACTGCTTCACACCTTCCTCTGGAACATTTTCTTAAACAATACCCCACCACAGAGGAGGGTGTTCTTTCTCAGCTTTTCCTAAATTACCAGTGACTGGATGCCTTATGACCTGAGAGATCTGGCCTTGGCTGTTACCTATGACCCACCAGAATTGGGGAGCACACAGTTTGTTTCAGTTGTCACTAACCGGAAAATAGATTACAAATAAGATGGTACAAGTTCATAATTTTCTATCTATGGTACCCTTGGCTTCTGCCTGGCTTCTGAGGCTTAGGGAAGGGAGGAAGGGACCTACAAAGAGCCAGGGTACACCTGCCTCTTGTGCTGAGGGCACGTGCCAGCTTCTCTGCCAGTAAGCCTTTTGCTAGCTAACATTTCCCACCCTCCCAAGGCCCCTAACCTGCCCTCCCCTCTCCACTATGTTAGTATATCTACCTCTGTTTCTGACTCTGAGGAAGGGTCAGGCCACACGGAGGGAACAGTAGTGGGTACCAGCCTCCCCTCTGCTGTCCAGTCCACCACATCAATCTCTTCCTCTTCAGAGCTGGCAGGAAGTGAGCCTAGTAGTTCAGAGTGACCAGATACCTCCTTGCCTGCCTTGGGAGAAGGGTATAATAACTCATCTGTAGTCAAGGAGACTTCCAGCCCAGTCTCCACCCAGTTTGAGCAGGGAGGTGAGAGGTCCCCATAAGACCTCTGGGGAGTATCAAGGGAGCTGACATGGAGAAGTTTGTCTTCCTGACCATCCAGTGGCTGGGAGCTGGTAATTTCAAGGTCTGGTGTCCAACGGCCTCCTACTGAAAGCACTTCACTCACCTCAGAGGGCATGACAAGGGGGCTAAGGAGCTCAGTTGGCCCTCTGTTCTCACCAGCAGGTTCCTTTTCCAATTCTGTGAGCTCCCTGGGCCAGAGTTCCATGTCTGGTAGACACCATTCTTCCCCTTCAATCCAGTTCTTTCCTGTTTCTGTCAGATGGTAGGTAGGCGTTCTGCAGCCCTCAGCCCCTGGACTCTCCAGAGACCCTATAGGTGGTTCAATGTCTGAGCCACAGAGCATGAAGTCCAGGATCTCCTCCAGCTCACTGGTGGCAGCAGCACTTGTGATTCGGTACTCCTCAGCCTCACAGGGCTGCTCCAGCAGAGCTGTGTCAAATGCATAGGGTTCTCTGCAGTCAATAGCCAACATAGGTTCCTTCTCTACCAGTTCTGGACTGGACTCAAACTCTGACTTCACCACTGGGTGGTCTGGGGAGTGGCTAGCAGAGACCAGAATGTCTTGTAGCTTAGTGCACATGGGGGAGTCCTGACACAGTTCTGTTCTAGTAGGTGACATTTCCTGCTCATTACTGGAGAATGGCTGAGTTCCTGAAGGCTCTTGGAAGTCTCCTCCGGGATCTGGGATCTGGGGGCTATCTTGAGTGTTTTTGAGAGGAGTCTCTTGTACCACTTCCCAGCAAGTCCCATTGACAATCTTCCTAAGTTTAACTCTCCCAACCTGCCCCTCCTCTGCAGAGTCTGAGTTAGGTGCCCTGACTTCAGGGCTCCGCTTCCTGCTCCCACCTGTCTTTCCCAGACCAGATGGGTTTGGGGTGCTCTGCAGAGGACTAGCTCTGCCTGGTTTTGGCTTGTCCTCTGGTGTTTCTTTATTTACACTCCTCTGCCGCCAAAGACGCCGGCCAGGGGTTGCAGGCACTGAGCTAGATCCACTTAAAATGCTGGAAGGCTTTGATGTACAGATACCAGGAGATGGCTTTGAGCGACTGAGCCTGATCTTTCTGGGCAACAGGTGTTTGTCCACAGAGGGGTACAAGCTGGGTGGGGAGAGCACTGTAGGATCAAGGGCAGTGTCATTCTTGTTCTCTCTAGGCTCTTGACTATGGCTTGATGGTGAAGAGTTTTTTTCTTGTGGAGTTGGGCAGGCTCTGGCCTTCCTCTTGAGCAGAAGAGTGCCAGACAAATTGTCTGCATTCTGTCGGTTGTTTTCCTGGGGCCCCTCTTCCTTCCCCAAGGACTTCAATCTTATTGCCCCAAGAGGACAAGGAGTTTGATTAGTGGGCAGTGGGGTGTGAGGGTGGTGGCTGGGTGTCACCACTCTGGCAGAGATTGGTGCAGCACTTGTTGGTTGTAAGCACTCTCGGTTCAGCCTTCGGCCCTGTGGGGCCTTCACCAACTTTCCACCCTCAAGCTGAAGGGATTCCAGCTCAGACACACGGAGCTGACGGGCAGCAGATAGCACATCCTGGGCTTCTTCTTGAGATACTTCCATTTCTGAGGTATACAAGAAGTCCACCAGCTTCCTAAGTGTGCTGATCTTCAGGCCACCCAGCTCTAGCACCACCTTCCCACCCTGAGCTGGCCTCTCCCGCTCCAGGCGCTCTGTGAAGAAGGGGCTACAAGCTGACAGGATGCAGCAGTGAGCTGGAACTGCCTCACCTGAAGGGAAACCCAAATACTTTTGTTATCAGGTAGACTGGCATGTTCATGGGCTAAGCATAGACATTACTACCCAAATGTACTGCCCCTTCTTTTATTTTCCTTCCATGGGACTTCAAGTAAAAGAAAAAAATTATTCTTCTGCCTGCCTGGAACCTTCTGCCATTACCTTTTGCCTAGCTATTTTTTTTTTTTTTTTTTGAGACAGTCTCGCTTGGTTGCCCAGGCTGGAGTGCAGTGGTGCAATCTCAGCTCACTGCAACCTCTGCCTCCCGGGTTCAAGCAATTCTCCTGTCTTAGCCTCCCGAGTAGCTGGGATTACAGGCGCATGCTGCCACACCCGGCTAATTTTTGTATTTTTAGTAGAGACGGGGTTTCACCTTGTTGGTCAGGCCGGTCTCCTGACCTCAGGTGATCCACCCGCCTCGGCCTCCCAGAGTGCTGAGATTACAGGCGTGAGCCACCGTGTCCAGCCCGCTACCTTGTTTCTTTATTCTCAAAATCTACCTTTGTCATCACTTCCTTCAGAAAGCCTCCTGGGGCTGAGTGCAGTGCCACATGCTTGAAATCCCAACTGTTAGGTAGGCTGAAGCAGGAGAATTGCTTGAGTCCAGGGCTTTGAGGCTAGCCTGGGGAACACAGTTATACCTTGTCTCCAAAAAAAAAAAAAAAAAAAGCCTTCCTCCACCCCACCACAAGTCTGAGTTAGGTGTTCCTGGGCAGAGGTACTCTGTAGCTATCATGGCACTTAGCTATCTGTATTGTAATTATCCATCTCCTTCACTAGGCTGTAACTCTGTGAGGACAAGGACCACGTCTGTCTTTCTCACTGAGATATATTCAGTGCCTGACACAAAATAAAGGATCATCATTCTTGCTGAATTTAATTTTATTGACTCACACAAGAGTTCAAAAACTTTTATAGAAGCAACTTGTGGTCTAACAGAAAGAGCTATGGAGGTGGATGATCTGCTGTGCTCTACCCACTGCCTACCAGGCAGTGGTCTGTTCTGAGCCACCTCATTTAATGGGTACTTCCCAGGCAATCTCACTTTGTTTCTTCCATGGCTTTAATTACAAAAGGCTTGCTGATGATTCCCAGATCCATACCTCTGCCTAGATCTCTTTCCTGAGGGAGTAAACATACCACAGCTGGCATGTCTACATATATGCCTCACAAGCACCTTCAATGCAACTTTTCCAGAAAATGAACTTATTCCCCACCCCAAAAAACCTCTCTCATTTTCTACTTCAAAGTAAGGCATCATATTCACCCAGTTGCCTGAGCTTGAAAACCAGAAGTCATTTTTAATTTTCCCTCCTTTACCCATCACATCTAATTAAGTATCAGGGTTTTTTGTTTTTGTTTTTGTTTTTGTTTTTTGAGGCGGAGTCTCACTCTGTGGCCCAGGCTGGAGTGCAATGGTGCGATCTCAGGTTACTGCAACCTCCGCCTCCTGGGTTCAAGTGATTCTCCTGCCTCAGCCTCCCAGTTGCCTGCCACCGCGCCTGGCTAATTTTTGTATTTTTAGTAGAGACAGGGTTTCACCATGTTGGCCAGGCTGATCTTGAACTCCTGACCTCAGGTGATCCACCTGCCTCGGCCTCCAAAAGTGCTGGGATTACAGGCATGAGCCACCACGCCTGGCCAGGGTTGTTTTGTTTTTTTGAGACAGGGTCTTGCTCTGCCAACCAGGCTGGAGCACAGTGACACAATCATAGCTCACTGCAACCTCAACCTCCCGGGCTCTGGTGATTATCTTACCTCAGCCTCTTGAGTAGCTGGGACTACAAGCATATACCACCTCAGCCAGCTAATTGTTTGTATTTTTTAATAGAAACAGGGTTTTACCATATTGCCTAGGCTGGTCTCAAACTCCTGGGCTAAAACAATCTGTCTGCCTTGGCCTCCCAAAGTGCTGGGATTGCAACTGCACCCGGCTGTTTTTATTTTTTAGAGACAAGGTCTCAGTACATTGCCTAGGCTGGTCTTGAACTCCTTGCCTCAAGTGATCCTCCTTCCTTGGCCTCCCAAAGTGCTGAGATTATAGGCATGAGCAACTGTGCCCAGCCTCTAATTAAGTATCAGGTTTTTTTAAAGCTAATATTTGTTGAGTCATTATGTTCCATCAGGCATTGTTCTAAGTGTTTTACCAATATTAATTTATTTAATCTTCACTGTAACTCTGTAAAGTAGCTACTGTTATTATAAATGAGTAAACTGAGGCATAGTTAAGTAACATGCTTACAACTGCAAAGTAGCAGGGACAAGATTTGAATTCAAGGCCGGGCACAGTGGCTCAAACCTGTAATCCTAGCACTTTGGGAGACTGAGGCGGGAGGATCACTTGAGCACAAGAGTTTGAGACTAACCTGGGCAAAACAGTGAGACCTTGTCTCTAAAAAGAAAAAAAAGAAAAAAAAAAAAGAATTTGAGCCAGAAAGTCTGGCTACAGAGTCTATGCCCTTAACCACTTCAGCAACTTTTGTAAACTCTCTTTAATAGCTCATATTTTTATCTTCTCAATGCCTTAATTCAGGTCATCATCATCCCCTCTCTCCTGGATTATGAAACAGCTGCCTATCTAGGCTCAGTAACCAATAATGGCTGAATGTTGTTTCTAAACAACAAGCTGAATGTTGTTTCTAAAGCAGGTATTAGATTATAACCTCCTGCGTAAAACTGTTCAGTATGTCTCCCAGTGTCCTGAGATACCTACTTCCTTTGTATGACACTTCAGACCTCACATGTTTACTAATTTCTCTTTTCCTCTCTGGTCAATACATGTTTTATAGTCTGCTCTAATAATAACGAACAAACCCGTGGTCACATCTCTGAACCTGTATACGTGCTGCTGTCTGCCAGGAAAAATCCCTGCTTCCTCCCACTTGTTTGTCTTTCAGATCTCACCTAAGGGGTTATTCCAAGAAAAGTTCCCTAACCCTTGTCTCCCAGTCTCCTCAAGTCTGTGAAGGATGTTTCTTTTTTATCCTCCTAAGTCTGCCTATGACTTACCCAATTATATTTTTAATATATTGCACAGTTACTTGAATGCACTGGATTTTTGAATGTCTTCCCCTTATAAGATTTCCTTAAGAAGAGGAACTTTTGTATGACCACGGTAGCAGTGTTTAGCATACAACAGGCAACTGATACTTTTTTCTTTATTTGGAATTAAATAGTCAATCTCAACTCTGCACTTACTAAGAGAAGCAGCAGGCAAATCACTTAACTGTAGTCCTCAACTCATTCATATGTAGAATTGGAACCATATAGCTAAGGCTTCTCTTACAAGACTGTTAGAATCAGATGAGACATGGCCGGGTGTGTGGCTCACACCTGTAATCCCAGCACTTTGAGAGGCCAAGGCAGGTGGATCACCTGAGGTCAGGAGTTCAAGACCAGCCTGGCCAACATGGTGAAACCCGGTCTCTACTAAAAAATACAAAAATTAGCCAGGTGTGGTGGCATATCCCTGTAATCCCAGCTACTCAGGAGACTGAGGGAGGAGAATCGCTTGAACCCAGAAGGCGGAGACAGCAGTGAGCTGAGACCGCGCAATTGCACTTCAGCCTGGGCGACAGCGCAAGAATCTCAAAAAAAAAAAAAAAAAAAAAAAAAAAATCAAATGAGACACTATACTGTATGTAATCCACAAACTGTAGAGTGGTATACAATATTGGTTATCATAATTATTTTTTATAAATGAAGACATTGAGCCCCAGAGAGATGAAGTTACCTGCCCATTTCTTGGGCCTTTATATATCAGGATCTACTTAGTAACTCTGACTCCTAATCTTGGGCCTTGTACATTATATATCAGGGTCTACTTTATGCTGAATTAACATTTCCAGTGTGAAGTGAAGGGGTGGAAATAACCTATACATTTTTAGTTCTAGCAACAAACAACAAAAGTCATCAATTTGAAGATTAAATAAATTAAGCAGGCCGGGCAACGTGGCTCACGCCTGTAATCCCAGCACTTTGGGAGGCTGAGGCAGGTGAATCATGAGGTCAGGAGTTCGAGACCAGTCTGGCCAACATAGTGAAACCCCATCTCTACTAAAAATACAAAAAATTTTCCGGGTGTGGTGGCACGCACCTGTAGTCCCAGCTACTCGGGAGGCTGAGGCGGCAGAATCGCTTGAACGCGGGAGGTGGAGGTTGCAGTGAGCTGAGACCGTGCCATTGCACTCCAGCCTGGGAGACAGAGAGAGACTCTGTCTCAAAAACAAAACAACAACAAAAAAGAAAATGGGAAAAGGGTCGGACGTGGTGGCTCACGCCTATAATCCCAGCACTTTGGCAAGCCCAGGCGGGTGGATCACTTGAGGCCAGGAGTTTGAGACCAGCCTGGCCATCATGGCAAAACCTCATCTCTACTAAAAATACAAAAGTTAGCTGGGCGTAGTGGCGCATGCCTGTAATCTCAGCTACTTGAGAAAGCTAAGGCATGAGAATCACTTGAACCCAGGAGGTGGAGGTTGCAGGTAGCTGTGATTGTGCCACCACACTCCTGCCTGGGCAAGAGAGTGAGACTCTCAAAAAGAAAACATAATAGTATCATCTAACACATATTGTGGTTAGTATATTAAAAGCACTATTCTAAGTGCTTACCCACATTAACTCTTAATCTTCACAACCATCCCATTGGAATATTATCCATGTTATATAGAATGTATCTGCTTATAAAACTTTACAATTAGATTCATTATTTAAGAGAAAGAAGCAAAGTCACAATTTCACTCTTGAAAACAGTAGTAATTGTCCTAGAAACAAACAGCCCTTTACCAAATAGTTTACAGTGGTCATAGGCAGTAATATTTTGCTGATTTTGTCCTTTACCCTCTGGCTCTGAACTCATTTTATCTTATTCTATGGTGAGTTTTCAGTTGAATTCCGACCACTCTCTTACCTTCTGCCTGCAGAAGGACATCACAGAACACATCACTCTGCTGCTGGTGATGAAGCTGCAGAAAAGCTAACCTGAGGAACCGGGGGTTCCTGTATAGGATTTTGGGACTGGCAGGAGAGCACATGTTGGCAAGAGTCTTAACAAACCTTCTAGGTTTTCACAGATCAGACTCCTGTAGGTGAGATAATACATTTCAGAGGCATGGTTACATCTAATTTGTTTTTTGTCTTTGAAATGGCAGGGGAATTTTGAAAGTGAGAGATAATAGTATGAGTTGAGGAAACATCAGCCCAGAAATTGTGCCAAGGATATCTCAAGAAAGAAAATTATCATAGTGGTTACATGTGGGAGCTCAGAGATAAGCCTAGGTTTGGGTCTTGGCTCTATTTATTAGCCTGGCTGTATAATCTCACACAGGTGACCTAACTTCTCTGAGTCTCACTTTCCTATCCATGAAATAGAATAATAGTACTTACCTTGTAGGGTTGTTTTAAAGATTAAATGAGTCAGTGAAGGTAAAGTTGCTTAGCACAGTGAGTGCCTGGCACAAAATAACTACCAAGCCCCAAATGGTAACTATTATTATCCTTCAACCTTCCTCATTTCCATTACCACTGAGACTCAACTGCTACAATGCTGACTACTTATATTCTTCCTGAGCACCACATCCCAGCTCCACAGGTATAATCTTCAAGTTAACACTTTTAAGGAAACATTACTGGGTATAAAATTATCTCTAGTAAGTCGTATGCGCCTTTTCTCTGAGCTCACTGTATCACACTAACCAGCAGAGGGTGCACAATAAAGAAGAGAAGCCTCTGACTCTGCGGGAAGGTCTCTCACAGAACCAAGGACGTTGCCACCCTTGGCTGGGTGTACTTGACCAAAGCGAGCCTGACTGACCCTGGTAGTAGGCAAAGAATTTGGCCTTTACGTTTGTATAGTTAATTACCAGGCTAACAATGCAGCAAGGATAGTAAAGCATTTTACCCCTCCCAAAACAAACTGAGTATTCTGACTTCAGGCTTATGTCCAGCTTTTTAGCTCCGAAACCCCCCCACTCACTGCACAGCTGTGTTCCTTTCCTGGAATGCAGTTTTCTATCAGGTAGCACTGAGGGTCCGAACAGTTCACGTCAAAACTATCAGGAAAGAAGAATGAAAAGGTAAATTAAGAGAAGGCGGGCTTGGCTGGGCGGGGTGGCTCACGCCTGTAATCCCAGCACTTTGGGAGGCCGAGGCGGGTGGATCACCTGAGGTTAGGAGTTTGAGACCAGCCTGGCCAACATGGTGACTCCCCGTCTCTACAAAAATACGAAAATTAGCCGGGCATGGTGGCAGGCGCCTGTAATCTCAGCTACTCAGGAGGCTGAGGTGGGAGAATCGCTTGAACCTGGGAGGCAGAGGTTGTAGATAGAGCCACTGCACTCCAGCCTGGGCGACAGAGCGAGACTCCGTCTCAAAAAAAAAAAAAAAATTCCCATCCCAGTGAGAGAGATGTGGATGGAGGATGGCAGCTGTTGCAAGGGCCCTGGGGAAGCTTCTCAATCCACGATCGCCTGGCCTTGCCTCCAGACCCAACTTGAAATAGCTTTTCGGTAGACTTTGCTCCTGTTGCCTTCTCTGTGCTTGTCCTCTGTCCAGCCTGCCTTGCTTCCTCTCAATGTTCAGCGTTGAGTCAGGAGGCTGAGCAAAGATGCGCAGGTGGGCCAACGGCTGAGTGCTTCACCTCCCCATCCAGAAGCAAGGGAATCGGTGTTGGCGGAGAAAGCAGGGCTTCAGGGAGAGCCCTGCAAAGCGGGGTGGCCCGCACGCTTGGGCGCCCTGGCCCAACTCCTTTGAAGAAAGACTCCTAGGCGCGAGGGTTTCTGGGAATGGACCGTGGGGATCCGGGAGGCCCAAAGTCAGGACTTCCCGTCACGGCCACCTCCGCCAGCATAGACTTTGCAGGCAGCCCCTGGCGCCCTTGTATCCCTGCGGGCTTCAGCACCCACATGCACTGGGTGGTAGTGATAGCGAGGGTTGTAAGGCCACGCGGCCAGCGCCACACACCTCGTGCCACCGTCCTAGCGCGCTGCGCGTCGCAGAGCCCTACGCCCCTCCTCCTCCCGAGTCCTCGGGCCTACGTCGTCCGGCATACGTCATCCCCATTGGCCGAAGGCTCCCGGGAGAACCAATCAGAACAGGAGGAGCGCTTTGGGCGGGAGGCTAAGTCTCGAGGGACTTGAGGGCTGAGGGAAGATGGCTGGGCTGCAAGAGGCAGGGGGATGGGCCCGTCAGGGAGGAATTCTTGTGAAAGCCGTCGTCTGCCTCAGCACTTGATGAAAACACACCGAAAAAGAGGGTAGGGATGCTGTAGTAGAGCAGGCGCCAAGGCGGTTAAGGGTCATGTCCGTCTTCCCTTTGAAGAGGCAGTAGATGCCCTTGGCTCTGCCTGGAGCGCTCCATGTTTCGTGATGGAAGTCTCTGGATGGCTCTGGTAACACCGGGTCCCCCATATGGCTAATTTAGAAATCTCCTAAGACCAGAGATGTTATGGAATAAGGTCCTTGGGCAGTTTCTGAATTCAGTTTCTTCACTGATTCCACTCCAACCCCAAATCTTGGAGAACTAATGACCCAGGGGTTTTGCAGAAAATCCCCCCCCCCGCCCCCGCGAACGGTCTCCATTATCGTTACAGAGATGATTTTTTAAAAAAATGTTAATTAGGCCTGGCGCGGTGGTTCACGCTTGTAATCCCAGGACTTTGGGAGGCTGAGGGGGGCGGATCACGAGGTCAGGAGTTAGAGACCAGCCTGGCCAACATGGTGAAACCCCGTCTCTACAAAAATACAAAAAATTAGCCGGGCCTGGTGGCGCGTGCTGTAATCCCAGCAACTCGGGAGGCTGAGGCAGGAGAATCGTTTGAACCCGGGAGGCAGAGGTTTCACTGAGCCGAGATGACGCCACTGCACTCCAGCCTGGGTGACAGAGCAAGACTCAGTCTCAGAAAAAAAAAAAAAAGGTAATTAATGTTGCCCAGGATGTGACGCGATCCCGGCTCACTGCAGCCTCGACCTCTGGAGCTCCAGCAATCCTTCCACCTCAGCCTCCCGAGTAGCTGGGGCTATAGGCAAGTGCCACCATGCCTGGCTGATTTAATTGTTTTTCTTTTATTTATTTATTTATTTATTTTTTGGAAACAGAGTTCCGCTCTTCTTGTCCACGCTGGAGTGCAAGGCGTGATCTTGGCTCACTGCAACCTCCACCTCAGGGTTCAAGCAATTCTCCTGCCTCAGCCTCCTGAGTAGCTGGGATTACAGGCATATGCCACCATGCCCAGCTAAGTTTTGTATTTTTAGTAGAGCCAGGGTTACACCATGTTGGCCAGGCTGGTCTCGAACTCCTGACCTCAGGTGATCCACCCACCCTGGCCTCCCAAAGTGCTGGCATTACAGGCGTGAGCTACCGCACTTGGACTGATTTTCTTTTTCTTCTTCTCTTTCTTTTTCCCCTTCCCTCCCTCCCTCCCTTGTTTCCTTCCTCCTTTCTTTCTCTTGTTCTCTTCTCTTTCTTTTCTTTTCCCTTCCCTCCTTCCCTCCCTCCCTTCCTCCCTTCCTTCTTTCTGTCTTTCTTTTGTTTGCTTTGTTTCCTTTCTTTTTCCTCCCTCCCTTCCCCTCCCCTCCCCCTCCCTCCCTCCCTCGCTCCCTTCCTTCCTTCTGTCTTTCTCTTGTTCGCTTTCTTTCCTTTTTTTTTCTTTTCCCTCTCTCCCTTCCCCTCCCCTCCTCCTCCCTCCCTCCCTCCCTTCCTTCTGTCTTTCTCTTGTTCGCTTTCTTTCCTTTCTTTTTCTTTTCCCTCCCTCCCCTCCCCTCCTCTGCCCCCTCCCTCCCTTCCTTCTTTTTTTTCTTCTTTCTTCTGTGTGTTCTTTCTTTCGTTCATTCTTTCTTTCATTCTTTAGCTGTTTTTGTTCTTTTTTTTCTTTTTTAAAAGAGAGACAGGGTCGGCCAGGCGCGGTGGCTCACGCCTGTAATCCCAGCACTTTGGGAGGCCGAGGCAGGTGGATCACGAGGTCAGGGGTTTGAGACTAGCCTGGCCAACATGATGAAACCCTGTCTCTACTAAAAATAAAAAAATTAGCTGAGCATGGTGGCACACATTGGGGTGGCTACTGGGGCGGCTGAGCCAGGAGAATGGCTTGAACCCAGGAGGCAGAGGTTGGAATGAGCTGAGATCATGCCACTGCACTCCAGCCTGGGTGACAGAGCAAGACTCCGTCTCAAAAAAAAAAAAAAAAAAAAATAGAGACAGCGTCTCCCTATGTTGCCCGGGCTGGTCTCAAACTCCTGGGCTCACTCGATCCTCCCACCTTGGCCTCCCAAACTGCTGTCATTACAGGCATAAGCCACCGAGCCCAGACCAGAGACAATTTATTTAGCCTAGTTCCTGACTGGAATCAGCTGTTTTCAGGGATGATACTAAAAATTAAATTATCTCAAGATTTTTTTTTTTTTTTTTTTTTGAGACAGAGACTCCCTCTGTTGCCCAGGCTGGAGTGCAGTGGCACCATCTTGGCTCACTGCAACTTCCGCCTCCTGGGTTCAAGCAATTCTCCAGCCTCCAAGTAGCTGGGATTACAGGCATTCACCACCATGCCCAGCTAATTTTTGTATTTTTAGTAGAGATAGGGTTTCACCATGTTGGCCAGGCTGGTCTCAAACTCCTGACATCAGGTGATCCGTCCGCCTTGGCTTCCCAAAGTGCTAGGATTACAGGCATGAGCTACTGTGCCTGGCCTAATTATCTCAAGATTAAATATTTACAGAGAATGCCAACCCATGGTATAATTCTGGACAGCAGTTCTTTCCCCTGTGTATGTTAGGACCTGGGCCGTGGCTTCAGTTATTGCCCCTCAGTAGATGCTCTGTGATGTCTAGCTCTGGGTGAGAATGGCTGAATCCAAAGCCGCTGGTGACAAAGTGGGGTGAATTGAAATGAACCAGCTCCCACTGAGGCCAACTGGAGGTAGAAAGGAAGAAAAATGCCTAAGACAAGGGGAACGTGCAAAGGGACAAAACATAGAGGGGTGAGGGTACAGTGTGCCCAAATGTCTTTATTGATATCTAACACCTTTTCAAAAAGGATTTGAGGTTGTTGGTGGAAATGGTGGTGTGGGGAGTGCATTTCCAAGTCAAGTACTATTTCCCCTATGCTGAGGCCTGTGATGTTGAGATGGAGAAAGAAACAAAGAACAGAAAACATTTTTGGTTGCCGTTGTCTTACTTTGAAGAAGAAGCAATTAGTGAAAGACATAAAACTTAGCAGAAGGAGAACAGATTTTAGATGTTGTCAGTAGCAGCAACAACAGCACCACACACACACACACACACACACGTAAACAAGCAAGGAAAACAAAAGAGAAGGCAGAACAACCCTTGTTTATGGCATCTGTTACTATAGAATCAGGACTTGATTGGGCAGGTAGAGTACCAGTATAGATGATTCTGTGGAGGTGTAAGGAAATTATAAATGTATGTCTTCTCATTAATATATTGCCATGATGATTAAATTAATTTTCAAGAAGTGGAGAGGACTTCTTATTTTTTTAATCTAACATCATTTTAGTTAAATCTTGTGTTGGTAGAATTTCTTAATGCAGTCAAGGTGGCTCAGGCTGGTAATCCCAGCACTTTGGGAGGCTGAGGCAGGCAGATCACTTGAGGTCAGGAGTTTGGGACCAGCCTGGCCAACATGGCAAAACCCTGTCTTTACTAAAAATACAAAAATTAGCCAGACATGGTGGTGGGCACCTATAATCCCAGCTACTCGGGAGGCTGAGGCAGGAGAATTGGCATGAGCCCAGTAGGCGGAGGTTGCAGTGAGCTGACATCACACCACTGCACTCCAGCCTAGGCAACAGAGCAAAAAAAAAAAAAAGATAAAAAGAACTTCTAAAGGGATTGATAAATGGCCATCCTATCCAGGGCTTCAAAAATGACAAACTTTGATTGTAATGTGTAACCACCAGAGGGTGGAAAGGAGTAAAAATATTTTGTTTTTCTTTGTATGGATAACCAGTGGGGTTTTTGGAGTTGAATTTTTAAAATTTCTTCTTGGCATTTATAGTTTTAGCCTATTTTATTTTATTATTTATTATTTTATTTATTTTTGAGACAGCGTCTCACTCTGTCGCCCAGGCTGGAGTGCAGGCGCAATCTTGGCTCACTGCAACCTCCACCTCCTGGGTTCAAGCAATTCTCCTGTCTCAGCCTCCCGAGTAGCTGGGACTACAGGTGCAACACCACACCTGGCTAATTTTTGTTTTTTTAGTAGAGATGAAGTTTCAGCACATTGGTCAGGCTGGTTGGGAACTCCTGATCTCTGGTGATCCACCTGCCTTGACCTCCCAAAGTGCTGGGATTAGAGGTGTGAGCTACTGCACCCAGCCTTATTTTATTTTTGAGACAGGGTCTCACTTTGTGGTCACCTAGGCTGGAGTGCAGTGGCACAAACACAGCTCACTGCAGCCTTGAACTCCTGGGCTTAAGCAATCCTCCTACCTCAGCCTCCCAAATTAGCTGGGACCACAGGTATGCACCACTATGCCCCGCGTGTATTTTTAGTAGAGAAGGGGTTTCACCATGTTGGCCATGTTGGTCTCGAACTCCTGACCTGAAGTGATCCACCTGCCTTGGCCTCCCAAAGTGCTGGGATTACAAGCATGAGCCATCACACCCGGCCTATTTTAAATGTTCATTAATTTTAAATACCTTGACCAGGCATATATAACTAGCAAGCTAAGAGACTTTATTCACTCATTTAGTTGTTGCTAAATATGAGTTACAAGGTTGAGCTCTGGGGATAGACCATGAGCAAAAAAGACACTATTCATGGAACTTTTTTTTTTTTTGAGACAGAGTCTCACCCTGTCACCCAGGCTGGAGTGCAATGGCACAATCTCAGCCCACTGCAACCTCTGCCTCCTGGGTTCAAGCGATTCTCCTGCCTCAGGCTCCCGAGTAGCTGGGATTACAGGTGGTGTGCCACCAAGCCCGGCTAATTTTTTGTATCTTTAGTAGAGACGGGGTTTCACCATGTTGACCAGGCTGGTCTTGAACTTCTGAACTCGTGATCTGCCTGCCTTGGCCTCCCAAAGTGCTGGGATTACAGGCGTTGAGCCACTGCGCCCAGCCCATGGAGCTTATCTTCTGATGGGGGAGACAGAAGTATACATACACACAAATGAAAACAAAAGAAAAAGGAAGACAAAATACTTGCAAGTTGTGAGTAGTGATGTCTTCAACAAACAAGACCAATCTGTCTGTAGAAAATCATGTAACATTCTAGTATGTGGCTTTGATCTCGGAATCAATGAATCAACAAACATTTTTGGGCTGGTTGTTTTCCTTTGGTGATTATCTTTGGCTTTTGAACTTGCTATGGAGGACTAGGAATTGATGGGGAATAGAGGTAGAAAATGTGATAAAAGGAGAAGATTTTTAGGTAATGAGGCTTAAAGGCTGTTCATATCTTTGTTATAATGTATTCATTTTCAGCTGTAGTTTATTTAAAGCCCATCAAACAAGTGCTGTAATGCATGTTTGGTTTTTCAACACTTCTGAGGAAAGTCCTTTTTGGCCACTATAGACCAAATATAGGTCTATGAGACTATAGACCATATATATAAGGGAGTGGATAATGACTACATCAGCATGATTAAAAGCACATTCATGCTGAGTTGTTGAATTCTAGTTTATCTAGGTAAAGAAAGGTCAGATTATGGTTGATAATGTGTTACTTTAATGTACTGAATGAATAAATGTGGTGCCTTCAAAGCAGATGATAGTCCCCTACCATCCCAGTCAACATACAGTAGTCCTGTTTCTAGGATTTCTCTTGACCTTTATCTTGACCATAGTGTAACGTAATAGAAAGAGCATGGGCTGTGGAGTGAGACTGGTGAGGGTTCACTTAGCCAGATGAGATCAGGCAAATTTCTTCACCTTATTGGACCTTGATTTCCTCATCTGTAGAATGGTTGTAGTACTATTTCTGTGGTCATGTTTTAGAAGTTTGAAGTACTGAGCTCAAAATACCTCTTACATGGTAGACACTTCATCATTGGTTGCTATTATTGGGCAGTGGCTCACCACTGCAAGTTTTTGGGCAGGGTAGTTACTGAATAATAAAAATAATGATAATGCATTCTTAGTGAGTTTATACTACATGCCATACATTAAGAACTTTTGTTTTGAACCGGAGTCTCGCTCTGTTGCCCAGGCTGTAGTGCAGTGACACGAGCTCAGCTCACTGCCTCCCGGGTTCAAGCGATTTTCCCACCTCAGCATCCTGGGTAGCTGGGACTACAGGTGTGCGCCACCACGCTTGGCTAATTTTTGTATTTTTAGTAGAGACGGGATTTTGCCCTGTTGGCTAGGCTGGTCTGGAACTCCGGAGCTCAGGTGATCCGCCTGCCTCGGCCTCCTAAAGTGCCAGGATTACAGGCTTAAACTACGGTGCCTGGCCCAAAGAACTTTTTGTGTATTTTAATTCCCACAACAGTCTTGTGAGAGAGATATAGTTATCTCCATTTTATAGTTAAGGAAACTGAGGTTCAGATTATTTAATTTGGGTCAAGGTCACATAATAGTACATATATTTGAGTAAGTGTACTTACTTACAGAGGTGGAGTTTGAAGCTAGGCAGTTTGTGAAAACCTATACTCTTAAAGTTTCATATTTCTTTCTTTTTTTTTTTTGAGACGGAGTTTTGCTTTGTCACCTACACTAGAGTGCAATGGCATGATCTCGGCTCACTGCAACCTCCACTTCCTGGGTTCAAGCGATTCTCCTGCCTCAGCCTCCCGAGTAGTTGGGATTACAGGCACCCACCACCATACTCGGCTAATTTTTGTATTTTTCGTAGAGACGGGGTTTCGCCATGTTGGGTCAGGCTGGTCTCGAACTTTTGACCTCAGGTGATCCACCCACCTCGGCCTCCCAAAGCTCTGGGATTACAGGTGTGAGCCACTGTGCCCAGCCAAGGTTTCGTATTTCTATTCTAGATTTTGATAACTTGATGAAGACTCATTTGGCAGCAGTCTATAGGGTAAGTTTTAGATTAGTAAGAAAGAAGAAGGAAATCTTTGATTCATCATTGTCTTTGTTTTAGTAATCAGGGAATAACCATAAAATGCTAATCTTTGTCAAGCATGTTAAAAAAAAAATCCAGCCTCTGTCCATCATGGTCTAACAGTTTAAAAATATGTCCTAACTCAGAAAAATAATACCCCAATAATCCTTTATTTAGGTCAAATGTAAAAAGAGAATGTATAAGCTAGATCATCTTAAGCTTGAAGTTCACAAAGAAATAAAATGTTCTTTTTTTTTTTTTTGAGACAGGAGTTTCGCTCTTGTTGCCCAGGCTGTAGTGCAATGGCACAATCTCAGCTCACCGCAACCTCTGCCTCCCCGGTTCAAGCAATTCTCCTGCCTCAGCTTTCCGAGTAGCTGGGATTACAGGCATGCACCACCACGCCCAGCTAATTTTGTATTTTTAGTAGAGACAGGGTTTCTCCATGTTGATCAGGCTGGTCTCGAACTCCTGACCTCAGGTGATCCGCCCACCTTGGCCTCCCAAAGTGCTGGGATTACAGGCGTGAGCCACCGCGCCCGGCATAAAATGTTCTTGACATGAGATTTACTTTCTTTACCTATGCTGTTATTCCCTCTAAATATATTGCTTGTTTATTGGATTTCATTTCCTCTTTCCAACAAACCCACATTATTTTGATTTGGGGACAAATTGGGAAGACAGTGATTTTCTTTAACAGCCCAGTGGATTCTGCTTCCTTCTAATTCAAAGTATGGAGATTAAAACTGTTAACAAGTCTAGGCATTAAAAAAAAAAATAGCTCTAGATGGGGCGTGGTGGCTCACGCCTGTAATCCCAGCACTTTGGGAGGCCGAGGCGGGTGGATCACCTGAGGTCAGGAGTTCGAGACCAGCCTGACCAACATAGAGAAACCCCGTCTCTACTAAAAATACAAAATTAGCTGGGCATGGTGGCACATGCCTGTAATCCCAGCTACTCGGGAGGCTGAGGCAGGAGAATCGCTTGAACCTGGGAGGCGGATGTTGCGGTGAGCTGAGATCGCACCATTGTACTCCAGCCTGGGCTCGAAACTCCATCTCAAAAAAAAAAAAAAAAAATAGCTCTAATGCAATTAATCCAAAACAGTGAAACTGAGTTTACCTCAGATATCCCCTACCATCCCAGTCAACATATAGTAGTCCTGTTTTTAGGATTTCTCTCTCCTTTCTTTCCCGTCTTCCTTTAGGGAAATGCTTTGGGGTAGGAAGCAACAAACCAAACAGCAGCAGGCAAGTAAAATCAGCTCTTTTCTATTTCCCCACTGGGATAGTACAGAAGAGGGAGCAAGAACTCATCATCAAAGAGAACTGAGACTTAGGCGTACCATTCTAAAAAGCCCTTGTTCCTTGTCTCCCTTGCCTCTTCCGCCCCCCTCAGCTCTGCAGTAATTCCTCAGAGATTGTACAGTCTCTCCACTTTAAATATAAATATATAAATATAAATATATATATGTATAAACTTCCCCCTGTCTTTCTCTCCTCTCTTTTTTTTAATTTTCTATAATAAAGTTTCCTATTGGATAAGGTCAGCTCCCTGATTTATGCCTGGTTCCTATTGGAAGCTCACAGGGGCTGACATCACTTAGGAAAGCGAAGGGGGTAGGGCTGCCAGATCAGTTTGTCACCACCCAGGCTCCCTTGCCTTTGGCTGGGTGCAACTTCCATTTTAGGTGTTGGATCTGAGGGGGAAAAAAAAGAGAGAGGGAGAGAGAGAGAAAGAAGAGCAGGAAAGATCCCGAAAGGAGGAAGAGGTGGCGAAAAATCAACTGCCCTGCTGGATTTGTCTTTCTCAGCACCTTGGCGAAGCCTTGGGTTTCTTTCTTAAAGGACTGATTTTTAGAACTCCACATTTGAGGTGTGTGGCTTTTGAAGAAAATGTATGTACTGACGGGAAAAGGAGGATAAGCAAGTCGAATTTTTGTCTTACGGTAACCGGAGGGAATTAAAAAACGGGAGAGTCTGTTATGCTGATGAGTAACTTTTAAGCAATTATTTTTCTTTTCTACTTTCAGTACTTTGGCGGGGGAGATTTTGGTATTTTATTATATTTAAAAAGGTAAAATATACAAGACCTAGAAACAAACTTCTAGGTCTCTTTAATACAGGAAGCTGAATAGATCCAGAGGGGTAAGAGCAGGTTTGAAAATTTACATTTTGGTGTGTTCTTTGATTTTATTTATTTATTTTTCTGGATTAAGCTAACATATTTCTGTTTTCAGAGCCCAAATCAAAAGTTGGTTTTTTGGCATGTTGCATGTGGGTTGGGAAAGAAATTTGTCCGTGTCGGAACCCAGTTATACCGATGGTTCTTCATATGTTTAAAACTTTTTTTTTCTTTTATCATTGGATTTGTGGAAGTGGAAAGTTGCAGGGAGCTTTGCAGTGTAAATGGTATTGTTTTTCCCCCAGAGAGTTTGAACGGCCCGTATCGGTTTCAGCCCTGCTGTTCCTGGGTGGATCCCTCTTACTTTTCCAGGTGCGGTGGGTGGGAGCCTCATTCTCCTGCTAGATGTAGTCTCCCTTCTTTGGCTTATAAAAGAAAACAAATGGAACCATGTTAACTGAATTGCCATCTCCTTCTTCCTTCTAAACTACCTTTGATAGCAAAGATTTGTGGAGGTGTTTGTTAAATCTGCAAATACGATAACGTTTGGTTTATGTGTTTAAAGGGATAAGGAAATTCTAATCATGCTTTTTATTTCACCTGAGTAAAGTGGCAACATACCTGAAAATATTTTCAGCTTTTTGCACTCTGAAAGGGCCAAGGGTGGAATAAAATTAGGTTTAGAAAAACCATTTATACAAAGTTTAGTGTTTAAAATACATTTCAGAAAACAAGGGAGATTTTTATTTTTAAACCAACCTGAAAGTTGTTTTTTGGAGTTGAATTTATTGTTTAGTTAATTTACCATGAAATCTGAAATCTCTTAGAGCTGAAGGCCCATGACTGTGCTTTCATATCTTATATTTAATCTTAAGATTTGTTTTGTTTTTGCAAATACATTCTTGCAAAAGTACGGATTCTAGATAATTATATAGCCAACTCATCAGTAGCTGAAAAACTAGGGTATTCTCTTCTCTTTTTGAAAATGTGAATCCGCCTGAAAATTATAGATGCTGTCCTAATTGTAACAAGATGGGCTTTAGTGTGTAAGCTGCTCATTAGCTTTAAACTGGTATGGATCTTTAATAATCTGATTTCGTTCTCCCCTCACCCCCCTGCCACAAATTTTTTTAAGACTAGACTTCCTTGAATTTCTTTTCTAGAATGAGGGTATTTCTTGAAAGACGATTTCATCCTTGTGAAGTTGTGGCTTCAGGAGGAAACAGAACTTTGTTCCTCCTTCAAATACAACCTAGGCAAAGGCTGCAGGAAATTTTTGATGTCTGAATCTCATAATTATAACAAGTACAGTTAAAAAGAAAGAAAAAATACAATGTGTATAGGCTGTTGAACTGTAGTTCTTGTTTAATATTTTCCAAATTTTCTTTCAAATGTTCTCTCTGCCTTGACTCCAGCCTGGGGAGGTTTCTTGGATCTTTAGAGTGTTGGTCATGTTGCTTCCAGAGTGTCTGTTTCCCACTCAACCTTTAGGGGGAGGGATGAGGGAATCTGAAGGAGGAGTACAAAGGCAGTTTGAAAATAGGTTCTGGATGACTGAGTGGTGGTGATTTGGGTCTAGCTTTAAATAGTGGGCTTTGTGTAGCTGAAGTGAGCATCCTAGTTAACCTAGTGTCCAGGACTATTTCCACGAACTAAGGGTTGTTTTGACTGGTGTGTAGTACAGAGCCTTTGGGGTGATAAGATGGAAGATTTGTCTTTTACCTCACCTCCACTGGTTCTTTCAGGAATTATAAGGGATGCAGATAAGTAAATCTTTTATTTTTTAAATTTTTTGTTTTGCTCATTGTCTTGGTTTTGGGGTAAAAAATGATGATAGGTAAGTATGAGCTGTTCAGATATTTCTTTCCTTGTTTGCCTCCTATGTACGGTTGGTTTCTTTGTTATGTGAGTAAGGTAGTGGTCTGTGTTCCAGATTGCGGGGCGGGGGGGCGGTTCTCTTTTAGGTGGTTGGAGTTCTAGTACCTTTCTCAGGGTTCCAGCATGGACAGTCAGAGAAGCTCCAACATGTTCTCTGAGCTAGGGTAAAATTGAGACTATTGGTGATATTAACAAAAAGAAAAGCACTAAGTAATTACAATCCAGCCTTAGGTTTATGAAGTAGCTGCTCTCCAGGGATGAATGAGATAGGATGGATGCAAATAAATTAAGCATAGATCACTATCAATTGGAATAACAAAATGATTAGCTTTGTATAATTTATCTCCTTCTATTTTGGTACCCTGTTAGTAACTGCCAAGGCCCTCATTCCCCCCTACCTCCCCACACCTTGTTTTTAGTGTATTCTAAGCATTTTGCATAAACTATTAATTTCCCACCACTGGTTTTTTTGTTTGTTTTGTTTTTTAAGGAATTTGACCCTCAGAGAAGCTGAGGTTTGGTGAAAATCTCACTGCCTGTAAATGGTTGAGGCCAGGATTAACCCTGGTCTGACTAACTACAAAGTCCATGGACTTAACCACTAATATACTGCCATTCTCCAGAGAGAATGGAAACAACAGCTCGAACTAAAACGAGCCCTTGCTAGAGGCAGGAGTGTTTCATCTTGGCACAGGGGCAGTACTCACTTAAATTTCCAACTCCCTCCAACTCCCCACTACCCTTGTTGGGATAATGTATGCAAAAGATCTATTTTCCATAGAGCCCATGGGGAGCTGGATGTGCTAGAATGGATATTATTTTAATCTTTAGAACGAGAATCTTTCCATATCCATATGCCCACCATTGCTGTCCTAATTTCTTAAACTTCCTGGAATTGTGTCACACGTTGTTTATCAGTAAAATTTCTTCTTCCAGAGAATTTGTTAGGTATGTGGTTTGGAATGATAGGATATCATCAACTTGCAGGGACAGGCTTGTAGGAGGTAGTTCAGATATTCTTGTCTTTCCCTCTAGACTATGAGCAGCTTGGGTGTAGGTACTGTCTTATCTCTGTATCTTTTTAGCACCTGTCTTAGTGTTTGGTACATACTGAGGTGCTCAGTAAGCCTTGGTTAAATAAGGCATTTGATGAGAATCAGTGAGGGACTGATTTGTGGGGAAGGCTTGAAAGGAAGCAAAACAACATAGATTAATCAAATTGCAATGTACTTTTGCAACTTTTACTGTAGTCTGTAGTTTTAACCTTTTATGCGTCTCCTCCCTTAATTTTTTTTTTTTTTTTTTTTTTTGAGACAGGGTCTTGCTCTTGTCATCCAGGCTGGAGTGCAGTGGTGAAATCATGGCTCACTGCAGCCTCAAACTCCTGGGCTCAAGTGGTGCTCCCACCTCAGTCTTCTGAGTAGCTAGGACTATGGGTGCACACCACTATGCTTGGCTAATTTTTGTGTATTTTTGTGGAGATGGGGTCTCTCTATGTAGTCCAGGCTGGTCTCAAACACCTGGGCTCAAGCCATCCTCCTACCTCGGCCTCCTAAAGTGCTGGGATTATAGGTGTGCCCCACCACACCTGGCCCTCCCTTATATTTTTAAGCAAAGTTTCTAGAGATAATGGAGGATTTAAAATTTTAGCTTTTCTTTAATCCTGTTCCTTTCTTGGCAAGTGGTACAAAGAATAGTATAAAAAGTAAGGATCTGGCCTGGTGCGGTGGCTCACGCCTGTGATCCCGGCAGTTTGGGAGGTCCAGGTGGGTGGATCGCTGGGCAACATGGTGAAGACTCCTCTTTACAAAAAATACAAAAATTAGCTGGGCGTGGTGGCATGTACCCGTAGTCCTAGCTACTGGTTGCAGCAAGCCGAGATCATGCCACTGCCCTCCAGACTGGGCTTGCAGAGCCAGATCCTATCTCAAAAAATAATAATAATAAATAAATAAATAATAAGTATCCTAGTCCGTTCATTTCATAATGAACTTCAACACTGAAAACCTTAAATGTTGCCATTTTCTAGGGGAGAGTATATTAAGACATCAGCAGAAAAGTACTGCTTTCAGCCCTGGTTGGAGGTGAATGGTTTCTGTGCTTGTTAATAAAAACGTTAAGAGCTTGGGATGATAGTTTTGAACATCAGTGTTTCAAAGAAAGTATGTTTGGATATCAGTGTATTTTTTAAATCACTGTTTTAGCCACAAAACTTTAGATTTTGTTCATGTATTGGGAAGCTTATGAGTTTAAGAACCGAAATTAGTTTTCTTGGGTAATTTAAAAGGTATTAACAAGGAACTTGCCTACAGGAGTGAACTGTAGGTAATAAGGATGTGAATAAGTACAAATATTCTTTCATGTTCTCTTCCCTCAAAGAAGGGTTAAATGACACACAAAGCTGAAGTAGGGATTGCTCTGCCTAAATTATGCAGCTGCCTCCAAGGTTTCCAATAGAGCATTGATGTAGCCTGGCAGGGAGATTGTAAGAAGGCAAGAACAACTGTTCTGGTTAGAACTAATGAGGGGGAAATTAGGGTATGGATTGATTTGTATTTAATTGTTTAATGTATTTTTCGGAAGTAATTTTTTTCCCTAATTCTACTTGGAATTGCATGTTATTATTAAATATTAAGCATTGAGAATGGGGCCTGAATTTACCACTTTATTCAGGGATCGTGTTCCCTGTTTTTAGGGCCACTTCTTCTCCAGTGAGCCCTTCAGTTTGATTGGTGTGGTGTGGACAATTTAGATCAGGCATATAGTGGGGGAATTATAAAGAGGCAAAGAATTTTCTTATCTTTTTTTTTTTTTTTGAGATGGAGTCTTGCTCTGTTGTCCAGGCTGGAGTGCAGTGGCACGATCTCAGCTCACTGCAACCTCCGCCTCCCGGTTTCAAGCGATTCTCCTGCCTCAGCCTCCCAAGTAGCTGGGACTACAGGTGCGCGCCACCACGCCCTGCTAATTTTTTGTATATTTAGTAGGGATGGGTTTTACCATTTTTGCCAGGTTGGTCTCAAACTCCTGACTTCATGATCCGCCTGCCTTGGCCTCCCAGATTACAGTCTTGAGCCACTGCGCCCGGCCAGAATTTTATCTTAAAGCCTTCCTTGCTGGTCAGCAGTAGGTAATTTGGTCATGACTTTCACAAAACATGTCCCAGGTTGGTTGATGTGATGTGATGACAAAAGCACTTCTCAACTTTTTATTTCAAACTTGCAGGAAAGTTGCTCTAGCACAGTAACTGGTATACTCTTCATTTGCCTAGGTATCATTTGTTAACATGTTGCCACAAATGCTTTATTCTATATTTTTTGGTAAATATGCTAACCAAAAAGGGAATTTCCAATCTGAGACTTCCATAATATGGTGAGGCAAGGCAGCATAACATAATGATTAAGAGTATGGATGGGGAGCTAGACTGCCACGGAGGAAACATGTAACCTAGGGCAAATTGCTTAATCTCTCTCTGCCTTGGCCTCCTTGTCTGTAAAATGGGGATAATATTAACCATCTTATAGATTGTTGTGACACTTAAGTTATTTAATGTATGTGAACTTTATAGAGTAATGCAGAGCTCCTAGTAATGTCTTGTGTTTGCTATTAGAATGGATGCTTCAAAGAACTCAAATTTCGTTTGTTGAACTAATGCCCTTGAAGGTCTTTTTTTTTTTTTTTGAGACGGAGTCTTGCTCTGTCTCCCAGGCTAGAGTGTAGTAGTGCAATCTTTGCTTGCTGCAACCTCTGCCTCCCGGGTTCAAGCAATTCTCCTGCCTCAGCCTCCCGAGTAGCTGGGACTACAGGTGCCCGCCACCACGCCCGGCTGATTTTTGTATTTTTAGTAGAGGAGGGGGTTTCACCATATTGGCCAGGCTGGTCTCGAACTCCTGACCTCAAATGATCCACCCACCTCGGCCTTCCAAAGTGCTGGGATTACAGGCGTGAGCCACCATGCCCGTCCGAAGGTCTCTTAAAACCTGAGAATCTGTGGTAGATGTAGGTGCTTGCATTACAGAATATATGGGCTTCCTGAGTGGGTAAAGCTAACTTTTAAATTTTTTTAATGGGAAAAAATTAGTAATAGGTAATATTGGAGAGTTGTGTGGGTGAGGTTCAAAACAACGGTAGTATGAGAATGGATAACTTTAGTAAAGTGAAGTGTCAGTGGGAGGAAGATAAACAGAATGATTTGTATGATTTGTGGACATCATCCTTTTTTTTTTTTTTTTTTTTTTTTTTAGACAGAGTCTTGCTCTGTCGCCCAGGCTGGAGTGCAGTGGCGCGATCTCGGCTCACTGCAAGCTCTGCCTCCCGGGTTCACGCCATTCTCCTGCCTCAGCCTCCCGAGTAGCTGGGACTACAGGCGCCCGCCACCACGCCTGGCTAATTTTTTGTATTTTTAGTAGAGACGGGGTTTCACTGTGTTAGCCAGGATGATCTTGATCTCCTGACCTCGTGATCCGCCCACCTCGACCTCCCAAAGTGCTGGGATTACAGGCGTGAGCCACCAAGCCCAGCCAGACATCATTCTGTATTTGCAACCCTTATTTGTGGACATTTATAAAACTGACATGAGTTCATGAATGCTTCCTGTGAGAAGTGTGCTTCTAAGAAAGGAGTCAGCTTTTATATGTGGAAAAGCCAAGCTGTGGTCTGTGGGAAATACATATGTGTTAGATACAACCTTGCCTAGAAACTTGCGGGTTTATTCCAGCCTAGGAATTTTCCTTCTCTTTTCCTCCCTTTTCTTCATACTTAAGAACCCATGAAACTAGTGTTCTAAATAGTACTTAAGCCAATTTCTTTGAATAATTTTTTTTTTTTACATTTTTATTTTAAAAATGAGACAGAGGCTGGGCGCGGTGGCTCACACCTGTAATCCCAGCACTTTGGGAGGCTGAGGCAGGCGCATCACTTGAGGTCAGGAGTTTGAGACCAGCCTGGCCAACATGGTGAAAACCTGTCTCTACTAAAGATACAAAAAAAAAAAAATTAGCTGGGCATGGTGGTGCATGCCTGTAATCTGAGCTACTCGGGAGGCTGAGGCAGGAGAATCGCTTGAACCCGGGACCCGGGAGGTGGAGGTTGCAGTGAGCCGATATCATGTCATTGCACCCCAGCCTGGGCGACAGGGCGAGACTCCGTCTCAAAAAAAAAAAAACAGAGAGACAGAGTCTTGGTATGTTGCCCTGTCTCCAACTCCTGGGCTCAAGTGATTCTCCTACTTCAGCCCCTGGAGTAGCTGGGACTACAGGCACACACCACCTTGCCTGGCTATTTAAGCTAATTTCTTTTGGCACTCTGTAGCCTCCCACATTCAGTTCCTCACATTTATTTTACCTATAATTTCTTCTACCAATTCTCCTGTATTTTCTCCTTTTCTTTTGCTTTCCTGTTCTCTGTGGTGTCTTCCTTTGTCTCTCTTTGCCTCCTCTTGCCTCCCCTATCTTTTTTTTCTTTTAGGTTGGGTTTCCTTTTTTTCCCTTTAGGTTTTCCCTTAGGTCTTCATGGGCGTTGCTTTGCCTCACTAACAGTTAACATAAAGACGTATTTCTGTTTCTTGTACCCATGTGCTAAAGGTACAACTGTTAGGATACCACTTCATTTCAGTTAGATCTAGTTTAGGCATACAATTGTAATCCAAGAAGACTGATCTCTTCTAGTGATTCAGATTGGTTTTATCTTTGATTTTTAGATTTCATCTGCATTTCTTGATTAATTACTCATTTTGGTTTAGTTGACAGTTGAGCAAAAAAAAAATTACTTTCTCCGGAGTAAATCATCTGTTTTATTTATGCTTTCTATGTTGTTCTATGTTGTAGTGCAGTAGCACATTAGGAGGTATCTTTGTGGAGTGAAAAGATTTTTGTGGCTGGGCGCGGTGGTGGTTCATGCCTGTAATCCCAGCACTTTGGGAGGCCGAAGGCAGGTGGTTCACCTGAGGTCAGGAGTTTGAGACCAGCCTGGCCAAAATGGTGAAACCCTGTCTCTACTAAAAATACAAAAATTAGCCGGGCGTGGTGGCGGGCGCCTGTAATCCCAGCTACTCGGGAAGCTGAGGCAGGAGAATTGCTTGAATCTGTGAGGTGGAGGTTGCGGCGAGTGGAGATCGCACCACTGCACTCCAGCCTGGGCAACAGAGTGAGACTCCGTCTCAAAAATAAAAAATAAAAAAAAAAAAGAAAGATTTTTGTTACACGGTTGGGCTCGGTGGCTCACACCTGTAATCCTAGCACTTTGGGAGGCCGAGGCAGGCGGATCACGAGGTCAAGAGATTGAGACCATCCTGGCCAACGTGGTGAAACCCTGTGTCTACTAAAATTTCAAAAATTAGCTGGGCGTGGTGGCACATGCCTGTAGTCCCAGCTCCTCAGGAGGCTGAGGCAGAAGAATCCCTTGAACCCAGGAGGCAGAGGTTGCAATGAGCCGAAATCGCGCCACTGCACTCTAGCCTGGCGAGAGAGTGAGACTCCATCTCAAAAAAAATAAAAAAATAAAAAAAAAGAAAAGAAAAGATTTTTGTTTTAGGAAGCTCATATTTTAAGAAACTAAAATATATTCTCATGGTTGAGGACATAAGACATTGTTATAGAAACTAGGTCAACTTCTCAATACCTTTATCAAAGCACCTGCAGTTCCCATTTCATTGCAAGTGAAGTAAATCTCATTGAAATAAAGTAGCTGGTGTATATTCAGTACACTTTTAAAATAGCCTATTTTAAAAGAGAAATTGGTGCCAATCTGATTTATTTCCTGCTTTGTTGGAATGGGGGAAGTTCTGTAACCTCATTGCTGTTCTGCTCTCTATTGACTACTTTGTTAACTGGGGCACAGTTGGCCTCTTGGATGTCTACCGTGCTGAAGGTCAGCCAAATAGGCAGGTAAGACTACCTAGGCCTCTTCATAGGCCTAACTAAGATCACAGTTGGAAAAAAAAAAGTATAGAAAAAGAAAAGAAAGTTGTTTTTTTTTTCTAAAATTTAACTTTTTGTATTCATTGAAGAAGGAAGTAAAACATCTCCATTCAAAAGAAATTTGAGAGTCTGTTTATGCCATACACTGAAGTACAACAATAAACAAAATAGACCTACTGTTTGTTCTCAAAGAGCTTACATTCTAGTTGTGAGAGACAAATAATAAGCGAGTAAATATGTAGTATGTCAGAGTGTGGTAATATTATTGAGAAAAAAGTAAAGTAGAATGAGTAGTATGGAGGAAAGAACGTCTCAGGGTGGGGGTGAGGTTATTTTATATAGAGTGGTCAGGGAGGGTCTCATGTGTAAGGTATGTTTGAGAGAGACCAAGAGAAATGGAGGATGGAGTCATGTAGATATGAGGAGTAGGAAGTGCAAAGGCCCTGAGGCTGGTTATTGCCAATGAACAAAAGAGATTGAGGGGAGGGAAGGAGAAGTAAGAGACCTGTCCAGAGAGGACCAATGGGAATGTATTTTGGGGGAAGGGGAATAATGTAGGGTCTTGTTGTATACTATATTGTACAAAGAAAAATTATCTCCACTTCAAACCCCAGAGACAACGGCTGTTACCGAATTTTTGTGTCTTTCTTGTAACTTGAGGTAGCACCTGACCCAACCTCCATATTTCTCCCATTGTGGAATCTCCATGAAAGTATAGTTAGCAGATAATTTGCATAGTAGCAGATTTTGCATAGGTTGATTACCTTTGTCTTAGAGAATGATAATAAGGCAGCTACTTAGAATAAGCTGATATGTTTTTGGGAAGTGGGATCAAAATTTTTCTTTTTCTTTTTTTTTTTTCTTTTTTGATACAAGGTCTGTCTCGGCAGTGTTAACAATCTCAGCTCAGTGCAGCCTCCGCCTCCCACGCTCAAGCCATCCTCCCACCTCAGCCTCCTGAGTAGCTGGGACTATAGGCATGCACTACTACACCCAGCTAATTTTTGTATTTTTTTTTTTTTTTTGTAGAGACAGGGTTTTTCCCTGTTGCCCAGGCTGGTCTCAAACTTCTGAGCTCAAGTGATCTGCCTGCCTCGCCCTCCCAAAGTGCTGGGATTACAGGTGTGAGCTACTGTGCCCAGCCCCCAAATTTTTCTTTCCAAGAGAAATACTGTATATTTCTCCATCTTCTTATCTAACTAGTCAGTTTTCTATAAGCAGGAGTGACAGCCTAGACCTGTACAGTTTCCTTTTGAGGACAAAATTTATTGGTTTGGTTTATGTGCTTTTGACCAAATAGGCTTGCCCCACTTGTCTGCTGCTTCTCCTTTTGCTCATTTGACCAAAAAGCTCCTGTTTCCCCATGCCCTGATTGTTGAGAATTCATGGCTTTGAGGACCCCTTTATAGGTCACCATATCCGTATTTCTGTCTTGCACATTGGGAGAGATGATTATCCCTGAAACTAACTTTCCTTATGTTTGTTTAGGCATTAGAGGTTATTAAAGCACATCCTGAGCCACTTTACCTAGTTGACTTTGGAGTTGAGGAAGAAGCACCAACTATTTAGTGATTTGATGTTCCATGCATATACGAAAGTAAAAGGATATTTGATTGAATACCTATGTCTTGAATCACACACTGTTACTTTCCCTCTTAAGATTTCTGGTTTAGCTGGTCTGTCCCTCAGTGAGAGTCTCTGTCTCGTTCTCTCTCTCTCTCTCTGTCTCGCTCTGTCTCCTCTCTCTCTCTCCCTCTCCCTCTTTCTCTCTCTTTCTCTCACCCGTCTCCTCCTCTCTCTTTGGAGTTTTTAGCCCTGGCTCTTAACCTGGTTACCCTCTGTTCTTTCCTTTAATTATGCTTATCTGGTTGTCATCTGGTTACTTAATATTAGGGATGCCCTCAACCAAGAAACTTTTTTTCTTCCCATCTCCTCCTTTGTTCAGGTAACTGTATCGTCTTGCATGGGAAATAATCCAGGCAATCAGAGATTACCCAAAATTTTGAAATTGTTTTAAACAACTGGTTTATATGTATTACTTCATCATATATAGATGGTGTGAGATGTTTGTGGTTGTCTTGAGAGTTTTTTGAGATAGAGCTTTGCTCTGTCATCCAGGCTGGAGTGCAGTGACATGATCATAATTTATTGCAGCCTTGACTTCCCAGGCTCAAATGATCCTCCCATCTCAGCCTCCATCACATCTGGCTACTTTTTGTGTTTTTTGTAGAGACATGGTCTCTATATGTTGCCCAGGCTGGTCTCGAACTCCTGGGCTCAAGTGATCCTCCTCCTTTGGCCTCCCAAAGTGCAGTAATTACAGGCATGAGTCACTGTGGCCAGCCTGAGAGTACCTGAGATTATGTTTTTTTTTTTTTTTGAGACGGAGTTTAAGCTCTTGTTGCCCAGGCTGGAGTGCAATGGCACGACCTCGGCTCACTGCAACCTCCACCTCCTGGGTTCAAGTGATTCTCCTGTCTCAGCCTCCTGAGTAGCTGGGATTATGGGTGCATGCCACCACGCCTGGCTATGTCTTTTTTTTTTTTTTTAAATTAAAAAATTTTTTTGGCTGGGTGCAGTGGCTTACATCTGTAATCCCAGCACTTTGGGAAGCTGAGGTGGGCGGATCGCTTGAGGTCAGGAGTTAGAGACCAGCCTGGCCAACATAGCAAAACCTCATCTCTACTAAAAAAAAAATATAAAAATTAGCCGGGCGTGGTGGTGGGTACTTGTAGTTCCATATACTCAGGAGGCCGAGGCAGGAGAATGGCTTGAACCCTGGAGGCGGAGGTTGCATTGAGATTGCACTATTGCATTCCAGCCTGGGCAACAGAGTGAGACTCCGTCTCAAAAAACAAAACAATTTTATTTTTGGTTTTGTTTTAAATGTACCTTTATTGTTTGACTTTGGGATCTGGGAGAGAGTATGTCTTTTAATGCCATTCTTCTTTCTTGAGTCTTCGGTGACACATGTTTACTTGTGGGAATATTTCACTTTTTAGTTCTTTTAAAGACCTTTTGCTATTCGCTTGCTCTTACTCAAACCAGAAGTTAAAGTGGCTTGCATAAGTGTCAGAGGTAACCACTTGGATCCAGAGTTTCTGGTTCTCTCTCTGTTGTCAAGTGGTTTAGAATTATCTAGGGTCTTTAATGGTAGATTTAAGACTTTGGAGTTCTTTTGGGATAGAATATGCAACCAGGTTTTGAAAATTTGGCATAGCTCTTTGTTCCTTGAAGGCCATCTAAGATGTTTTAAACATAATTGTGTTCTCCAATCTGCAGTGTACAGAGGGATATCCTACAATGTAGCAACTCGGGATTCCAGAGAAGATGGTGCTGGCAAGTGAGACAGTTCTTCCTTCTAGGTTCTAAGTCTGCAGTACAGGAGTTAGGACTGTGCCATTCCAGCCATCCTTATATTTAGATTCATGCTTTCAAAGAGCCTCTAATCTAGACTGAATAATGATCTGAGCTGTCTGGTGAGCAGTAAAACTGGCCCAAATAATGTATTTTATAACCAGTGCCCTTTTAGCAAGAAAGTCAGTGGGTTGTTAGGGATAGGCCACTACAGTGGTTCACAACAGGCCATAAGAGTCTATGAGGGTTTATTTATTTATTTATTTATTTATTTATTTATTTATTTTGAGATGGAGTCTTACTCTGTTGCCTAGGCTGGAGTGCAGTGGCGTGATCTTGGCTCGCTGCAACCTCCGCCTCCCAGGTTCAAGTGATTCTCGTGCCTTAGCCTCCTGAGTAGCTGGGATTAAGGCATGCGCCACCATACCTGCTTAATTTTTGTATTTTTAGTAGAGGTGGGGTTTTGCCATGTTGGCCAGGCTGGTCTCAAACTCCTGACCTCAGGTGATCTGCCTGCCTCAGCCTCCCAAAGTGCTGGGATTACAGGTGTGAGCCACCATGCCCAGCCTATGAGGGTTTTTTTTTTTTTTTAAGACATGAATTCCCAGACTTCCCTGTAGAAACTGATGTAGAGGGGGGATTTAATTTTTTCAAAAAGCTCCCTAGGTGATTCTGATCATTCACGTTTGAGGATCACAAAACCTGAATATTTGAATTAAGCTTACATGTATATGTTATTTCTCAGGTGGATGGTTATTTAGTTAAGGTGAGAAGTAGAGCCAGGCACGGTGGCCTGTGCCTTTGGTCTCAGCTACTTAGGAAGCTAAGGAGAGACTTGAGCCCAGGAGTTTGACACCAGCTTTGGCAATATAGGGAGACCCCGTCTCGAAAAAAAAAAAAAACAACACACACACACACACACACAAAACAAGAGAAGTACAGAAGATGGTTTATTGTAGTAGACATGACGAGAAGGTCGTTAATTTGAAGTGAAGTGATTTACCTCTGTGTCCTGTATTGTTTTGGAATTAAAGATGTTACCTCTTGATTTGGGGGTTATGCCAACACTTAGCATGGTATGGAGGACTCGCCTATTGGGAGGAAGGGAAAACTTTAGACTGTATCTGTGGTTTTAAATTGTGGAACAAATTCAGGAGAGGATGTTAGCATTGAAATTTAGCTGGACAATTTGTTTAAAACTGGACAGGAAGGGCCAATGTTACTTCCTGTCTGAAAAGGAAGCGCTGGCTTCCTTCCCTTCCTCCTTGGTTAACTCTGGCCAACTTGGAATATGGGTGGGGGAGGGGCTGGTTATGTTAGTAATCGTGTTACCACTAATGTTCGTGTATAGCCGCTTAAGGTTTACTCTTTTCCTTACTTGAAACATGTAGATGGGTGCTGTGTGTGCTCCTGTTTCCTTGTTCTTATATGGGAGCCCTGTACTAGGTTTGAGTTTAGTCTGGGAAGCCTAATCTCTCAGACGTTACTTTTACATTCAACCTTATATACACCTCCCTTGTATTTTCTGACATTTGAAAATACACCAAAGAGTTGGAGGGAAGAAACTGAAACTCATTTGACACGGAGCGGGGTAAGTTGTGGAAAGGAGAACATAATTGGGCAGAGGGGAGTGGATGACAGAGGTTTCTTATTTTTGAATTGAGCCAAGAAAGCATTCCTTCTAAGTGGGGCCAGTTGGCACTGTTACTGCTATTTTAGTTCAGGCTTCTCCTTCCTACTGACCAGTCAATTGTATTAAGTGTTTGATGTGAGTTTGAACTGAGGTCTCAGGAGGGGAGGGAGCGAGGGAGGGTGGTGGTGGAAACAGCTGGTGCCTTCATCAAGCTATCTCAATTACTCTTCAGAGTGTTTGGGGGTGGGGGTTGGTGGCACAGGAATTAGATGTGTGTTAGCAGAGTCTCAGCAACTCTTATGTAGTGGGTTTGAATTCTCAGGCACTCTTAATGCTATGTGGGATGTTGGCTAGTTGGAATGTAGCTAAACCTTTCCCAGTCACATTCTTCTGCCTCGCCTCCCTGTAATTCTTTCAGCATTGGGCCTGCTTTGGAGAAAGAGGGGTGTGGGAAGTTAGACAGCAAAACAGATTCATCCTTCCTACCCATTGAGTATTCAGCTTAGGTCTTGGGCCCTCCAGAGGCTTTCTTCATATCCATTCATTATTCCTTTAGTTGGGCTTTCTAAATATGTCTGCAAAGAGTCTGAGATACAATTAGAACTGGGACCTCTGGTGAAGTTAAGTTGAATTGTAATCAGTTGGCTATACTTGTCGTCTTCCCTCCCTCACACCCCAGGATTACTGTATTTCTGAGTCAGCACTCCTTTTCTATCTCACCTGCTCAATTTGATGCAGAGAACTTGCCAAGCATCCTTTTGGATTAGCAGCATTGATGTGGGTGTGTTCAGTTCTCTGTCTGGGGTGTGTCTTTTACAACTTTTTTTTTGGTATCTCAGAAAACTCTCCCCTACTAAAAGCTACTATTTTTATCTACTTTAGTATATCTACTTCACACCGTGGTACTTAATTAACTCATTTATTTGGTCTGGGCTATGCATAAGGAAGAATTGGATAAGAATACTAACAGTCATAACTAATTGTTCAGTATTCTTGAGAGATAAAGGGAGTTAGTCTGATACCATGCCAAGTAAGAGACTGTTAACTTTTTTTGTGTATGCTTCAGTGATAGAGTTTGCAATGGCTGGGCTCTGCTGCTGAAGTTCCATAGTGTTGCTAAATATTCTTTTCTATTCAACCCTAGAATGGCTATTGTGTATATTACTGCCCTACCCTTGCCACCTGGTCATACCAGATCCAGATAAGGACTAAATCCTTCTTTTTTTGGTCACCCAGGCTGGAGTGTAGTGGCATGATCTCAGCTCACTGCAACCTCTGCCTCCCGGGCTCAAGTGATTCCCCTGCCTTAGCCACCTGGAGTAGCTTGGATTACAGGTGTGCTCCACCATGCCCGGCAAATTTTTTTATTTTTAGTAGAGATGGGGTTTCACCATGTTGGCCAGCCTGGTCTCGAACTCCTGACCTCCAGTGGTTTGCCTGCTTCGGCCTCCCAAAGTGCTGGGATTACAGGCTTGAGCCACTGTGCCAGGCCAAGGACTAAATCCTTCTAAGTTGTCTGTTTAGACTTAGTTCCTTTGTATCATGTGCTGCTTTAGACCAGGGTTCGGCCCATACTACTTCTAGCAGATCTAAGAAGATGAAAGGAATCTAGGAAAAATAAAGGGAGAAGACAAGACAAGAAGTGATAGCATATTACCAGTTAGTTCCTGGTGTGCCCCTCTGGTTGGAGGACTCTGCTGAGCATCTTGCTCATTTTATGCAAAGGGAATTGAGCCCTTTGGGCAAAGGGTGTTGCTTCTTTGGATTTCAAGAATCTCTAGCTAATAGAGCTTAACCTCTGTTTGCATTTTTGCTTCTGTGATTTAGGGCTAATTTCCAATGGGTTGTACAAGATAATAGAAAAATGTATCATTTATCTCATTCTTGCAGTTAGTGGAGGACCTTTATTAGGAGAGGAGGCTTTCTTTTCTGACTAGGCTCCAAATTTACAGCCCCTGACCCACTTCAGGGGGTTGTGAGCAGGAAAAGCTGATGTTGCTGTCTTGACCTCTTTGCCGCCAGGATTTGGCTTCTGTGCAATTCCTAGTGGTTGTCCTCTCATTCTCTAGGGAAACGGGGAACTTTGCTCCCAGCACCTGATTAAACTGCCTCTTTGTAGGGTGGAGTCCGCTGCCTTTGTTTGTTCTCTGTGGAGCCTGTCTTAGTAATCAACTCTATGCTTGTAGGGAGAAAGTTTGAAAGGCTGAAAACAGAGGTGGATGATAGGGAAGGTGAAGTTCCTAAAGTAGTTCTCCAAATGGGAATATTCCATTGACTGAATCCAGATTGGTAATCAAATTGCCATAATGGGATGTGTCACATGTAGCTGAGCTGAATTAACAGCATCAGTAGCTTTAAAATCCCTAATGCAGTGCCTCCAAAGTGAAGAAACTTGCCAAGTAGGAATCTTAAAAATTCCCTCACCCCCTTCAAACTTTTAGATCCACACACAGTCTTTCTGCTGATTCTTAAAGGCCTGAGCTTTGTCCTACGTAGTGTTGGCTTGGGGCAGAGAGGAGGGTTGTTTTCCCTGAACATGATAAGGAGCTGAGCAGGGCAAAGTGGGGGCTCTGGCCCGTGATTGGTAGACAGGATGCCCTGGAATGCAGTTGGCCTGCAGCCCAGAATCCAGCACTTTGTATTTGTTTGTTTCTGGGAGACTGTGGTCTGGTGCTACTGTGACAGGAAGTGAGAAAGCTGGGAGTGGGGGAACAGAGAGGGTCGATGTCTTTGTGGTTCTCCTGTGAAATCTCTTTGTCCCTGGAGAGCAGCTCTGCTACAGAGCTCTGCTGAGAAGAGAGCAGCCTTTGTGTGTCTAATGGGTCTCGGAGCATCTAGCTACTCCGAGGGATTAGAGAGTGTGAATTCTGACTGTGGCCTTTTGCGTTTTAGCACTTAAGTTATATAAATGGTCCTGATCTCTTAGCACTGGGAAGCTTACTGAGTTTTGTGTGTGCTGCTATTCTTTGTGGATCTCTAGGATTTAATTAAGAAAGGAATTCTAGAAGGAAATAAATGTTAAGTAATGTTCATTTGCTGTATATGTTGCAGGTACCTTGTTGGGTTTAAAAGGGACAGAAGGAAACAGGTAATGCTGAGGTCCTTTACATTTTATATCTCATCCTTCCAATTGGCACCCTACTGCATACAGATCAGGAGAAACCTACCCGCTTAGTATTAAGAGTTACTAGCAATTCTCTAATGTTTGATCATAACTAGAGAATGGTTGGTAGTTTCCTGGGATTTTTCTTCCCTATGTCTAGACTGAAATAGCACCTGTAATACCCTCTCTCTTTTCTGCCCTCTTTTCTCTCTTGTTTTGTGTTTTCCCTGCCTTCCATTCCAGCTGTGAAACAGGCATCTTTTCTCACTTTGTGGATTGGATGGCTGAGTCCTTAACTTTGAGCCAAGCTGGCTGGTTCCTGAGCACACACACAAACCCGCCTTTGATTGTCCAGGAGGACAGCTGCCCTAGAGGCAGATTGCTAACATACCACTAGAACAATCCTTCTTCTCTGTTCTTATGCTGGCTAGCACAATCTTTACTGCCTCTAGTTCCTTCTGTTTCCCACCCCATCTCTGATCTTTGCTTTTGGCTTAGTGAGATGTCACATTAAAAATGAGAGTAGGGATTGGATTTTTTTTCTTGTGGTAGGGTTGAGGGGGTGATCAGAGAATGTGACATGTAGCCAGCTTTCTAGAGCAGGCTTGCCAGTGGTAAGGTAGGTAATTTTTACAGAGTAGTGCCTCTTTTGTTCTTAGCACCTTTCCTCCTGAGTACTAGGTTCTTATAAAAGGGAAGGTAAATCTGAAGTAGGCTGCAAGCTACTCTTCCCAAATTGAGTAAGGTTTTGTTCTTTAAAGTGAAGATAAGACCCAAAAGTCTAGCTGGCTCCATTCCACCTTCTCTTGCCTCCTTCCCCTCTCCGTAAAAAAAATGTCAACTTTGGGTTAACTTCTTAATTGGAACTAGAATGACTTTTTTTTTTTTTTTGAGACAGGGTCTTACTCTGTCACTGAGGCTGGAGTACAGTGGCACAATCTTGGCTGACTGCAGCCTGGAACCACCAGGCTCAAGTGATCCTCCCACCTCAGCCTCCCGAGTAGCTGGAACTACAGGCACATGCCACCACCCCCAGCTAATTTTTTGTATTTTTTGTAGAGATGGTGTCTTGCCATTTTGCCCAGGCTGGTCTCAAACTCCTGAGCTCAAGCAGTCTGCCTGCCTCAGCCTCCCAAAGTGCTGGGATTACAGGCTTGAACCACCTCTCCTGGCCCGAAGAATGACTTTTAACCCCAGGAAACATAGAAAATTCATACTCTTTCCACTTTATCAAGAAGGAGCATGGACTTGGAATAAAATAGGAGTTTTCACTACTTACTACTAGTTGATGAGCTTGGGCAAGATACTAAATACTTCTGGTATATAGGTAGTATACTTATTTATAAAAAGAGGCCATTACCTCAGCAGGTGTTGAAAGGATTATATGATAACTTCAAGGGGAAGAGCAATAATGCACAACTTTCTTCCCCTTCAAGATGGGATTTTCTTCTTTCAGATAAGGAGAAACATTTCCTCCTGCTATCTGTCCTAAAGCCAAGAAAGGACCTTAACACTTCTGATTGATTTATTTATAGATTGACATGCTCTGTCTCCCTGTTGCTTATCTCAAAAGGAAGACATACTCCAAACTTGATGAAAAGAATGCCTTATTGGTCTTTTCAGGGTTTTGAGGAATTGGGACTGTGTAAATCTGGCTCAATTACATGCTTCCACCTTTTCCAAGTTATTTTCAAATGATGGGCAAAGAGGTGGGGGAATGCCATAGATTGAAAGTTTGGTGAGAAGCTGCTATTTTCTTTCTTTCTTTCTTTTTCAAGATGGAGTTTCACTCTTATTGCCCAGGCTGGAGTGCAATGGCGCAATCTCTGCTCACTGCAACCTCCACCTCCTGGGTTCAAGCGATTCTCCTGCCTCAGCCTCCCGGGTAGCTAGGATTACAGGCATCTGCCACCACGCCAGGCTAATTTTTGTATTTTCAGCAGAGACAGCGTTTCACCATGTTGACCAGGCTAGTCTCAAACTCCTGACCTGGTGATCCACCCGCCTCAGCCTCCCAAAGTGCTGGGATTACAGGCGTGAGCAACCGCACCTGGCCGAGAAGCTGCTATTTTAAAAAAGGAATGTGAGCTCAAACAGTTGGGTGACCCCTAGTAAACTCTAAGGTTAAGCTTTTCCATGAATATTTTTTTTTTCCGAGTCTAGGGTATGGAAGGATATAAGGTGTCTTAGTTAATTTTAGGATTTCTCTTTTATGACATGAGACCTAATCAATACCTTTGCATTTCAATGAGGCTTTTTCTTATTTTTCATAGTGTACCTGATCTCTCTCCTCTTGTAGGAAGGAGAAAGGCATTTGGCCTCTCCCCTTCCTTTAGTCTAACACCTTCCTCTGTTTTTTTGCCCCTCCCTCTTATCTTTGTTTCCTTATCGGCCTCTCCCTAAAGCCCTGCTTTCTCCTTTTAAGGCTAGGTGAGGTGTCTTTGGCAAGGTTGCACAGGGATCCAGGTAAGTAACTCAGTCTCTTCTCAGGATTAGAGAAAACTCAGTGTGAACTGTCCCAGTGGAGGGCCTTGGAGAGGCACATGGATAATGGGGGAGGAGAAGGAGGCGGCCTGGCCTGAGAGATCAGGACTTGTTAGACCAGTCCTGTGTGTGCGTCATGCATGCTCCACAGAGAAGCAGGTTTTTTTCTTTCTGTACCCTTTCAGTCCTGGGCCCCCTCACTAGCTGAGAGCCACACCCTTCCTTGGCTTCAAAGCCAGCCCAGCACTAAGCCATTTTAGTATGTTATGGTTTAGAGGGGGTTCTCAGAATACTTGGGAGGGGAAAAGAGAGAAAAAGAAGAATGTTTTATTTGGTCTCAGAATTTAGGAGGTCATGATGGTGGAGGTGATTTTTTTTTTTTTAAGTTGCAGTAAAAACTTTAAATATTGACAGGTAGCTTTGGGTAAGGATTATAAGACTAAAGGGAGTTTAAGGTACCCTGTTGATGTATAGAGGTTGCCAGCTCAAATTCCTTTTAACAAGGAGTATTATCTTGTTTATATCTTTGTTTTTTAAAAAATTCTTTTCTCTGACGTTCCAATCAGAGAGAATGTATCACTCTTTCCTAAGAGGAGGGTGGTCTGCCCAGAGCCTTCCTTAATTCATCAGAGAGATTCCTGGTGGACACCTAGTTTTTCCTCATGAAAATAAGACTTCTTTGGTCAGCCTTTTACCCTCTTTTAAAATAAAATCCTTAACTAAATTAAATTTAACAGTGTTTAATTGAACAAAGAACAGTTCACTAATTGGGGAGCCTTCTGAGCCACAGTAGGCTCAGAGACTCCAGTGCAGACGTGGTAGAAGATTTATGGACAGAAAAAGGAAAGTGATGAACAAAAAATGGAAGTGAGGTACAGAAACAGCTGGATTGGTTATGGCTCAGCTGGAACAGTTGGCCCCCTTTGAGTGGCCAAAACTCAGTGATTGGCACAAGAGTAGGTTACAGTCTATTTCTACCACCATTTAGGTTATAGTTCATTATGTACAGATAAATCTTTAGGCCAAACTTAAAAGATGTAAGGAGGCATAAACTTGCCTAGGCTAAACTTGATTTAACACTTCTAAATGGAGAAGTTGGGCCTAGCAGGAAGCAGATCCATGAGGAAGCATAGAAAGAGTGAACACTAGGAGAAGGCCATATCCAGAATAATACAGGTTTTGTGACTTGAGTAGTGCTCAGTTGAGATTGTGAAGTGAGCACAGTCCTTTTAATCTTAACGCAAATCAGCTTCAGGGACTTGGAATTAACAGAAGATGAGTCTTCCCAGTGAAGTGAGAAATACTAGAACTGTTCTGACTGAGCATGAAGGTGGAACATGGTTGGGCATGGTGGCTCACGCCTGTAATCCCAGCACTTTGGGAGGCCAAGGCTGGTGGGTCACTTGAGGTCGGGAGTTCAAGACCAGCCTGGCCAACGTGGTGAAACCGTGTCTCTACTAAAAATACAAAAATTAGCCAGGCATAGTGGCACATGCCTATAGTCCCAGCTACTTGGGAGGCTGAAGCAGGAGAATTGCTTGAACCTGGGAGGTGGAGGTTGCAGTGAGCCGAGATGACGGCATTGCATCTGGGCGACAGAGCAAGACTCCATCTCAAAAACAAACAAACAAACAAAAAAAAACGTGGAACATCAAGTGGAGGTAGGGCGGGGTACTTAGACTTTGGACTCTGGTATAAGCACTGATAAGAAGCCATAGAAAGGCCGGGCTCACGCCTGTAATCCCAGCACTTTGGAAGGCCGCGGCGGGTGGATCACGAGGTCAGGAGATCGAGACCATCCTGGCTAACACGGTGAAACCCCGTCTCTACTAAAAATACAAAAAATTAGCCGGGCGTGTTGGCGGGCGCCTGTGGTCCCAGCTACTGGGGAGGCTGAGGCAGGAGAATGCTGTGAACCCGGGAGGCGGAGCTTGCAGTGAGCCGAGATCGCGCCACTGCACTCCATCCTGGGTGACAGAGCGAGACTCCATCTCAAAATAAAAAAAAAGCCATAGAAAATCTTGACAAAATATATTTCTTTGATTTAGAAACAAAATGGCAAGTTTGTTTGTGGTTGAACCGGAATATTTCTTCAAATTTGGGGTCAGGTGCCAGTTAAGGCAAATAAATGCCTTTTAGGTATCTGAAGGGCCCCTTTCTGGCTTGAATGTTATGTAATACAGTTCTGTAGTGTTACAGGTGCTATATTTTGTTGATTAGTATTCTGCAGTAGGAGGCTTGGTATGCTATTTATTTATTTATTTACGTATTTATTTTTGAGACAGGGTCTTACTCTGTCGCCCAGGTGGCAATGTAGTGATTGTGGCTCACTGTGGTCTGGACCTCCTAGACTCAAGCAATTCTCCCACCTCAGCCTCCTGAGTAGCTGGGACTACAGTGTGCACCACCATGCCCAGTTAATTTTTGTAATTTTTTTGTAGAGGTGGGGTTTTGCCATGTTGCCCAGGCTGATCTTTAAACTCCTGGGCTCAAGTGATCTGCCCACCTTGGCCTCCCAAAGTGCTGGGATTACAGGTGTGAGCCACTTTGCCCAGCCCAGTGTGCTTTTGAAAAAAGCCCTTTGCATTCCCTAGAATGGCTGGGCACAGTGGCTCATGCCAGTAATCCCTGCACTTTGGGAGGCCAAGGCAAGAGGATTGCTTGAGCCCACGAGGTCCATGCTGTAGTGAGCTGTGATCACACCACTGCACTCTAGCCAGGGCGACAAGAGCTAGATCCTGTCTCAAAAAAAAAAAAAAAAAATTCCCTAGAACGACATGGAAATGGAGTTTTGCCTGTCATTGTTTTTAGATGGAGAGCATAAATTTGTGACACTCGTTTTGTTGTTGTTGTTTTTGAGACAGAGTCTTACTCTGTCATCCAGGCTGGAGTGCAGTGGCACAATCTCGGCACACTGAAACTTTTGTCTCTTGAGTTCAAGTGATTCTCCTGCCTCAGCCTCCTGAATAGCTGGGATTACAGGTGTGTGCCAACATGCCCGGCTAATTTTTTTGTATTTTAAGTAGAGATGGGGTTTCACCATGTTGACCAGGCTGGTTTCGAACTCCTGAACTCAAGTGATCCTCCCATCTCAGCCTCCTAAAGTGCTGTGATTACAGGCATGAGCCGTGGTGCCCGGCCATGACATTGGTTTTGATTTTATAATGAATAAATAGGAAGAAAGGAGGAGAGCTGCCTTTGAGACTGGCTCTGAAGACAAAATTATTTTTGCAAAAACCCAAAGATTGGTGAACTTCAGAGTTCACATAGGCTATGGTTTTATATATATTAGCTCATTAAAACTAAACCATGAAGAGTAATAGAAATGGAAGCTTACAGGGGTTATAACTTTTCCAAGGTCTCCTAGCTAGTTTTTGGAGGAGCCAAGACTTGGACCCCCAGTCTTTTGACCCCTAATCTGGAGTTTTATTTTGTTTTTCCCTCTAAAAGTGAATAATTCCTGTAGTTTTCAGGTCTGCTGCAAATGAAAGAGGGGAGCCTGGGGAGGCTGGTTTACAAACTTCAAAAACTCCACCAACCACACCCAAGCTCTAGTCCCTGTAGTAGTAACAATATTACTGGCTTTCTGTGCGTCAAGACATTTTTCTAAGCACTTTACATGAAATGCCTCATTTAATCTTCACAACCACCCTGTGTATTTTTATTCCTCCATTTTACAAAAAAGGAAGCTGCAGTTTCGAGTGGTTGATACTTTGCCCAAAGTCATATAGCTAATAAGGATAGATCTTATACTTAAACCCAGGCAGATAACAAAGCCTATACACTTAACCTCTTAAGAATCATAATTCCAAATTGTATTTCTTTAGTCAGTTTACAGTAGAAGAAATCATTCCAGGGACTGTGCTATTGGTAGGTGATTTTTTTGTGTGTGTGTGTGTGTGGGGTACTGAGTCTAGCTCTGTCACCCATGCTGGAGTGCAGCGGCATGATCTCGGCTCACTGCAACCTCCGCCTCCCGGGTTCAAGTGATTCTCCTGCCTCAGCCTCCTGAGTAGCTGGGATTACAGGTGTGCACCACCAAGCCTGGCTAATTTTTTATTTTTAGTAGAGACGGGGTTTCACCATGTTGGTCAGGCCGGTCTCAAACCCCTGACCTTGTGATCCGCTCACCTCGGCCTCCCAAAGTGCTGGGATTACAGGCTTGAGCCACCACGCCCGGCCGGTAAGTGATTTTTTTGTTTTTTGGACCTCCTATCTGGTTAGCACTGTCTAGTTGTTTGGTCCTTCTGGGTATTTGATTTAATTTAACTTCTTTTGGTTGGGAGTTCTTACAGACGAGACTGAGTTTTTATCATTATCATTGCTTGGATGAAGGATCTTTACTATGGACTATGGACTCTGGGTAATAGCAGGAATATCTTTCTAGTGTGGGTGGGATCCAGTAATGTAGGACTTAATGGCTTATTGAGAGTAAAACTAGGTATTCTCAGAAAATCTAGTCTTAAGGGGGAATAACAAGTTTCACTTTATGTTTCCTCAACCCCCTGACTTCAGGAATTCTTTGATTTTTTTTTTTTTTTTTTGGTGAGAGGAAATGTAGTCTATTTAAAAATCTAAGTAAGTGGAGGCCGGCTGCCGTGGCTCACGCCTGTAATCCCAGCACTATGGGAGGCTGAGGCAGGCGGATCATGAGGTCAGGAGATCGAGACCATCCTGGCTGACACGGTGAAACCCCGTCTCCACTAAAAATACAAAAAATTAGCCCGGTGTGGTGTCATGCACCTGTAATCCCAGCTATTCGGGAGGCTGAGGCAGGAGAATCGCCTGAACCCAGGAGGTGGAGGTTGCAGTGAGCTGAGATTGCACCACAGCACTCCAGCCTGGGCCACTAAGCGAGACTCCATCTCAAAAAAATAAATAAATAAAAAATGTAAGTGGCAAAGCTGGAAAGGCATTGGGCTGGACTTGTAATTACGACTCCTGACTGTCTGCCAAAGTCAGCTGAAGGTTTGTAGTGTGATCTTTTTGATGCATATGGCATGAGAAGAATCTTTTTTCCTTAAGTCTCCAAGCGATGAGACCATTTACTGTAGCCTGCCTAACAGCTTCATTCTTTCCCCACTCATACATTCCTTTTCCTCCCATTTTTTTTCTGTTTTCTCACTTCTATGTAGATATTATGGGTAACTCTTGAGCCTAAAAAAACAAAGTAGAACCCTTTTCTTTCCCTGTTTTCCTGTGATAGTTGAGAAGAAAGCTCTCAAAGGTTGTAGAGGAGAGGCTCTGGACCATCCATCTGGTACTGACTGCACTTCTATTTGGACTTGACACCATGGCATAGAAAGAGAACACAGGCTTTGGAATGGCATAGACCTGGGTTTAAATTCAAAATTTGCTATTAACTGTGAGACCTTGGGTAGTTTCTTCACCCATGAGTCTTATTTGCAATAAAACTTCCTTAGGGTTGTTGTAAGGATTGCCAAGATAGTAAATGTAAAACATTCAGTAATCATTAGTTTCACATTCCCTTTCTCCAAGGTAATAAATTGTTAAGGCCTCAAATACAGAATCAAGAACTTATTATGACAGATGTGTAATGATGTGATGACTTCCAGGCACTAGAGAAGTGTCCTTTGTCCCAGAAACACTGGTATAGGTGGGACGTTCTAGTAAATAGATTAGGAGTAGGGAAACCAGCCCATTCACTCCTTAGAACCTAGTTATGTTTTTGATCCAGTTGATTTCATCTACTAGTTCACAAAATAGTTTGAGGCTGAGACATTACGGTGAAGTAATGTAATTGGAAGTGTTAAACCAACTTTTGAAACAACTTAATACCTGACATTTGTATATAACATACATTGTCTCACCTAATCCTCACAACAACTCTGAGTTAGACCGGGCTAATTTCCTAACTCCTGGGAAGCAGCAATTTTTTTTCTTTTTCCCCAATTTGGTTCCTGGAAACGGGGCAAATGGATTTGGCATCTTACAAGTGAGAATATGACAGGGTTTACTGCCATTGTTGGGTAGTAGTAGAGCCAGAACTGGGACCAGTCTTCTTGAGTTGTGTTCTATCCCATATGGCCTCTGCTTCTGTCCTTTTTCAGGCAGAATATCTCCCCATGCTTTTAGACCTAGGAATCTGATCTTTTTGTGTAATTGTGCTGTCTTCTTTTCCAAATTAGAGCCAGGTGGTCAGCTTTAAAGCTGTGAAGATGGTGGAAGCTAATGTTTCTCCAGATACTGCTTTCTGACCTAGAGCCCTGAGTATTTTTCCTATCTCCCTTCCTAACCTTCTTCACTGAATTTAAGTTGCAGGGCCATTTATGGCCATCTATACACTTTCTCTTTGCAGCAGGGAATGTCACTGTATCCCCCGTGGTAGCAGTAATTTGGGCTTTTATTAGCAAAGAAGATTATAGGGTGGATGCTGCTGGAGTGGTAATTGCACTTCAGACCCTGTTGAAATTCAGTAACTGGAAGAATCTCTTTTTGAGCTCAGAGTCCTCTTGGTGTGGAAGGTTCATAGGTCATTGTACATAGTGGATAAGGGCAAGTACTTAAGAAATGGAGATGAAAGGGGAGCACCTTTTTTTTTAAAATAAGGGTGCTTATTCAAGAAAGACCTTTGAGTGGCCTGTTGGAATGTAGGGTGGGAATATGAGAAAGTGGCAATGGGTTTTGGACTGAAAGGAAGAAGAGTTGATAGGCGATTATGGGAACTTCGAGCTGGGGTAGGAGGAATTTAGGGAAGGGCAACCACGTTCTTTAAACTTAGGGACTGGATTGATTCAGGAGTTTATTGGACACTTACTTATCAGTTCCTTTGGGTACTCTTGCTTGCTGACTTCTGCATACACTCTAAGCCAAACAGGCCCGGGCATTTGTGCTTGGTGGGGCTCTGGGGAGCGTGGGAAAGGGAACTGAAGCAAAAGGCTCAGCCTAGGCTAGTCCCCACATGTCTTCCCCACACAACTTTTGCATTGGTTTCTCAATGTCTTTGTGGGCATGCTGGGACTGGGCTTTGAGGTTTCTGCCTTAGGGGTGGGAAGGGAGGGGGAAGGGCATTCCAACAGCAGTTTTTTTCTTTTTCCCCAATTTGGTTGCTGGAAACAGGGTAAATGGATTTTTATACATATTATAACCTGTTCCTGGTTATATATGGAAATACAAATAGAGGAGCTCTCACTTGACAGTAGAATCCAGGTTTTAATGAAAATGACATCCAAGGCCTAGGTATCTGAACACAACAAGGTCTAAAGGGCACTTGTCACATTAAGCAATTCCAAGTCATATTTTAAATTACTTCCTTTCATTCCTAATATTGCCCCTTGCTCTTCTTGTTTTTATGTATTGGGTATATTTTATTTTCCTCTCATTCCCATTTTTCCTTCAAATATTTCTGCAGCTCTCTCCTTCCTGCTTCCTCCTTGCTGTGGTGGCTGGGATGCTTCTTCCATGATTTTTTGAATCTAGACTGGGCTGTTCTCTGTGTTAAACCAATCAGTTGCGACCTTCTCTTAACAGGTGTGTATGGAAATATGTTTATTAAGAAGGAAAAATCTTACTTTTTAAGAAATATGTATTTTTATTCCTTTCATGTCATAGCAGAAAAAAATCTTTTTAAATACCTTTTTTCTTTATGGGTTGGTGAGAGGGTGGGAATTGGGGAGAATATTTATTTCAAAACCTGTCTTTCAACATTGTATATTTTGGACTGGCATAAAGTCTTTCATAGCTATAAGAGAGAAAAAAACCCATTGAGTCCAACAGAGTATCACTAATGCCTGTAAAACCTCCTGTTTATATAATGGTATGGAGAACTCTTCATTTTTATATAACTATCTTTTATTGTATAGATAGCACACATAGACCCTCTAGATACTTGGATATTTATCCTGAGTTGGAACAAATAAAAGGGTAAAAAGATAGTCTATTTAAAACAAGAGTGTCCAATCTTTTGGCTTCCCTGGGCTACAGTGGAAGAAGAATTGTGTTGGGCCATACATAATGTACGCTAAGGATAGCCAATGAGCTAAAAAAGAATTGCAAAAAAAAAAATCTCATAATGTTTCAAGAAAGTTTACAAATTTGTGTTGGGCCGCATTCAAAGCTGTCCTGGGCTGCATGCGTCCCGCGGGCCAAGGGTTGGACAAGCTTGAGTTAGAGGTTTCTGCAGGATTACAGAGATGTGGGAACTTCCAGCCATTGACGTGTGGAGGTTAGGATATGAACTACTGTGAGGTGCACTTTCAGAGGTTGAGGCTAATACTCCTTTTCCTACTTCCCAAGGAGGTGAAGTTTCCTGAAGACAGTGCTTTTTTACATGTAGAGTTTTTTGTGGTTCTGTTACTCTGTTGTCTCCATTAGTCAAGGAACACGTTTTGCCATCAATATAATATTTAACAAACTATAGTAGTATAGTTTGGAAAGTAGAAACGCCCTTTTATGAATGTATTATTATATTTTTGGAGGCAGAGTCTCACTCTGTTGTCCAGCCTGGAGTGCAGCGGTGCCATCTCGGCTCACTACACTCTCCGTCTCCTGGGTTCACGCAATTCTCATGCCTCGGCTGGGATTACAGGTGCCTACCACCATGCCTGGCTAATTTTTGTATTTTTAGTAGAGATAAGGTTTCCCCATGTTGGCCAGGCTGGTCTTGACCAACTGAACCTGACCTCAAGTGATCCACCCACCTCGGCCTCGTAAAGTGCTGGGATTACAGGTGTGAGCCACCTACTTTCATTTCTTTCTTTCTTTTTTTTTTTTTTTTGAGACGGAGTCTTGCATTGTCGCCCCAGCTGGAGTGCAATGGCGCGATCTTGGCTCACTGCAACCTCCGCTATTCTCCTGCCTCAGCCTCCCGAGTTGCTGGGATTATAGGAGTACGCCACCACACCCGGCTAATTTTGTCTGTGTGTGTGTTTTTTTTTTTTTTTTTTTTTTTGAGACGGAGTCTTGCACTGTCGCCTAGGCTGGAGTGCAATAGTGCGATCTTGGCTCACTGTAAGCTCCACCTCCGGCGTTCACGCCATTCTCCTGTCTCAGCCTCCCGAGTAGCTGGAATTACAGGCTCCCGCCACCACGCCCGGCCTTTTTTTGTATTTTTTTAGTAGAGACAGGGTTTCACTATGTTGGCCAGACTGGTCTCGAACTTCTGACCTCGTGATCCGCCTGCTTCGGCCTCCCAAAGTGCTGGGATTACAGGTGTAAGCCACAGTGCCCGGCCTTTTCATTTCTTAATTGGCATTTAGTTTAGCATAGTAATTTTTTTTTTTTAATTTGCTGCCACTTCAGCAGTTTTAGTGTTTAGATGTGGGAGAGGTTAAGTAAGATCTGTATTGCCCTATTATCTCTAAAAGTGGCTTGTCCCTGCAGGATAGTGAATGCTTGTCTGTACCATTGGAGTTACACATTTCATTGAGTTGATACCAGCAGATTTTTTTCAGGGAAAAATAATCCAATCTCATAACTACAGCACCTCACCACATTCTCCCTCTCCTAACAGTGTAGAGACTTAGATTTAATTGCACCTTTCCTTTCAATAGTTATTTCTGGTGGGATGTTGAAGAAAGCTAGTGGGCAAAGGATTCCGCTTGAACAGACACTGGTGATGGGCTCCCAGGCTTGGCGGTGGCTTGCTTTCTGCACTGCAGTAAAACCACGAGAGGGCATCTTTGGCTCTGGGATTAATAATTCATCTGTCTTCTCTGACCTGTGACCTTTTCTCTCCTTTCTCTTACCCTTTCCCGGTAGTGTGAAGTGAGGGGGTCTCTCTCCCTCCTTCTCCTTCCTCTGTGATTCACCTTCCTTTTTACCCTGCCCTGCGGCGGCTCCGCCCCTTACCTTCATGGACGACTCAGAGGTGGAGTCGACCGCCAGCATCTTGGCCTCTGTGAAGGAACAAGAGGCCCAGTTTGAGAAGCTGACCCGGGCGCTGGAGGAGGAACGGCGCCACGTCTCGGCGCAGCTGGAACGCGTCCGGGTCTCACCACAAGATGCCAACCCACTCATGGCCAACGGCACACTCACCCGCCGGCATCAGGTAACCCCTCTCTCCATCAGACGTGCAGGTAGGACTTTGGCATGGTCACAGAGAGGCTATGATCCTTTTTGGGAAGCTACTCTCCTTTTGGTGATGGGCTGTCCAGTGCCCGTTCTTCCAGGGATTTTTTTCCAGGGGTGTTAAATGCTGATAAGAGACAAGGAATATTGCTGCTGGACTGAGCTGGGTGCAGTTACTATCTCTAGAAGCATCCATCTGACTTCCTGTTTTGCTGGAGTAGGTTTTTTGGGGTGGGCTACAATTCTAGTAATGGTAGATAGTTTAGTTTGCAGCTGTACTCAAGTTACTTTTCTTTTCTGATTTTTTTTTCTTGGTATCAAAAAATCAGGAAAGTAAATGCCCACTTAATGGTTGGGCATCTTGTGCTCTCAGCCCTAGTTCAGTCTCCCTGAGGGAACAGTCTGTACCCAGGTGTGGCAGTATCCATAAATTGTGTACTCCTGCTCCATATTGTCCTTGTGTGCTCTTTTTGTTGGCTGTGTAAATCATGTGTTGGAGGAAGGGGTCATTGTTAATTCTGTTGGTTAGAGTTGGAGAGGGAGCATCATGCTGCTGTTTAACCCAAATAACCACAGGAGCCAGTGGTCTCTGGGTTGGCTGACTCTGTGATGTGACTTGGGAGAGTTGGTGTTAGAAATGAGAAGTATCTTGTGTTTCCTCTGGTTTTTCTAGTCTGACTTTGCTGTGATGTAATCTGTCTGAGGTTTTGTCTGTCTTCCTCTGTGTGTGTGTGCGTGTGTGCGCGCGCACTCGCGCATGTGTGTGTGTGGTAGACATTGCCTGATAGATTGCATCTTACGAGAGATCTCTGAGTGGGAACCAGAACAGTACTCATGCCCTGATAGTCCTTTTCATTGAGTAATTTTTATTTATTTATTTAAATAGGAGTGCAGTGGTGCAATCTTGGCTCACTGCAACGTTCGCCTCCCGGGTTCAAGCAATTCTCCTGCCTCAGCCTCCTGAGTAGCTGGGACTACAGGCGTGTGCCACCACACCCAGCCAATTTTTGTAGTTTTAGTAGAAATGGGGTTTCACCATGTTGGCCAGGATGGTCTCGATCTCTTGACCTCGTGATCCACCTGCCTCGGCCTCCCAAAGTACTGGGATTACGCGTGAGCTACTGCACCCGGCTGAGTGATTTTTTTTTTTTTTTTTTTAAGATAGAGAAAGTCCCTCATACTGAGGAGCCTTGCAGTTGAGAGAGAACAGAATTCCAGTTGGAGGATCAAGGAATTTGAGGGAGGCAGCATGCTTGCAGTGTTCCTAGGATTTTTACAGGAACTACAATAGAAAGTTAGGGATGAAATTATATTGAAAGGAGAAAGCTGGACTGCTCAGGTTTGGAGGTCATGGGGAATTCCAGGATTCAGTATGTGGTTGCTCTCTTATTTTTAACTTCTGCTTAGCAGTAAAACCACACCCTTCCTTCTTCCTGAAAGTAATGTTTAACTTCCTCTCCCTGCAGCATTACACTCTATGTAATGGGAGTGGGGTGGAGGAAGAGTCTCCCAAGGTGGTTGGATCTCACTATTCTACTGGAAGAGGAGCAGGCAAATATATTTTTATGTGGTATAATGTCATTAGATTATTTCCTGCTGCTTAAGACAGAGCAACTTCTGGATGACATTTTGGAATGTATTCTGTGGCTCTAATAATTGTTGGTAAAGATATTGAGCCTTCTGTTTTCTTGAGGGGAGTTGGGGTGCTTGTTTTTGTACTTGGAAAGGGAGACTCGTATCTCTTGCTTTTTTCTTTAATTAAATTTCTGTTTTTTACATTAGGACATGATAGCCATCTTGCTTCTTTCTTTAAAAAGCTGCCTGGAATGGGAGTTTCCAGTGGTAGTACTGCATGAAGATTCATGAGACTATAAAGCTCTTTGGAAACCCCCCAACTTAGCCCTTCCAACTTTCCTTACATTTTTATGGCTTTCCAAAAAGGTTGCATGTAAGGGAAATTATCTAGGTCTGTGCTGTTTATTCAGCAAATAGTTTTTGAGCACCTGTTATGTGCCAGGCACTGTTCAAGGCACTAGACTAAACTAAACTTATCCCAAAAAACCCTCTGCCCTCGTGGAGTTTACGTTCTTATGTTCCAGAGACCCTGTCTGCCAGAGTTCCAGGCCTGATTTTCAATTTTGAGGAAAGTGCTAAGACTAAAGAGTGAATGGTTCTTTTATGAGTACTGACACAAGGACTCCAGGCCACACATATCTTCTTGAAAGCCCTTTTCCTGTTTGAAAAAAAGATCGTTTGTATTTGATAGAGCAAAAGAAGGCCACAAAATGAATTGTCTTCTTGTGGGCTGTGTTTCAGAACGGCCGGTTTGTGGGCGATGCTGACCTTGAAAGACAGAAATTTTCAGATTTGAAACTCAACGGACCCCAGGTAATTCTTTGGCTCAAGACCTGGGTTGCTTCATTCATATTTTCTTATTTCCCCAGCCTATAAGAGCATATTTGTGTCTTGTAAGGTGCCTGGCACATTGTACATACTCGTCAATTAGTTTCTTTTATTTACGAAAACAAAGAAGTGGAGCTCCAAAGTATATATGCAGTTTTGTTTTGGAATGAATTTTAATGACCATTGATCTTTATGACTATTCCTCCTCCCCACTGCCACCCCATTTGATCCCTAAGTACTGCGTTTCTTTTCTAGAGACAGTAGGCTTCTACTTTGCAGCAAAAAACCCTACCTAAAATCTGGCTGGTCTTGAGCCTTTTAGACGGTATCTGAAGAGTAACATAAAGCCAGTCAAAAGATGGCTCTTACTGGGATTTTCAGGTTTGTCTTAAAAGTTCTTTATTTTTGGCCAGGCATGGTGGCTCATGCCTGTAATCCCAGCACTTTGGGAGGCTGAGGTGGGCAGATCACCTCAGGTCGGGAGTTGGAGACCAGCCTGACCAACATGGAGAAACCCCGTCTCTACTGAAAATACAAAATTAGTCAGGCGTGGTGGCACATGCCTGTAATCCCAGCTACTCGGGAGGCTGAGGCAGGAGAATTGCTTGAAACCAGGTGGCGGAGATTGTGGTGAGCTGAGATCATGCCATTGTACTCCAGCCTGGGCAACAAGAGCAAAACTCTGTCTCAAAAAAAAAAAAAAAGTTCTTTATTTTAGACTGGGCACGGTGTCTCATGCCTGTAATCCAACACTTTGGGAGGCCAAGGCAGAGCAAAACTCCGTCTCAAAAAAAAAAAAAAAACAAAGTTCTTTATTTTGGCCAGGCGTGGTTTGCTCATTCCTGTAATTCCAGCACTTTGGGAGGCTGAGGCTGGAGGATTGCTTGAGCCCAGGAGTTCAAGACCAGCCTGGGCAACATAGACCCTGTCTCTACAAAAAAAATAAAATTAGCCAGGCATGGTGGCGTGAGCCTGTAGTTCTAGCTACTCAGGAGGCTGAAATGGCAAGATTGCTTGAGCCTGGGAGGTTGGGGCTCCAGTGAGCTATGATCATGCCACTGCACTCTAGCTTGGGTGATAGAGTGAGACCCTATCTCAAGTAAATAAATACAAGTTATTTATTTATTGGGTGAGCTGCTCTTTTGAGGGATCACTCAGATATAGATGAAACTGCATTTAACACAGTTCATGTTCACTTAGATGACCACAGCTGGGAAGTTAAATCTACTGTCTGTCACTTGGATGTTGATGTGGCTATAGTTAGTTCATGTTTGTTAAATGACTACAACTGGGAAATTATGTCTACTGTCCTTTTGTACAAGTTCAAAAGATGACAGCCACCCATCTAAAAATCCTGAGGCCTATAGAAGATGCATGAGGAGTCCCTGTCTCCAGGTTTACCACTTATGCTTCTTATTAGGATGGCTTGTTATACATAGCACTTAATAGTAGTTTCTTCTCTTTTCTCTTTTGCATATAGGATCACAGTCACCTTCTATATAGCACCATCCCCAGGATGCAGGAGCCGGGGCAGATTGTGGAGACCTACACGGAGGAGGATCCTGAGGGAGCCATGTCTGTAGTCTCTGTGGAGACCTCAGATGATGGGACCACTCGGCGCACAGAGACCACGGTAAACTAAGACGTGTGTAAGATCTGGAAGTGATAAGAGGTCTTTTCTTCTCTATTAGGGGAGGGGTTAAGCACTTAATTAAGATGGAGGACTGATATGCCATTATTGATCTGATTGCATGAAGTGATCTCTGGCCAGATAGAAAGGATGAAGAGATGGGAAAATCTTATGGGATAGGGAAGACAGAAGGTATATCAGGGTCTATAGTAGCTTCCCTTATAAGCATAGTTACTGTCAGGGCAATTTTCCTGCTTGGGGACTTCCTATAGGATGGAAAGAAAGATAGATGGTAGGCTTTAAGGCATTCCTAGGTAAAGTGACCTAGGGATATAAAGATTTGTTTCTTTTGGAGTGGTATAGAATTTAATTGTTCATGGCTGGGCGCGGTGGGTCACGCTTGTAATCCCAGCCCTGTGGGAGGCTGAGGTGGGCGGATCACGAGGTCAGGAGTTTGAGACCAGTCTGGGCAACATAGTGAAACCCCGTCTCTACTAAAAATACAAAAAATTAGCCAGGTGTGGTGGTGTGTGCCTGTAATACCAGCTACTCGGGAGGCTGAGGCAGGAGAATTGCGTGAACCTGGGAGGCAGAGGTTGCAGGTGAGCCGAGATCACGCCATTGCACTCCAGCCAGGGCAACAGTGCAAGACTCCATCTCAAAAAAAAAAAAAGAATTTAATTGCTCACTTCCTTAATTAGTTTTTCTTTTTCTTGTTTCCTACTTGCAGGTCAAGAAAGTAGTGAAGACTGTGACAACACGGACAGTACAGCCAGTCGCTATGGGACCAGACGGGTTGCCTGTGGATGCTTCATCAGTTTCTAACAACTATATCCAGACTTTGGGTCGTGATTTCCGCAAGAATGGCAATGGGGGACCTGGTCCCTATGTGGGGCAAGCTGGCACTGCTACCCTTCCTAGGAACTTCCACTACCCTCCTGATGGTTATAGTCGCCACTATGAAGATGGTTATCCAGGTGGCAGTGATAACTATGGCAGTCTGTCCCGGGTGACCCGCATTGAGGAGCGGTATAGGCCCAGCATGGAAGGCTACCGGGCACCTAGTAGACAGGATGTGTATGGGCCCCAACCCCAGGTTCGGGTAGGTGGGAGCAGCGTGGATCTGCATCGCTTTCATCCAGAGCCTTATGGGCTAGAGGATGACCAGCGTAGTATGGGCTATGATGACCTGGATTATGGTATGATGTCTGATTATGGCACTGCCCGTCGGACTGGGACACCCTCTGACCCTCGTCGGCGCCTCAGGTAGGCAAGAATAGGGGAAGAGAAAAGGGTCTTTCCAAGACCAGGGACAAGGGGTAGCTTTTCCTTCAACTTCTAGGGGCTTTTTGGGATCAGAGATACTCGTGGCCTCCTCCCCTCTGCTTTTTTTTGGGGTGAAAAGCTACCCTGTTTTTCCCTTTTCTGACTTGGCTTAGTATTGACTTGCTATATATATATAATATAAATATATATATAATTTTTTAAATGAAAATAATATAATTTTATTTTTTATTTTTTTGAGACAGAGTCTTGCTCTTTCACCCATGCTGGAGTACAGGGGTGCCATCTTGGCTCACTGCCACCTCCGCCTCCTGGGTTCAAGTGATTCTCATGCCTCAGCCTCCCTAGTAGTTGGGACTACAGGCAAGCACCATCACGCCTGGCTAATTTTTATATTTTTAGTAGAGATGGGGTTTCACCATGTTGGCCAGGCTGGTCTCAAACTCCCGACCTCTGGTGATCCACCCGCCTTGGCCTCCAAAAGTGCTGGGATTACAGGCGTGAGCCACCGCGCCTGGTCCACAAGTTGTTTTCTATAATTGAATATATGGGCCAGGCGCGGTGGCTCACGCCTGTAATCCCAGCGCTTTTGGAGACTGAGGTGGGTGGATCACCTGAGGTCCGGAGTTCAAGACCAGCCTGACCAACATGGAGAAACCCCGCCTCTACTAAAAATACAAAATTAGCTGGGCGTAGTGGTGCATGCCTGTAATCTCAGCTACTCGGGAGGCTGAGGCAGGAGAATCATATGAACCCGGGAGGCAGAGGTTGTGGTGAGCCAAGATCATGCCATTGCACTCCAGCCTGGGCAACAAGAGCGAAACTCCACCTCAAAAAAAAAAAAAAAAAAAAACAACTTGTGATTGTTATTAGTCTGTGTCCTGAAGAATGAACTTTGCTTCTGCTTCTATGCTGAAGTTTTTGCTGTTTCTGGCTAAGATGTGACCCCCTTTTGGTGTGTTAGGCAGAGGATTCTGATGTCTGGGGCCATGGAATTCTTGCTCACTTCTTCCTGGGAATTTCTTTAGTTTCTGATTTGGTATTAAGAACAGAGTCCATTGGGCACGGTGTCTCACGCTTGTAATCCCAGCACTTTGGGAGGCCGAGTTGGGCGGATCACGAGGTCAGGAGATCGAGATCATCCTGGCTAACACGGTGAAACCCTGTCTCTACTAAAAATACAAAAATTAGCCGGGTGTTGTGGCTCGTGCCTGTAGTCTCAGCTACTCAGGAGGCTGAGGCAGGAGAATCACTTGAACCCGGGTGGCAGAGGCTGTAGTGAGCCGAGATCCCGCCACTGCACTCCAGCCTGGGTGACATAGTGAGACTGTCTCAAAAAAAAAAAAAAAAAAGCCAAAAAAACCCCAAAACAAAACATAGTTGAGGGTTTTAGGAATTCAGAACCAAAAGAGACAGTTGAGGACGTGTATAAGAACTTTCTTGTGTTTTTAATCCCAAAGTTAAAAACAAACTTTGACCTCACAAGGGCCTTGACATTCTATGCTTAGGGTCTTATTATTTGATTGTAAAGTGAAATTGTGGTGGCATCCTTGGGTGGGGGTCGGGGGATACATTAGCAACACTCTGAAAGGTCACTAAGCAGCTGCCTACTCTGACTTTACTACTTGTTCCTGGAGATTCTTTGGTGATGTGAAAAAAGGAGTGATTGATGTTTGGACTGGTACATGGTTTGCCTTGTTGCATTGAGAGAATGCTTTAGAATGGGGTCGACAGACCCCTGAAAATGACCACGTAGAACTATTTTAGGCTTTGCAGGCCATGTATCATCTTTGTCGTATGTTGTTCTTTTTTTCAAACAATCTTTTAAAAATAGCATTATGGGGATGTACAAAAACAGGTTTGGCCCATGGGCTGCCAATGCTGCTTCAGAATAAATTAGAAACAGTGTTTTCCAGGTAAAGAGAAATGATAAGAAACAAGGGATGATTTATGGTTGTCTTGATGGTAAGGATATCCTAGCAGCTGTTGCTGAATTTCTCTATATGGGGTCATGACCTTTTAAAGCAAATGCCTTGGTGCTCATTTTCCTCATATATTAGGTAGCTTTGGTTAAGAGTGAACAGGGCTGGGCCCAGGGGTAGAGGCCCCATTATCTAAGACTGAGTCACTCACCTTTCAGGTGTCTTGGATAGCTAATCCAACTCCCATGTGACTCATTTTTATTCCTACAGGAGCACCAGACCTCGGCTGGTGCAACCTAGAGCAGTGGTAGATAACAGCCTTCATTGAAGCAGTCTGTCCAGGGTGTTGGCTCTACTGCAAGTCTGCTTTTTCTGACTTCCTCATTAGTAAAGAGTGATTGGACCCAGATGGGTGTGGGTGGCCAGGTCATTCTCTGCCATCCCTAGTTGTGCTAGTTCACATAGAGTTTTGGGCCTGGTTCTTGGGTTTGTTCCAGGGTAGCACTGGACTTGGAAACCTGCTTGACTAGCAAGCATATTTGCTGCTTCCTGTTCCAGGCTAGAAGAGTAATACAAGGTCAAACTTAAACAGTGAGGCAGTGATTAGTGGAAAAAGCACTGAACCCTGAGACCTTGGTTCTAGTTGTGCCTTTGCCACTAGCTAAGTAGCCTCAAGCAAGTCATTTGGTCTTCCCAGGCACAGCTTTGTTTCTTGTAAAACAAAGGAAAGAATGTCCAATCCACTGCCTTTGTATAGAAAAGGATATAGGATAGAGTTATCTGGAAATTTTGGTTATGGTAATTGTTCTTATAATTTTGTATATTAATAATAGAGGTTAAACATGTTCAATACAGAGCCTGAAAAACCCAGAAAAGCATTACCATCTATTGATAAAGAACCACTGTTAACATTTTGGTGCATATCCTTTGAGTTTTTTTAATTATACATGTAACTATATCCTATTTTCCCTCTACTAAAATGGAATCTTAACATACTGCTTAATAGCCTACTTTTAAGCTATCTAAGCTATTCATTTTGTTTCCGTGTTTTTTTTTTTTTTTTTTTTTTTTTTGAGATGGAGTCTTGCTCTGTCACCCAGGCTGGAGAGCAGTGGTGCGATCTGGTATTATACCCAGGAGGCTTTTTGTTCCATGCATGGTATTTTATAATGTTAGTAAATACTTTTCCTTAATTTTATAGTAAGCAGAAAATTTTTATGGTTGGGGTGGATGCAAAAGTGATACATAATAGTTTAGAAGACAACCAATTTTGTTTTACCAGCTGTTTGGGCATTTTTAGTACCCCCTTCTTGATTTGAAGGGTTTAATCTTGACCTTTTTTTTTTTTTCTTCGAAATAGAGTCTCGCTCTGTCACTTAGGCTGGAGTGCAGTGGCACAATCTCAGTTCACTGCAACCTCCACCTCTTGGGTTCAAGCGATTCTCTTGCCTCCGCCTCCCAAGTAGCTGGGATTACAGGTGCCCACCACCATGCCCAGCTAATTTTTGTATTTTTAGTAGAGATGGTGTTTTTCCATGTTGGCCATGCTGGTCTCGAACTTCTGACCTCAGGTAATCCGCCCACTGCAGCCTCCCAAAGTGCTGGGATTACAGATGTGAGCCACCATGCCTGGTCCTGTTTCCGTGTTATTTTAAGACCATCTTGGTCATGGTTTACTAAATGCTTTGTCCATCTGAATCACTGTTGCATAGTTGATGTTGATACCTGTGAGGCAGGCCTTCTGCTCAGGGCAACCTTGAGTATTTGTTGACAGTGGGAGTGGTTTTGTAGAACAAACAATGGCTTATTTGGAGAGCTCCACACAATAGATTATCCTCTCCTGTGGGAGCCAGAAAGAGATGAGCTCACAGATAATGGGTTTCTTCCTTCCTGGTAGTTACGAATAAATAATAGTGTGACAGACTCACCCTCTAGTGGTTGTTGGTAGTACTGAAACAGGAAGAATTGTCTCCTGGTTTGATTTTTCTTACTTTCAATTGCTTTCTCTGTTCCTAGTGGCTGGGCTTCCCAAATGTGATGTTGGTGAATAGGCTTCATTTTGAAAGAGCTGGAGGTATTGTCTTTAGAAATTGGAGGATGGAATCTTACCTCTTAACACATTTGTTGAGTAGCAGACATGACCTTGGAATGACTGTGAAAATTACTTTTCAAGTTTATACCTCATCAGTACCAAAGCCAGATCCTCCTGTGATGTAGCAGGAAGCCCTTTATTAGTTTTTCTCTATCAATCCATCTTTTATAATTTCCAAAATAGGATAAGGAGAAGCTTAAATATGAAATGTATTTAAAGGTCTTATCCTACCAGTTGTTTCCTGTGTGTAAATGCCTAATTTCCTGTTTGGTTAAGGAACTGTTCTCAGACTTCTGTGGCATTGAGTCAGTTGCTTTGGTTAATTCTGTTCTCTGAGAGTTTATCCTGATCTCTACCTAGACAAGTTAATAACTGTCAGATATCATTCAAATAAATGATAAGTAGTAAGGATTTGGTTCTTTCTTTTTGATTAGCCTTTCCTGAATGCTTGTTACTTTCTAAGCCTGCAGACTTCAAAGAAAAAAATGTAGTTTTAATTAAATTGCAGGTGTTTTTAAAATTATTACCTTTTATTTTTACTAACCCATTGAGGAAAATTGATCAGTATATTATTCATGCAAAGGAGAGATAAGATGAGCACACTGAAACTCCAGTTAATCCTCCTTTGCAGATGAGGGTAATGGGAATGTCCAGGAAGCTAGCCATAATGACTTGATGTATTCTCTTGGTTCTTCCAAAACTTCTCAGGAGCTATGAAGACATGATTGGTGAGGAGGTGCCATCGGATCAATACTACTGGGCTCCTTTGGCCCAGCATGAGCGAGGAAGTTTAGCAAGCTTGGATAGCCTGCGCAAAGGAGGGCCTCCACCTCCTAATTGGAGACAGCCAGAGCTGCCAGAGGTGATCGCCATGCTTGGATTCCGCTTGGATGCTGTCAAGTCCAATGCAGCTGCATACCTGCAACACTTATGCTACCGCAATGACAAGGTGAAGACTGACGTGCGGAAGCTCAAGGGCATCCCAGTACTGGTGGGATTGTTAGACCATCCCAAAAAGGAAGTGCACCTTGGAGCCTGTGGAGCTCTCAAGAATATCTCTTTTGGACGTGACCAGGATAACAAGATTGCCATAAAAAACTGTGATGGTGTGCCTGCCCTTGTGCGATTGCTTCGAAAGGCTCGTGATATGGACCTTACTGAAGTTATTACCGGTGAGTTCTAGGCCTAAGGAAAATTGCTAAGTCAGTGTTACTCTCTAGTGATGTTGAGAACTAGAGGGATTTCCAGACCTTTTACTTTTGATGAAAGGTTGTGAACTGGTGGCTGTGGGTCAAATCCATCTCACAGATTTGTTTGGATCACACAGCATTATTGAAATTTTAAAGAACTGGTTGCTGATGTTTAAAATTCAGAAGATTTCACTTAAAATTCCAGATTCTTGGCTTCTATTAAAAACGTGGAAGAGTTGTTAACAATGGATCTCTTTTCTTCCTTAGCAGTATTTGGTCTGAACTGATTGGAGCATGTGCTCTCTAATTTACACTAATCTCCAACACATTCTATTATCTGACCAACTACAGCTGTTTAGGAAGTTGTTTCCCAAACATGGAGCTGTCAACTGCTATTTTTTCACATGCTTGTAATTTCTTTTAATTATCTTCCTCTCTTGACTCACCGGCTTGACCCATATAGACATTTAAGCTTGTGGTTCTTGCTTTATTTAGAGCAGTAGTTTTTCAGATTGTGGGTTGTGATCTATTTGTGTGATCCGTTAGTGAATAAAACAAAATTTTGTGGAGCATAATCAGCATTCCAAGGGAAAGGAATAAAGAAAAAGTAGTATAGACCATTGTTTCTCAGTTGTGGGCCATTTTGCCTGCCCTGCCCTGAGGACATTTGGACATTTGCAGTGTTGGAGATATTTTTGGTTGTTATAACTTGGAACAGGGGAGAGGGAGTGCTACTGGCATCTAGTGAGTAAAGGCCAGGGGTACTGGTAAACATCCAACAATAGACAAGACAGCTCCTCATAACAAAGAATCATCTGGCCGAAAATGTCAGTGGTGCTGAGGTTGAAAAACTCTGGTATAGACAGATCGGAGAGCATTGAGCATTGCTTATAGTTTTGTTTGTTTTTTTTGAGATGGAGTCTCGCTCTGTCACCCAGGCTGGAGTGCAGTGGCACAATCTCAGCTCACCGCAAGCTCCGCCTCATGGGTTCACGCCATTCTCCTGCCTCAGCCTCCCAAGTAGCTGGGACTACAGGTGCCCGCCACCACGCCCGGCTAATTTTTTGTATTTTTAGTGTTAGCCAGGATGGTCTTGATCTCCCAACCTTGTGATCCGCCCGCCTTGGCCTCCCAAATTGCTGGGATTACAGGCGTGAGCCACCACACCCAGCCTGAGCGTTGCTTATAGTTAAACATTGTTTGTTTCATGATCTGTATGTTTATTTTGAGCTATAATGTAGAATATGTTTCTTGGTGAGGGTCGCAAACAAAGCTTGAATATTACTATAAGGTATTTGGTCACTGGGGAAGACTGAGAAGTGATACGATAGGGGGATTCTCTTTGACGTTCTTCAGACATATTGTCTTGAATGCTCAAGAGCCATCTGATGAATTGTCTCTTCCAGGAACCCTGTGGAATCTTTCATCCCATGACTCAATCAAAATGGAGATTGTGGACCATGCACTGCATGCCTTGACAGATGAAGTGATCATTCCTCATTCTGGTTGGGAGCGGGAACCTAATGAAGACTGTAAGCCACGCCACATTGAGTGGGAATCGGTGCTCACCAACACAGCTGGCTGCCTTAGGTAACAGTAGGGACTTTGAGAATATGAAGATGAATTTTTGAGGACTGACTTAAATTTCCTAAAAAAAAAAAAAAATTAAAATTCTTTAGCCTATTCTTTAGCCTCCATTCCTATCTGTATTGCATACTGTAACTCCAACCTTTCTATCTTTGTTGCTATTCTCTCATGTATACCACATGTACCTATATCAGTTTTCTTGCTGTTCCCCACACATCCTCTTCACTTTTATGCCTCTTTGACTTTGTTCATCTACTTTGGTAAGCTTTTGTTCAGCATCTACCACATGTAAGGTGGTCTAGTCCTGGACTTGTGTGTGTCTATGTCCTTGCCCTAGTTATTTGTATTTCAAGTCAGGCTGTGATAAATTCAGCAAAAGGGGTACAGAGTACTAGGAGGTTAGGGCATGGGTGAGGAAGGTCTGTTCTTTCTGTGATGCCTTTCTCTTCTTATTTATCTTTTTGTGGTTAAACTCAAGTGCCTTTATTTTATTAAAGTTTTCCTGAATTCTTTTTATATCCTATAAATGCTGCTATATAATCTTTCTCTCTTTGGAATACACCTCTGTGTGCTGTGTTCCATTCTACATATGTATTATATACTTCCATACGAGAAGTATATATTCCATCTTGAATTACTGCATCTGGTACATATCATTAATCCCTACCCCACAGTGATATAAACATTCAGAAGGCAGGGACTGTTAATCAACTTTCTCTCAACTGCAGTACCTTGCTTATAATAGGTATTTACTATTACAGTGAGTAGAAAAACATATTCAGGAATCTTGTAGGTGTTGAGGGATATTTAAGGGAGGATTTCTGGATTTGAGTCATCTTGAAGCTTCTGGTTTCCCCTCAGGAATGTAAGCTCAGAGAGGAGTGAAGCTCGCCGGAAACTTCGGGAATGTGATGGTTTAGTTGATGCCCTCATTTTCATTGTTCAGGCTGAGATTGGGCAGAAGGATTCAGACAGCAAGGTAAGTGCTGTCTTACCTTTAATGGCTGAGTGAATTTCATTCACCACAACTATGAAGTATCTGTAGGTCAGAGACCTATCATCTCAGGCTTTCAAGTAACATTAAATATTTATACTGTCCCCTACCCCTTATTTTTGAGACAGAGTCTTGCTCTGTTGCCCAGCCTGGGGTGCAGTGATGTGATCTCAGCTCACTGCAACTTCTGCTTCCTGGGTTCAAGCGATTCTCATGCCTCAGCCTCCCAAGTAGATGGGATTACAGGCGTGTGCCACCACACCCAGCTAATTTTTGTATTTTTAGTAGAGACGGGGTTTCACCATGTTGGCCTGGCTGGTCTCAAACTCTTGACCTCACGTGATCCCCCTGCCTCAGCCTCCCAAAGCATTGGGATTACAGGCGTGAGCCACTGTGCCCAGCCAAGCCCTTACTCCTTAAAGTGGGTATTCAACTTAAAACATGTTTTTTGTTTGTTTGTTTGTTTTTTTGAGATGGAGTCTGGCTCTGTCCCAGGCTGGAGTACAGTCCCGTGATCTCGGCTCATTGCGACCTCTCCCTCCTGGGTTCAAGCAATTCTCTGCCTCATCTCCTGAGTAGCTGGGATTACAGGCACCTGCCACCATGCCCGGCTAATTTTTGTGTTTTAGTAGAGACAGGGTTTCACCAGGTTGGTCAGGCTGGTTTTGAACTCCCGACCTCAGGTGATCCACCCGCCTCGGCCTCCCAAAGTGCTGGGATTACAGGTGTGAGCCACTGTGCCCGGCTTTTTTTTCTTTTTTTTTTAAATCTGTCACCTATGTATTTTAAAGCTGCTTAGCTGTCTTCCAAAATTGTACATTGTCTAAGTAGTAAGAATGATGATCCAATTTCAGTCACACACCAAATAGTGGCAGAAGCCAATAAGTCCATAGTTGGACCTTCCATTAGCCTGAGGCTACCGGGATTTCAAGAAGCCTGGAGCACTTAAGAGGCATCCTGAGAAGTTATGGATTGGGTTATGCATTTGAAGATCAACATTTTAATACCTGAGTCATGGAAACCTGTACTTGTGGAGAAATCACAATAGACATTCTTTTTTCTCATTGGCCCTTTTATGTCCCTAAGCTTGTAGAGAACTGTGTTTGCCTTCTTCGGAACTTATCATATCAAGTTCACCGGGAGATCCCACAGGCAGAGCGTTACCAAGAGGCAGCTCCCAATGTTGCCAACAATACTGGGCCACATGCTGCCAGTTGCTTTGGGGCCAAGAAGGGCAAAGGTGAGTCTTGGTTCCTGTTTCTTAGTCTTTAATGTGGGATAGGGAAAGGAAGGAACACTTTAGCTTAAGGTACAAAATACTTGGCAACAGTATGGGAGTCTGCCTGGTTATGGATGTCTTTTTGGTTTGCTGCTTTCCCTGTGTTGTGTGCTTCATTCAAGGTGTGGTGATGGGATGGTGGTTGTGATGTGTTGGTGGTGGTGGTGGTGGTGGTGGTGGTGGTATCAATGAGTGGGGCAGTGGAAAATGAGAACTCAACTAATCTGGGACCTTCTTCCCCATACGTCCTTTGCATTTTCTGTGTTTTTCTTTTCTTCTCTGTGCTTCCCTGCTTATTTGCCCATGATTCTGCTGACATCTTTCTCCTGCATTTTTCTTATTTCATTTCTCTTCTCTGCTTTCTACCTTGGGTGATGCACTGGAAGATGAGTGGTTCTCCAGAGGTGAGTGGAGTCTTTTAAGGTGCTTATCTACTTCTAATTTGCATGTTTTGATTTTAGCTTCCCTAGTATGTCCTTGCCTAACCTTTCCCTGTCTATGCATGTAGGAAAGTTCAGTTGAGGAAGACACTGAAACAAGTTTAGCTCTTTGGAGCTAATAGCTCACGGCATGCTGTTTCTGGGCAGCAGTCCCCATTATCAGAACTCAGGACAATAGCATCAACAGTGGTCATCCTCATCTTACCTATCTGCTGCCTGTTTTCTATCCTTGTTTCTGAATAGTCCCCTGCTGGAACAAGTTGCCCTCACCTGCCCCTTTTCCCCTCGTGGTGCATCTGTGATCAAAAGGTTCTGACTGAAGGATGAAAAATGTGCCAGGTGGAATCTTTTCTTTTTTAAACTGGCTTACCCCTTTTCCCGCCCTTTTTCATTTTTGTAGGGAAAAAACCTATAGAGGATCCAGCAAACGATACAGTGGATTTCCCTAAAAGAACGAGTCCAGCTCGAGGTAAGTTATCTTCTCAGTCTCCAAAGGTCTCATAAACATAGTACAAAGATAAGATATTTAGTAACCTAACAGCAGACTTTATGTAATACGTTTATTGTCCTCTCTTTTCCAACTTACAGATTTGAAATGATTGTGAAAGTATTGGGAAGCTGCATAGTATTATAGCAGTAACTTAAAAAGGACTGCTTGTTAAGGCAGTTATTCAGGTTACTTGAGGATAGAATAAGGTCCTGATGGTAGTATAGAGCAGAAATTTAGGAACCATAAATGGCCACTGTAGTGCCTGAGACTTAAACCTCACTATTAAAAGAGGCTTCTTTACCAAGAAAGATACTTTTTAGGCTGGGCACAGTGGCTCATGCCTGCAATCCCAGCACTTTGGGAGGCCGAGGCGGGCAGATCACCTGAGATCAGGAGTTTGAGACCAGCCTGGCCAACATGGTGAAACCCTGTCTCTACTAAAAATGCAAAAATTAGCTGGGCATGATGGTGGGTGCCTGTAATCCCAGCTACTCTGGAGGCTGAGGCAGGAGAATTGCTTGAATCTGGGAAGCGGAGGTTGCAGTGAGCCAAGATCGCGCCACTGCACTCCAGCCTGGGCGACAGATAGAAACTCCGTCTCAAAAAAAAAAAAAAAAAAAAAAAAAAGAAAAGATACTTTTTGTACTTTACTAAAAGAAATTTGGATCTTTATATTCATCAATACAGTGAGTCCAAAGTTCACAGCTCTCCATGGATATAAAAATTGTAAACGTTTAATCTATAATGGACCCTTGTAGTAATCGCAGAGGTGGGAAGAATGACTGGGTTAAGTTAGAAATAATTGATTTGAGATGAGGAATTTTTAACCTTGAGTGCTGTCAATGAGCTAAATGGAGCCCCTGAGCGCTCATGGTAGAACCAAAGGCAAAGCTATGGGAGAGGAGGCAAGAAGGAAGGAAAGAGAGGAGTTGAGTATAATGAGTTGATATTTGTTCTACTCTTACCATGGATTCATTATTCTTAAGACATGGAATTTGGCCTCTAAGTTTGCTGTAGAGAGTGTGAGAGAGTTTAGGGAACCTGATGGTATAGAAGCATAAATCCATCAACTGAGAGTACTAAGGCTGGACTCCAGCCAGCTAGAGCCTGGTTTATTGGTACTGATTAGCACCCTCTGCTTCTATTTCTCTTTTGTGCAGGCTATGAGCTCTTATTTCAGCCAGAGGTGGTTCGGATATACATCTCACTTCTTAAGGAGAGCAAGACTCCTGCCATCCTAGAAGCCTCAGCTGGAGCTATCCAGAACTTGTGTGCTGGGCGCTGGACGGTACCTTTTAGAAAAGGGATTTGGAGATGGGAAAACTTAGATAACTAGTTTGCTGCCATTTGTAATTTGTTCCACCCCTTTCTATTTGCTATTCTAGTATGGTCGATACATCCGCTCTGCTCTGCGTCAAGAGAAGGCTCTTTCTGCCATAGCTGACCTCCTGACTAATGAACATGAACGGGTGGTGAAAGCTGCATCTGGAGCACTGAGAAACCTGGCTGTGGATGCTCGCAACAAAGAATTAATTGGTGAGGAGTTGAATGCTAACTGTTACCTCAAAATTTAGTACAGTGTTTGTAGTCCAGCAGGTGCCTAATAATTTATTGAATTTATTGAAATGACTGAAGGGAAGGACCCTCCCCCGCTTCATAGTTTATGAATGCGAGAGTTGGTAAGGGTTTTAGTTTAATGGTTCTTGGAAAGAAAACAAGTGACAACTCTTCAAAAATAAAATAATAATTGCTATTATTTATTGAGCACTTACTTTGTTACTAAGCGTTGTTAAACACTTCTGTGTTTCCATTTAATCCTCACCACTTTACAAAGGTCCATTTTTTTAAATAGGATAAGGAAATAACTCATGGAAGTTAAGTAAATTGCCCAGAGTTAATGTAGCTAGTTAGTAGCAGAACCCAGTTATTTATTTATATTTTAAATTCATAATAACTCTTCTATTAAATTATTATAATATTCAAGATATTTTCATTAGAGTATCTGAAAGGACTGTGTAGCTTATTTAATATACAGTATTTACACTTTCAATGTGGTTGAAGTAGAAAAGAAATAAAGGAATAGGTAGGACAGTAAATCCATGGCTATTTCAGGTCCTTAGCCCTTTTGATATGATAATCCTATAGGATAATGAAGTTGATTCATGTGGACAGCACCTACACTTGATATGATTAATGCAGTTAAGTATAATGTAAGGCTCTTCATGACCTGACTTGATCTTTTCTCCCTGCATACATTCTTTCTTACTAGGTAAACATGCTATTCCTAACTTGGTAAAGAATCTGCCAGGAGGACAGCAGAACTCCTCTTGGAATTTCTCTGAGGACACTGTCATCTCTATTTTGAACACTATCAACGAGGTTATCGCTGAGAACTTGGAGGCTGCCAAAAAGCTTCGAGAGACACAGGGTATTGAGAAGCTGGTGTTGATCAACAAATCAGGGTGAGCTTACCACCTAAAATTACAGTCAAAAGAATTTGAGTGAGTGGAGAGTTGTTTTCCTCTTTTGGTTACTAAGAAAGGAAATTTCCCCTTATTTACGTGTAATGTGTGAAGAGCTATTGCTCTATTATCTGTCTTAATGTTGATCCATAAATTGATAATAGATTCATGTCAAACTTTTCTTGTGTCGCTATTTGGGATAGAATACAGGATTTGGTAAAAATTTGATTTAACCCATTTTGGCATTTATATTCTTTTTTGTTTGTTTGAGGCAGAGTCTCGCTCTGTCACCCAGGCTGGAGTGCAGTGGCGCAGTCTCTGCAACCTCCACCTCCCGGGTTCAAGTGATTCTCCTGGCTCAGCCTCCTGAGTAGCTGGGACTACAGGTGCGTGCCACCATGCCCAGCTAATTTTTTGTACTTTTAGTGGAGATGGGGTTTCACCGTGTTAGCCAAGATGGTCTCCATCTCCTGACCTCAGGTGATCCACCTGCCTCAGCCTCCCAAAGTGCTGGGATTACAGGCAGGAGCCACTGTGCCCTGCCCCTGGCATTTATATTCTTATGTTATTAGAGGATATAGGGTCTAAGCTTTTTTCCTGATTTTATATCCAAATTCCGTATGGTGTTACTTTCCTCCAAAGGAACCGCTCAGAAAAAGAAGTTCGAGCAGCAGCACTTGTATTACAGACAATCTGGGGATATAAGGAACTGCGGAAGCCACTGGAAAAAGAAGGATGGAAGAAATCAGACTTTCAGGTATAGTAACTTTTGAGACCAAGACTTTTACTTTTTTTTTCTTGGTCCCAGGATAATGCTTCTGTTTTCTTTCGTTTCTTCCATTTCACCATCATGCTAAACCTATTTTTTTTTTCTTTTTCGGAGACAGAGTCTCACTCTGTTGCCCAGGCTAGAGTGAAGTGGCGCAATCTCGGCTCACTGCAACCTCTGCCTCCCGGGTTCAAGTGATTCTTGTGCCTCAGCCTCCCCAGTAGCTGGGACTACAGGCACATGCCACCATGCCCAGCTAATTTTTTATATTTTTAGCAGAGATGAGGTTTCACCATGTTGGCCAGGTTAATCTTGAACTCTGAGCTTAGGCAACCTGCCTCGGCCTCCCAAAGTGCTAGGATTACAGGCATGAGCCATCACACCTGGCCTCATGTTAAATCTATTTTTGACCCATATTTCTTAATTAGGAATTATTTGGCCAGGTGTGGTGGCTCACACCTGTAATTCCAACACTTTGGGAGGCTGAGGCAGGTGGATTGCCTGAGCCTAGGAGTGTGAGACCAGCCTGGGAAACATGGCGAAACCCATCTCTACCAAAAATAAAAATAAAAGTAGCCAGGCGTGGTGTTGTTTGCCAGTAGTCCGAGCAACTCAGGAGGCTGAGGTGGGAGGATTGCTTGAGCCCAGGAGGTAGAGGTTGCAGTGAGCCGACATCACACTGCTGCACTCCAGCCTGGGCAACATAGCTAAACCCTGTCTCAAAAAAAAAAGAAAAAAAAAAAGATTTGGTTTACTCCTCAAAAGGATGATGTGTCTACAATTCATTTGTTGCCGACACAGCTCAGGTATCCCTCTATGTCATAACATACTTTAGGTGCAGGTGATGATGAAGGATGATGGCCTTTTTGACTTTTGCCCAAATCTACCGTAGCCCTTTGAGGGAATTTTTACTATTCTCTGAAACTGTATTTTCTTCTGATAGTGTCAATATTTGGATCCTTTGTAATCTCCTGTTCTGGAACACAAATAGAAGCCATAATATCCTAGTTTGTCTCACTGTCTAGGGTATTTATTCAACTCTTATAAGTTGCTTTTTCATGATTCTATTTGGGAATAGGAACCTAGAGGTTTATGCCCATTAGAGCATAAGATAGGGTGAATTCAGTATTCTGTCACATTGTCGCATTTGTGTTTGCCTCTAGGTGAATCTAAACAATGCTTCCCGAAGCCAGAGCAGTCATTCATATGATGATAGTACTCTCCCTCTCATTGACCGGAACCAAAAATCAGGTGCAGTATCCAGAAGGCACACCCTCTCCTTTTAGCCACTCTTGCTGTTCTAGGTGGCTTACTAAGAAATAGGATATATATTATTTCTGAATTAGCTAGCCTTTTGTGGGAGGGGAATAATTTTCCACTCCAGGATCCTAACGCAGAAATGGGTAGGTCTTAAGCATTAGAAATCAAAACAAAACAGGTAATTAGCCTGAATGTGATTCCTTTATCATTGCTTGTGAACTTAAAACACTGGAAAGTGAACTCTAGTCTGTTTTGTCTATTTTTTCTCCTTTTAAATTTCCATTTAATACTTAATATTGTAATAGTTACTATTTTAAAATTACAAAATATAAACAATCAGAAAAATAACAAAAAATCACTTGTTTCTTTTATCCAGAGAAAACCACTTGTATCTTTTAAAACATTTTTATCATGTGAGTAAACACATTTTTCCTCTGAGATGAATTATATATTTTGTTTTGTAAATTTTTTCTTTTTCACATAAAGTGTATATTGTGACCATTATTATCTTAATCACACTTGGCTTTTTCCTTGATTATTGGTTCTTAAAGTGTGGTCTGAGAGTCCCAAGATTGTTACAATTTGTACTGATGGCACAGAAAGCAGTGATGCTTCTTGCTGGTGGCTTAGCACAAACCAGGGCAGTGACATAAAGCTGAATGAGTCATTGTAGTCTTCATTGCCACTCACATAGGTAAAAGCAGAGAGCCATTTTCACTTAACTGGAGAAGAAAAAACATCAGGCCAGGTGTGGTAGCTCATGCCTGTAATCCTAGCACTTTGGGAGGCTGAGGCGGGCAGATCACCTGAGGTCAGGAGTTCAAGATCAGCCTGGCCAACATGGTGAAACCCCGTCTCTACTAAAAATACAAAAATTAGCTGGGTGTGGTGGCAGACGCCTGTATTCCCAGCTACTCAGGAGGCTGAGGCAGGAGAATCGCTTGAACCCAGGAGGCGGAGGTTGCAGTGAGCCGAGATTGCACCACTGCATTCCAGCCAGGGCGACAGAGTTGAGACTCCGTATCAAAAGAAAAAAAAAATCACTTTTATTGTTTTTCTACCCTTGAGTATACATCTTTTTAATATTCTGTGCTGATGAAATAGCATATTAAAGCATGATGGTTGTCTTAAGGAAATGTACTTGTGTTATTGTTTCAGTTACTAGTTAGACTAGCCACTTTTTAATTGTTTATTTATTTATTTTGAGATGGGGTCTCCCTATGTTACCCAGGCTGGTCTTGAACTCCTGGGGTCAAGCGATCCTCCTGCCTTGGCCAAGTGTTAGGATTACATCCGGCGCTCAGCCACACTAGCCACTTTGTTTAATGGAACACTGTTTTTACTTGGAAAAAAATGTGTGGTAGACAAAGGGATTATTCAGATGTGCGCATTTGGCAGACATTTTCTCAAAAACGAATGCGATAAGCTTGTTGCTTTGAGGAAAATAACACAGTGTTTGCTGCCTGAGCTTTCAAGTGGAAATTGTAGTTTTGAAAAACTTTTATTTGCCACTGTGAGCCTGGTAACTTCCCAATACTGAAAAGACTTTTCTAGGCTGAGTGTAGTGTCTCATGCTTATAATCTCAGTACTTTGGGAGACTGAGGCAGGAGGATCATTTGAGCCCAGGAGTTTGAGACCAGCCTGAGCAACATAATGAGACCATGTCTGTACAAAAAAATTAGCCAGGCATGGTGGCACATTCCTGTAGTCCCAATTACTTTGGGAGGCTGAGGCAGGGAGATCACTTGAGCCCAGGTGGTCAAGGCTGCAGTGAGCTGTGATTGTGCTACTGCATTCCAGCCTGGGCAACAGAGCAAGACCCTGTCTCAAAAAATACATGATTAAAATGAAAAAAGACTTTTCTAATGAAATAAACAGTGATGTTAACGAATGTGATTTCAAAATATTGTGTAATGCTATGTGTTAGCATTTTGAATATCTGGATAACTTGAAGCAGTATTTTGCAAGTGACAAATACATATGTCAAAATCGTACATAGGTAATTGATCCGTTAAAAGTGCAAGATGGACCAATGGATTTTAACTAAACAGAATATGAAGTGATTGTTAATTATAGATTCCACATTACTGTCAACCTTTAAGAAACTACTACTAATTAGTATACTATTAAAGAAGAATAACCACAATTATCTGAAAAGACTATTAAAATCATCCTCTTTTCCAACTTTTTATCTGTGTGAGGCTGGATTTTCTTGATATACATTAACTACAATAACATATCACAAAAGATTGAATGCAGAAGCAGGTATGAGAATCTAAGCCAAATTTCAAAGAGATATACAAAAATGAAAAGGATGTTATTAAAGATTATTTATGATAACATGTAAGAAGTTTACCATTAAGTGAAATAGATACTTTAAACTTGTCAGTATGGTAACAATTAATACATAAAACTCACACCAATGAAGGTTCTTTAGATCCTTATAATTTTTAAGACTGTAAAACGGCCTTGAGACCAAATAATTTGAAAACTGCTAGTTTAGATGGAATTGTTTTTTGATTTAAGAGTCTGTAGGGGCCAGGTGTGATGGCTCACACCTGTAATCCCAGTACTTTGGGAGACTGAGGTGGGAGAATCACTTGAGCCCAGGAGTTTCAGACCAGCCTGAGCAACATAGTGAGACCTCATCTCTACAAAAAGCTTAAAAATTATCCAGGCATTGTGATGCACATAGTTGGTGCTAAGTAGAAGTGTGAATGAAGGGAAGGAAGGAGGACCAGAGAGCAATTTTCATGATGTGTACAGATTTTGAAGAATTGTTTTTGACATGGATAACTTTCTGACTTCATACAGATAAGAAACCTGATCGGGAAGAAATTCAGATGAGCAATATGGGATCAAACACAAAATCACTAGGTAGGTGATTAATTCCTGCCTAAGGATGTGGAGTAATATTTCACTGGCTAAGGAGAGCTGTCTAGCTCTATAGTTTTTTTTCTAATACCCTTACCATTTACCATCCTGGGAGAGCATTGGCTGATCATTTCCATTTTGAAGGATGTAAGGAAATTTAATAAAATCTGATCCGTCTACTTTTTCTACATTCCTACATGCTCAAAGGTTTTCAGAAATCTTTCTATGCCTCTCCTATTACTACACATTCAAGTTTGTAGCCCATTATATTCCTACCCCAGTCTCCTTCTCTGGAGTGAATGGATACATCTGTTTCTGCCCAACTATTCTGCTTGCTATTCTATCTATTCACTCTATAGTTTGATTCTGCTCATGTAATACCTCTTACTGGTATGTCCTTCCCTTTTGTCTTTCTAAATTCTCTTTATCTCCAAAGGCTTAACTCAAGTCCTGTTTTCCCTTGTCAGGTCCTTCCTAACGATTGCAGCATATTTCACTCGCTCTTCTTTTAATTCCCATAACCTTTTCAGACAAACCTCTTGTTTAGCTTTATTATGTCATATTCTGGGTATTTTATACATATTGTCTTCCATCTTAGATTCAAGTTCTTTTTTTGAGACAGAGTCTCACTCGTTCACCTGGGCTGGAGTGCAGTGGCGTGATTCTCATACCTCAGCCTCCCGAGTAGCTGGGACTACAAGTGTACACCATCACACCTGGCTTATTCTTATATTTTTAGTAGAGATGGGGTTTCACCATGTTGGCTAGGCTGATCTTGAACTCCTGGCCTTAAGTGATCTGCCCGTCTCAGCTTCCCAAAGTGCTGGGATTACAGGCATGAGCCACCACGGTCAGCCAGATTCAAGTTCTTTAAGTCGGGGACCATCAGACTTTAATGCCTTTGTGGAGCATTTGACAAGCTCAGTTCCCAACAGTGATGCCTAATTACACCTATCTGTTTGATATACGTTTTACACTAGAGGGGAATGTCATATTTCTGTGTACTTTTTTTTTTTTAACCAGATAACAACTATTCCACACCAAATGAGAGAGGAGACCACAATAGAACACTGGATCGATCGGGGGATCTAGGCGACATGGAGCCATTGAAGGGAACAACACCCTTGATGGTAAATTCTCTTTATATACTGCTATCTGTCTAAGGCTAGTTCTATTTTGAAGCCTATGTGTTTTGTGAAACACAAAAAAAAGTACAGAGAAAGATCGCATCCTTTTCTGGTAGGGGTTTTCAGGAAAAAGTAAGAGTTCTGACTCATGTTGGGATTTCTTGGGCCGTTATTCTGCAGTGGTCAAAATGGGGGAAGCATGTCTGTAAAAGTGTTACTGATATGACTAACACTAACTGATCTACTTTCAAACATTACCTTTTTCCTCTCCCTCCCTGTTTATGAATGTTTTGCCCTTCTCTTACTATTATATCTTGTTTTGTTTGAGTTTACAAATTTTCAGAGTTTCCCTAGCTCTGGCACACACTCATGAGGTTCCTGTCTCTACTCATACTAACAAATTGCATGTGTTCACAGCAGGACGAGGGGCAGGAATCTCTGGAGGAAGAGTTGGATGTGTTGGTTTTGGATGATGAGGGGGGCCAAGTGTCTTACCCCTCCATGGTATGTCCTTCAGTCACCCCCAAGATTGTTCTTGAGGAAGGAGGCTCCTGAGTGCCAGCAACTTGTCAATCACGCTAATCTGATCAGGCCAGAGACTAAGTAGTCTCAGCCACATGGGGCTCGAGGGGTTCTGCTTTTGTGATTATTACCTCTTACGAGTCTGGGACATGCAGCTGGTGATCTGATTCTCCGTTATGTGCTGCTTTCCTTTCTCCAGATTTGCTCAACTTTTTTGGGGGGGGTCTCCTTAATCCCAACCCCATTAACATTCTCTCTTTCTCTTTTTTCTCCACAGCAGAAGATTTAGCACCACTATCTCCGTTCCATCTGGGCTTATATGTACTTTTATTTTTTGGTGGTGAAATTGACTGATGATTTTCCTTTTTCTTCGCTGGACTATTGTGCCAACTGCCAGGCTGCCTCCTGCCCTTACAGCCCTAAGTGGCTGCCTTCTTTCCATCAACTCCCAACTTCTTCCTGTGAAGTTTAATTGTCTCAACGCCTCCCCCTCCCCCATTCCCTCCATTTTTCTCCCAAGAAACCTGACTCAATTATTTGCATATTTTGAGAAACTGCTGCAGATTAGTTCTTTTTGCCAGTTTTCCCTGGAACTCCTGGCCTTTTGTGGAGGGGAGGGATGGAGAGAATAGGAATCTTCACTAGAAGCCGTGGGAAGAATTGGAAGTTACATGCTGTATATGCAATGTCCAGCAGTCTGATAAACTGACGATTCTTAATCAAGATTTTTTTCCTGATGGGGAAGGGACTTTTATTTTCTTTTAGAGAGGGGAAAGTGTGAGCTCTTCCCTTATTCCTAATGGCTATTTTTGAAGCAAAGAAGGCCAGCAACATTGGCACATGCCACCTGGCAAAGGACCCTTGAGTAAGTGAAGGTCTCCTAAAACTGGGATTAAGAAACCTTGCTCTCCTCATCTCCAAGGCAGGGACCATCAAGAACCTACAGACTCCATCTCTTCTGCAAGCCTCATGCCAACCCTGGGCTATTGCTGCTGCCCCTTAAACACAGGCTGTCCTTAACCCACCTCTCCTGCCCTGTGATATGTCTGCTGAGTTGGCCTGGCCATTTCCAAGAGGCTGTAGAAAGGGGAGAATGTCAAGGAAGACTTTTGGTAGAGAAGGAGCAGAAAGATGTGTTTTTGGGAAGAAGAAGACCTCTAGGAGGAGCTAGTAGGAATGTACATGAAGCAATTAGTCTGAAACTGGCTTCCCCACTCCCCCGTTTCTCCTTTTCCTATCCTTATAGGCCTGTCCCTTGCCTCTGCCCTGGATTGGTTGGCAAACTAAAGGACTTGATGTACATAACTCCTGTCCCTTTTCCCTTACAAGGTGGGGATTGCCCCTGGCTTTGCCTCTTCTTTGTGCCTTTGGCCTGGGGTGCATCTCCTCCCGCCCTTCCATGTGCCTTTCTTTGCCTCTGCAGTCTCATTTCTCATAATTTTGCAAATTATATTTTGTTGCTTTCTTACCTACTATTGGCCCTAAATAGCAGAAAGAAGAGAAGTGACCGAGAGAACCTCAGATTCTTCATTGAGGATTGGTATAGCCATGATTTCAGTCATAGCAAGCTTTTGCTCAACAGCATATGGGTGGGATTTTGCAAAAATCCTATTCTGATGAATCTCAAAGTAAGGCTGGTAAGAGAAGTGAGTGGTGTGACTCTTACTCCTTAGGTGCCCAGAATTTACCATCATCTCTGAAGGAGTTACAGGGAAGTGGTCTCCCCAATTCTCCCCTCCCTCCAGTATTGCCCCCTCTCACTTTAGCATATATTAATTAGCAGGTTGGGCTAGAGAAATCAGCTGCTATGCGGGTTGATTATTATTATTATTTCTAATCCTTTTCCTTATTTGCCTTCTACTCCCCTTAATCTAATCTAAAAGCTCTGTTCCATGCAACTGGAGTTCCTTATCCCTCTCTTCCCCTTCCCTTATATATTGAGGCTATGGGGTAGGAGAAAAGTGCACAACCCACCACCCCCTTTACTCGTGCATTAAAATTTCTTATTTACCCTTTTCCCCCTTCCCATTTCTTCCCACTTTCATCTACCTTTTCTGGCAAAAAGGAGCCTTTTGCTCTCTGTGACCCTAAGAGCACACTGCACAGGGAAAATTGCCCCATCCAGACCTGGCTCCACTCTTGATCTCTCTTGTCCTCTTCTGCTCTTTTCCTGGTGCTCTTTTTTCTCGGTGGGGTGTGGGTAATAGAACAGCCGTGGGCTTTTGGGGACCTTTAACTTTTTTTTCTCTCTTTTGTTTATAAAAAACACTAAACATTCAATTCCAGAGAACCAAAAATCCCACCTTCCCACCGAACACTACTAAGGGGCTTGTGTTCTGCTCCATACCTTTTCTCTTTTCTTTCTGTCTTGTTAATGCTTTTAAAAACAAATGAGTTTTTTATATAAATAAAGTTTTTAAAGTGTGTATGTGGGGGGTCTGTGTCATTTCTTCACTTCAAGCTGTTATTTCTTCCCTGCTTTGCATCTTTGTTACTTCCTTATGTATCAGTGTCCTTTCCAGAGCAACCAGAAGGAGGTTATACCAGGATTTATTTTGAGCTCAGCCCCAACTCTTTATCAAGCAACATTCTTGTTAACTATATGTGAAACATTTTTTCTTCTGAAGATTCTTAAAAATTGAATGTGGCTGAAGTTGAACATGGGAGCTTATTGCTAATTTAGAGATAGGAAACTGAAGCATAAAGAATTAATGACTTACTTTAATTACTGGAATTCTTCTGCAACATTTGACAAAACTAACCTTGAATAAGGCCCACTGTAATACGTAGCTCTCTTAAATATAACACTTAGGACTAGAAGATTAGAAACTACCAATCCCAACTACGTAATAGGAAAATGTAGGATCAAAAGGCCCATGTATATAAGTACTGACCACTGGGCCATAATGTTGCTTCTCAGGCTATATGCAGTCCTTTAGTCAGAAGTCAATAGGCCTATTTATTAATATTTTACAGACCATATTACCTGGATTACCAGGGACTATCTTTGCTGCAGAGATCAAGGGTTAAGATCTATGGGAAGATACTTATTTTTCTGAGGTCCTTATGTCCTGTCATATAATTAAAGACTCAAGAGAATTTATGTGAAATGCTTTCTGTATGCCCAAATCTTTAGATTAAAATTATATAGCTGCTCCTGATGATGGTCCTGTCTTGTTTTATTGAACTAGGACTTGGGTATGAAAACTTTCATGGGCTAGTGAGACCAGGAAATCAACTAGCTTTTAAAGCTTGATTTGTGTCTAACAATTGTAGTGTTAGATTAGAGGTTGAAGTACAAAGCCAAAAAGCTATTAAGAGTTTACTTTCCAAAGAGTTTTGATAGCCCTGCTTGAGATGATTTTTATCTAAATAGAAAAGCCTGGCTGCTTGTCAGCAACACTTTATTTCCCTGTTATGTTCTTATCCTTTGGCATTGAGCTAGATACAAACCCTACTCTTCTCTCTTCCTTCTGGATTGGTCCATTTGTTTATCTCATTCAATAAATATTTGCCAAGCACCTCCTATATGCTAAGCGTTGTGTCAAGGTTAGGTTTAGATTAGAGAGTGAAACAGATGGATCTTTTCTCATAGATTGCAATCCATGAGAATCCTCTATAGCTAAGATCTATGATCAGACGAGATCGTGTGCGTTCAGGGTGATATGGCCATAGACAAGATCTATGATCTTAAAAACACTTCTCTCTGTGCCATATCTAAATACAATGAGATGTTACACAGAATGATGTGTAAAGGCCCTATCTCACAAGTTTCTTGACACTGATGTACTTTGTGACAGAGGTCAAAGCTGGGACCTCACTTGGCCACTTTTTTTTTTTTAGACAGAGTCTTGCTCTGTCACTCAGGGGCACAATCTCGGCTCACTGCAACCTCAGCCTCCTGGGTTCAAGCGATTCTTCTGCCTCAGCCTCCCGAGTAGCTGGGATTACAGGTGTGTACCACCACGCCTGGCTAATTTTGTATTTTTAGTAGAGACAGGATTTCACCATGTTGGCCAGGCTGGTCTCAAACTCCTGACCTCAAGTGATCCACCCTTCTTGGCCTCCCAAAGTGCTGGCATTACAGGTGTGAGGCACTGCGCATGGCCGGCCACTTGTTTTTCTTGCTGAACTAATTTTCTTTGCTACAAACTGGAATCACCTCACCCAGGAAGAACTAAGAACCAGTCTTTCCATATCATTTTTTTCTCATTTTGTCTATTTTTATATCTGAAGCAAAGGTTCTTAATATTTTCATAGATGGAATTGACTAGACCTAGCCCTGTATATCTGAGCAAGTTACATAAGAATTCCCTGTATGCTTGTTGAAAATGCAGAGTCCCATGTTCCATTTCCAAAAATCGATTCAGTAGGTGGGACTGAGGAATCTAAAATCATGGTAAGTCATCCAGGTTATCCTCTTTTTTTTTGTTTTTGTTTTTGTTTTTTTTTTTGAGACGGAATTTCACTCTTGTCACCCGGGCTGGAGTGCAATGCCACGATCTCAGCTCAGTGCAACCTCTGCCTCCCGGATTAAAGCGATTCTCCTGCCTCAGCCTCTTGATGAGCTGGGACTACAGGCACCCGCCACCACATCCAGCTAATACTTGTATTTTTAGTAGAGACGGGGTTTCACCATGTTGGCCAGGCTGGTCTTGAACTCCTGACCTCAGGTGATCCATCCACCTAGGCCTCCCAAAGTGCTGGGATTACAGGCATAAGCCACCATGCCTGGCCCATCCAGGTTATTCTGATGTATGTGGTCAGTTAACTGTGACTTAAGGGACTGATCTAGTGACTTGCTTAAGGTTATAGCCTCAAAGTGGAACCCAGGATTACTGGCTTCAACTCCACTGGCAGTAATACTAGCATGGTGAATGTAGACAATATGATGTGGTGATCACCATTTTAAGAGAGCATTCATAGAGGAAACTTTATCTCAAAGGAATGCATTGCTTTCAATAGAGTTTGAGATAATGGTAAGTGATAGGTTGGTGTGTGGTATCTGGGTAGGAGAAGCTTCTCATCCTGAAAATCATATGTAGGTAATGCTCAGGTTGCTGAGGCAGGAAGCTAGCCCTTAATTTGGGGTCCTGTAGGTCACAGAGAATCCCCTGGAATTGCCGACTTTGACTTAAGTGTCACTTCTAGCTACAAAGGGTATCTCAACTGGCGAGCAAGTGGCCCCATTGGCTAAAGCCAAGGAGACCACATCTGGAAACTTAAATCACTCTGGTAGCTTCCAGAAAGAGCTACCTCAGGAAAGCTCAAAAAAGAAACAAGATAATTGTTAGGAACAATTTTTTTTCACACAGCTTTAAGACTGTTCTGTTGCCTGTGTCACTTAAAGCATTAGTTCTTCAACTGATCCATCCAGGATTTAGAGACAGACATGGATGAAGAGAAAGCTGGAGGAGGTAAGATAGGTTGATTGGTCTGCATCATTTTAACCTGACATTTTTCTCCTTTTATGCAGTGTAAAATGACCATGGATAGCTATCCATGAATGGACTAAGAGCTTTACACTTGTTATAATTGTAGGAGCTATAAGCATGTGGCAACTAGCTTTAAAATTTTTTTTTACCTGAGAAAAAGTGCTATACTTATCTCCATATACTACTTTATTTTTTAAAAAAGACAGGTTATTCCACTTTTATTGAGGACACAAAAGTATTACTACCCTGCTGTCTTTTCCCCCAGTATCTCTAGTGCTAATGGACAGTGCCATAAGACATTTATGCCTGAGGAAAAAGAAATATGGGATATTTGTGGTGATGTTCCAGTCAATTACCCAATTTTTGTCTTCACCTCAATTCTTTTTTTTTTTTTTTTTGAGGTGAAGTTTCGCTCTTGTTGCCCAGGCTGGAGTGCAATGGCATAATCTTGGCTCACTGCAACCTCCGCCTCTTAGGTTCAAGCAATTCTCCTGCCTCAGCCTCTGGAGTAGCTGGGATTACAGGCATGCGCCACCACGCCTGGCTAATTTTGTATTTGTAGTAGAGACGGGGTTTCTTCAGGTTGGTCAGGTTGGTCTTGAACTCCCAACCTCAGGTGATCTGCCTGCCTCGGCCTCCCAAAGTGTAGTGATTACAGGCGTGAGCCACCATGCCTGGCTCACCTCAATTCTTCTTTTCCTTCCACCTTAAAGGCAGGCTTAGCTTTGGTCTTACAGTTCACGCGTTGGCAGAATCGGGGCAGGGGGAGTGCGTTGGTGTGCGTATTTGAAACTAATTCAGGGCTCTGTTTTTGGCAGTATGCTGGATTAGATAATTCTGAAAAGTCCTTTCAGCAGAAGCAACCAAGATACTGGGTAAATATATTTATAAAAAATACTTTTAAACATATTGCTGAGCAGGCACGAAAGTAAGGAACCTACGGCTCTTCAAAATGAAGCAAAAGCTGGAATCCTAGGAAGTAACTGCCAAAGCCAGCTTTTCCTCAGAATTTTTGCCAAATTCAGCAGACCATAACCTTCTATTTTAGTGATTACACAAAGTATGGGCAACAGGAAATGAGAAATCTAGTAGGTTCCCTCATAAAGCTGGACACCCTCAGTGTAAAGGTGAACAAGAAATAAACACTCCATAGAAGGGCGCAGCAAGGAACTCATTTGTCTCAACCTTAGTGGCACATGGAAACTATAGAATATTTTCCCTGATGATTTATAACCACAAATGGCCTTCTATGGGCTTTCAGTCCAAACTTAGGCTACCTGTGTGGTCCAAAAAGCTTAACTGGGGAATTTAAAGTGGTACTCATTTGTTTATGCTTCCAGGTGATTTTCAGAAGCAAATGCAATTCCTCTAAGGCCTCAGAACAATTCCCATAGATATACTTTCAAGGCAAATGAGTGCTCTTGCCCAAAAATTATAAACTGAACAAAGAAATAAGGCACAATGAGTGAAAAGACAGACACAGAAGCTGATCTTTTAAATACTTCAGATGTTGGCATTGTTGCACAGACTATAATGAAATAACGATTAATGAACTTTTTGAATTAGTGGAAAAACCTTTTTGAATTAGAAGTGAAAAATACAAATTTGAGGTAAGAAGTCAATGCATGGATTAAATAGATTAGACAAATTGAAGGAGGATTTGTGAATTGGAAGATAAGAAATTATACAGAATGCACTCCAGATAGAGAATGGAAAATAGGCAAGAGGTTGAGACAACAATGGAATAAGATCTAATAAACATTATTTGGAACATCAGGAGATAGGAGGAGGCAATATTCAAAGAGAAATTTTTTAGGGTTGGATGAAAGGCACCAAACCTCAGACTTAGGGAGCCCAGTGAATCTCAAGCAAGATAAACCAACTTACCTAGTACATCAGGGTGAGATGCAGAAAACCAAAGAAAAGATTGTGGGCATCTGGAGAGAAAATACAGACTACCTGTAGAAAACCAGCCAGATGGTGACTTCTGTGTCAACAATGAAAGCCAGGAAACAGTGAAATTTATCTTCATCATGTTAAGAGAAAAAGGAACTTATTATGAAAGCTTACCTGAGGTGACACTTTTTAAAAAGCTACTAAAAACATTTTCCGACAAAAGCAGAGTTTCCACTTACAAAAGGATGTCCTTGAGGTGGAAGGAAAATGATCTCAGATGGAGAATCAGATGCAAGAAGGAACACTGAACGAAATTGCTAAAGCCTTCACTGTAAGAGGAGTGTGTAATTTATGGGAGAGAAATACAGACTAGAATTAAAATGCTGGACAACAATAGCATGTAAAGTTGAGGGAGCAATTACAACACTAATTTTCGGGTTCTTCAGGAGGAAAGTAAAGATACTGATAAGACTTGAAAAACTAAATAGATTGGTACAGAAGTAATTGCATTGAAATGGCAAAAACTGCAATGACTTTTGCACCAACCTAATACATATTAGCTGGAATAACCACTAAAGAATGAATATAGGACATATAACTTCCAAACAAGTAGAGAGGGAAGAAAGCAAAAGGAGTATGGGCAAGGTTAGTACTGGTGCTGCATCTGATGGAACAAGCTGAGCCTGCAGGGCAGTGGTGGTAGGTAGTGGTGAAGCCCCCACCTTTATATCACAGCACTGGGTATAGCGTGTGGCAAGTTAAGTAGATGTGTGCAGCAAAGAGCAGAGTGAAGAACAAGAATAGGGACAAAGGGAATAGCTCCAAGACAATTTCTATAAAAGCAAAGTTAAAAATTGGCTGGTAAGTGAGTTGGTCAGCCTGGCTTAAAGACACAGTCAGTACAAATGCTTTCATATTTTGCTGATGAAATTGCAAAGTCTTCTGTAATCCCAGCACTTTGGCAGGCCGAGGTGGGCGGATCACGAGGTCAGGAGATCGAGACCATCCTGGCTAATGCAGTGAAACCCCATCTCTACTAAAAATACAAAAAATTAGCTGGGCGTGGTGGTGGGCGCCTGTAGTCCCAGCTACTCGGGAGGCTGAGGCAGGAGAATGGCGTGAACCCGGGAGGCGGAAGTTGCAGTGAGCCGAGATCATGCCACTGCACTCCAGCGTGGGCGACAGAGCAAGACTCTGTCTCAAAAAAAAAAAAAAAAAAAATTGCAAAGTCTTACTTGTCTGAGTATCCTCCCCATATCCTAAAAGGGTTTGACCCAGAGTAGGGCTGGACTGAAGCTGGAGGCTACCCTTTGACATGAAGATGTTATCATTTTTAGGTACCACTGGCTTTAGAGTAGGAGAGGTCACAGGGAAGCATTGGGCTATTCAAGCTCATCTCTGGGTCATCATTTCCTGGGCACTAAGAAGGGCTTACTCAGGGGCATTGATTCAATTTTGAATTGGTAGTGCATTACAATGTCACACATTTGCAACAGACATTTCTCTGTCCCTTATGGTGCACTTAAAGCATATCTATACTAGTGAAACAAGCTTAGATTTATATATGGGATCAAGATGTACTATCTACTGTCTTATTCAAATGCCTTTTGCTTTAATCTTTTATTTATTATTTATCATTTTTATTTTTTGAGACGGAGTCTTGCTCTGTCACCCAGGCTGGAGTGCAGTGGTGCAATCTCTGCTCACTGCCACCTCTACCTCCTGGGTTCAAGCGATTCTCCTGCCTTAGCCTCCCGAGTAGCTGGGATTACAGTTGCCCGCCACCATGCCTCTCTAATTTTTGTATTTTAGTGGAGATGAGGTTTCACCATGTTGGCCAGGCTGGTCTCGAACTCCTGACCTCAGGTGATCTGCCCGCCTTGGCCTCCCAAAGTGCTAGGATTACAGGTGTGAGCCACTGTGCCCGGCTTTTTATTTCTTTTTATCGAGGTTAGTGACTCTGAAATCTAGCTCAGATTTTTGAGATGATTTAGAATGATCATTTATATTAAACTACTCAGCACAAAATTCAGGCTCTGGAACCAAATTGTCTGAGTTCAAGTCCTTGCTGTGCTACTTTAGCTGTGTGACCTTGAGCAAATTTCTAAAGCATTTGGTACCCTTCATCATGGGAAGAATAATATCTACATATTATGAAGATGTAATGAGATAATGAATGTAATTGGACTTAAAACAGTACCTGGCACATAGTGTATTATTACTATTGTATTTGTCACCAGGTGCTTTTACATATATATGCATATAATTAGCTATGCGATTGCTCAGTTATTATGTCCAACTACTTCAGGGATGATTTCAAGGGGAACTCAAAGTGACAAGCAAGTGGTATACATGTCCACACCCTAGATTAGGAAAAGATAGCCTTAGTCTTTTGGTGGGTACTTAGACCTCTTTTGTCCAGGCTCTGTTGTAGGTGCTTAAGTGTTAGGACCTTTAGGAATGATTCTTGCAAAAGTGAATGTTAAAGGCTTAGAGATTACTATGGCACGCCCACATGGAAGCATCTGTTTATTCTGGTAGTGCTTGTGACAACACATAGACTTCTCAGAACCAAGATGAGAAAAGACATCCTCACAAGATATCAAGGTTTTTCTGTGTGTCTGAAACCTCAAGAGATAAAGGAGTAATCTTTGGGCATGAGAACCCATGAGAGATATGAAGGGATTTAATTGAATGAAAGAATGAATAAAAAGCTACATACATTTATTAAGTATTTTGTTGTATGTTAGGCCCTATACTGGTGATAGACAGACATGTAGTGAGCACATGTCCTCAAGGAACATTTGGTAAATTACTCCAAGGGCAAAGGGTTTCAAGCAGTGAAGTCCTTAGATCACTAGCTATAGAGAAGAGTATGGAGAAGAAAAGACTGGATGATCAGAGGAAGCTGCAAGATTCTAGGCAAGGGATAATGGTGGCTTAGACTAGGTCATATAGTATAGAAAGAAAAGAATATTTCCAGTTCAGTAATGTTAACAGGTAATATTTAGCGCTGTGTGAAACTTTCTAAGTACTTTGAATATATTGACATTTAATCACACGAACCCTATACGTAGGGGAATGACATGAACATATATAATAGTAGCAAATATTTTGGGGCTAACCTTCGTGCTAGGCTTCACATGCTCTGTCACCCAGGCTGGAGTGCAGAGACTGTGATCTTGGCTCACAGCAACTTCCACCTCCCAGATTCAAACAGTTCCTGCCTCAGCCTCCCAAGTAGCTGGGATTACAGGCATGTACCACCACATCTGCTTAATTTTTCTATTTTTAGTAGAAATGGGGTTTTACCATGTTGGCCAGGCTGGTCTTGAACTCCTGACTTCAGGTGATCTGCCTCCCTCGGCCTCCCAAAGTGCTGGGATTACAGGCATTAGCCACCACACCCAGCCATATATGCATTATTCTTGTTTAATATTTTCCACAACTCTGTGATTCTCCCCATCTTATAGCAGTTAAGTAACTTGCCTTAGGTTACACTCAGTGACAAAGGTTAAACATTTTTTTGTTTTTGATCAGATTTGTTTGATTAGAAATGCTGTGGGTTTTTCTTTTACTACTAACATAAATTGCTTCAGAAGGTAGAATTGGTAGAACATAGGGTGAGGAGAAGAGTTGAGAAGAACATAGGGTGAGGAGAAGAGTTGCCTGGGCAACATGGTGAAACCCTCTCTCTACTAAAAATACAAAAAATTAGCTGGGTGTGGTGTCATGGGGCTTCTGGTCCCAGCTACTTGGGAGGCTGAGGTGGGAGGATGGCTTAAGCCTGGGAGGCAGAGGTTAGAGTGAGCCAAGGTCATGCCACTACACTCCAGCCTGGGTAACAGAGTGAGACCCCATCTAAAAAAAGTAAAACAAAAAAGGAATGATTTTCTGATATCTGGGTGATATCAGCCACTGATTGAGACAGGAAACAGTGGCAAGTAGAAGGATATGTTGGAAGAGAAAAATTTAGTTACAAGTAAAGTTCGAAGTGATTGAGGAACACTGAAGTGGAAGTATCCAATAGGCAGCTGGATATGTGACACTAGGGCTCAAAAGAGGCCTGGATTCTGAATACAGATTTGACGGTCTACTTTAAGCAATGTACTTTAAGCTATAAGAGTATATGAGATGGCCCAGGGAGTGTAAGTATGAGAAGAGTGGAGAGTTTAGATCTGAACCCTGTTGGTACATAAATATTTAAGAAGGGAAAGGAGACCCTGAAAGACTAGGGAACTAGTCTGATTTAGGAGAATATTTTTGTTTGTTTTTAAATTTTCTTTTTTTTCTTTCTTTTTTTTATTTTTTGAGAGAGAGTCTCACTCTGTTGCCCAGGCTGGAGTGCAGTGGCGCGATCTCAACTCACTGCAACCTCCTCCTGGGTTCAAACAATTCTCCTGCCTTGGCCTCCCAAGTAGCTGGGATTACAAGTGCGTGCCAACAAACCTGGCTAATTTTTGTATTTTTAGTAGAGACGGGGTTTCGCCATGTTGGCCAGGCTGGTCTTGAATTCCTGGCCTCAGGTGATCCGCCCACTGTGGCCTCCCAAAGTGAGGCTTGAACCACCACACCCAGCCTGTTTGTTTTTTTTAAGAAGCCAATGCTGCTTCCCATTGCAAAGTAACTAACAAAAAAGTAGGGTTTGCTTTGATCTGTTTCATCGTTGGAGGATATTTAATTTTTCTTCCAATCTTCCTACAATATTTGGATCTTTGGGGTCTGGAACCCTAGAGAGCATGGATTCAGTCTTCCATTTAATTCTCCTTCCCTCTGGTATAAAACCAGGATTCAGAATCCAGAAAGGCCACCTTACCGATTGGGCAAAATGGGCAATAGTTCCAGTTCTTCCCACCATCAGGCCTGTGTCTGACTGTCCTGCCTCATCCTGTTCTCCCTACTCCTCTCTTGCTTGTCCCTTGATCCCTCTCTTTCTTTGCTTTCCTCTTCATTTATTTCCACTAGTTCTCTAGTTGCTTCCACTCCAGACCTCTACGACCAGGCAGCCTATCAAGAATTACAAATCTGGTTTTATTTCTCCTGCTCAAAAGTTTGTCCCTCAAAGAGTGGTTAGCATAGCCAATAGGGCACAGCCATATTCCACCCTGTGACTTATAGGAGGAAGCTACTTCATGTGAGGTGGTCCCCCTTGGTGAGTCCTTCCTGCAGAGCAGAGATTGCCAGCTTACTTAGGGTAGTCCTGAGTCCTGGAGGACTGACAGGACTGACTAAGAACCCATATACTCCTTTACTCTGTCTGCTTTTGTCCCTTACTCTGATTCCAACAGACTCATTGCCACATAAACCCAGGCTTTCAGGGGTCAGATGGGACCAGTGCGGGCTGGGGATTTCTCCTTATTGAGCAGCTCTCTACCTATAAGGCCAGTAAAATACCAAGTACAGAGCATAGTAGGTGCTGAACATAGGCGTACATAGTAACCACTAGTGATAGTTGAGATAATGAATGAGTGTCCTTTGCTGGCAGAGCCCATCACCAGCCAGGAGTCTCCACCTCCAGCAACAGTGGAGTGGACCTTCAGCACACACCCCAACCCCACCTTGCCTCACCCTGACCCCATTCTGCCTCATAGATCGATTATTTTTAATATTTTGGTTTAAATTAAAAGACCCTATATGACTTTTTAAAATAACATGATTTAACACGGCAGATTACGGAATTAAAATTCTTGCCTCTCTTTTATGTCACTCCCCAGGAATAACTACTCTTAACCATTTGTTACATATCCTTTCAGATATCTTTCTCCAAGTGCTTATTCAACAAAGACTTCTTTTTTATTTTTTATTTTGAGACAGAGTCTCGCTCTGTCGCCCAGGCTGATTTCCGCTCACTACAACTTCTGCCTCCCAGGTTCAAGTGATTTTCCTGCCTCAGCCTCCCAAGTAGCTGGGATTACAGGTGTGGGCCACCATGCCCGGCTAATGTTTGTTTTTAGTAGAGATGGGGTTTCTCCATGTTGGCCAGACTGGTCTCGAACTCCTGACCTCAAGTGATCCACCTGCCTCAGCCTCCCAAAATGTTGGGATTACAGGTGTGAGCCACCATGCCCAGCCACAAACATTTATTTCTAATGGAATGTATGATGTACATATTCTGCAATTTTGTTTTTTTCCCATAAAGCATGTCATGGACATCTTTCTACCATAGTGCATATTAGTCTTCCTTGTTTTCCTCGTGATTGCCTATTTTACCATTATAAGTCTGTGCCATTTTAGACCTGGTATCTTCCTGCTTCTGGGCAATCTTTTTGTGGCCAACATGGAAGTCTATAGCCCACTTAGGAGACATTTTTCCCAGTATGGAACCTCAGTCCAGAGCCCATGATCCTGTGGTTAGGATGAGCAGACAGTATGGCCGCTTTGCCCCCTCTCTGGACAATTCAGCCTTATCAGCCTCCAACTCACTTCCCCAGAGGATTTGGAAATATGCTTCCTACTGCTCTGTGCCCCTGGGCAGAGATGCTAAGTATCCTGTCCACCCCTTCCTTCGGAACATAACACAGAGGATTTTTGGCTTTTTAAACCTGCATCTTATCTGAAGGTAGGGATTGCTCTGCCTGCCATCCCAAAGCCTACAGTCCTGACACTGTGAAATGAGTGCAGAGGAAGGAGGTGGAATGCAGTTGGCTTTGAGTCCTAGCCAGCCGTTTGAAGGCTACAGCCTGCTTCTAACTTGTTTCTGATGGAATTCCCAGGAATGACCCTGGCTCAACCTGATTCTCATCATGTCTTCTCTGTACTTTGGAGAAATCAGGTCCCAAACTCTCCTTTCTGGGCCTCTCTAATGTCTGACTGTGGACATTCAGTATCTCAGCTCTGACTTCGCCTTTACTTCCTGTAGAGTGTCTTGAATTCTGGTAACTCATATTCTTGTGATGGTACCTCATTGCCAGTTGCTTTGTAACCTGCATTCCATAGTGTTGCTTACATGAAACTGACTTAAAAAGTGAAACCCTGACCCCATCAGTACTGTCACTCATCACTTAATCACAAGGATATGTTCTAAGAAATGCATCGTTAGGCAATTTCATTGTTGTGGGAACATCATAGAGTGTCCTTATGCAAATCTAGATGGTACCATTTACTACACTCCTGGGCTATGTGGTATAGCCCACTACTCCTAGGCTACAAACCTGTACAGCATGTGTGTACCATTATTATAGTAATAATGAATACTGTAGGCAATTGTAATATGGTAAGTATTTGCACGTCTAAACATAGAATGTTTACCTGCATAGGGTACTTACGTGAATGAAGCTTGAGAACTGAAAATTGCTCTGGGTGAGTCAGTGAGTGAGTGGTGAGTGGATGTGAAGGCGTAGGACATTACTGTACGCTTGGGCTACACTAAATTTATAAACCATTTTTCTTCAGTAATAAATTAGCCTTAGCTTACTATAGCTTTTCTTCACAAACTTTAAAAATTTAAAAAAAAACTTTTGACTCTTTTGTAATAACAGCTTAAGACAAACACATTGTACAGCTGTACAAAAATATTTTCTTCTTCCATATCCTTATTCTATAGCTATTTTCTATTTAAATTTTGTTATTTTACTTTAAAAATTTTTTTTTTTTGGTTAAAAACTAAGACATAATTCCAGCACTTTGGGAGGCCAAGGTGGCAGGATAGCTTGAGATCAGGAGTTCAAGACAAGGTTGGGAAACATAGCAAACCCTGTCTCTACAAAAAAAATGAAAAAATTAGCTGGGAGCAATGATGCACTCCTGTAGTCCTAGCTTCTTGGGAGGCTGAGGCAGGAGGGTCCCCTGAGCCCAGGAGTTCCAGGTTACAGTGAGCCACTGCACTCCAGCCTGGATGACAGAATAAGACCCTGTCTCTCAAAATGAATCAATCACACAAAGAAGCCAAAAACTAAGACACACACACACACGTGTTAGCTTAGGCTTACATGGGGTCAGGATCATCACTGTCTTTCACCTCCATATTGTGTCTTACTAGGTCTTCAGGGGCAATAACGTGCATGGAGCTATCATCTATGGCAATAATGCTTTCTTCTGGAAGATCTGCTGAAGAGACCTGCCTGGGGCTATTTTACAGTTAACCTTTTTTTATTTTTGAAACAGTGTCTTGCTGTCTCGCCCAGGCTGGAGTGCAATGGCACGATTTTGGCTCACCGCAGCCTTGAACTCCTCAGGCTCAGGCGATCCTCTCATCTCAGCCTCCTAAGTAGCTGGACTACAGGTGCATGCCACCATGCCAGGCTAAGTTTTGTATTTTTTTTGGAGAGACGGGGTCTCACCATGTTGCCCAGGCTCAGGCTGGTCTTGAACTCCTGGGCTCAAGCAATCCTCCTGCCTTGGCCTCCCAAAATGCTGGCATTTCAAGCGTGAGCCACCCTGCCTGGCATAGTTAACTTTTTTTAATAAGTAGGAGGAATATACTCAAAATAATAAAATATAGTAAATACATAAACCAATAACATAATCATTCATTATTATCAAGTATTATGTACTGTACATAATTGTATGTGCTATACTTTTATATGGCTGACAGTGCCGTAGGTTTGTTTACACCAGTATCACCACAAATACATGAGTAATGCATTGTGTTATGATACTACAACCGTTATGATGCCACTAGTGATGGGAAACTACTTCATACAGATGCTAGGGCCTAAGGCTATTCCTGTCTTTGAGGAGCTCTGATCCCAGGGATGAAGGCAGTAAATTCATTAATGAGGTAAGCATTACTATAATGATTTCTTTTTAACATTTAGAAGATGGTTGACTTCTGCCAGGAAGGAGGGCAAGGCTTCACTGAGGTGACATTTTGGTTCGTTTGAAAGGATAATTAGGATTCCATCAGTTGGAGAAGGTGTGAAGTCATTCAAGTCAGATAGAATAATGTGCAAAAGTACAGAGGTATAAAAAGAATGCTGTTCATTAGGTGTCCACATAGGCAAGAGGAAGTTTCTCTTTATAGAAACATTTCATCTCATAATTGAAGGTGTGATTGAAATATAATATTATCATTTTGCAATCCCTAATAAAGGGATCTTAGGCATTGAGCATCAACAGCTGCTAACATCACAAAAAGAGATCTGTATCACCTATGAAGTAGTTTAAAAAAATATCAAGCCTGAGTCTGATCAAACTTGTAGATCCAAATACTATTTTATAGGAAACACAGAAGATGGGGGCAATGTTTAACTATACCATAAGGATGTAACTAGCAACATGGGAGGAATTACAAATGACCCAATTTCTTTAATAAATTAATTGCAAGAAGAAAAAAAGTGGAGACAGACCTATAGATTAAAAAATATCAGTCTCAATGCATGCGTCTTATTTGGATTCTAACATAAAGAGGACATTTTATGAGACAATTGGAAATTCGAATACTGGATATTTGATGTTACTCAGGGATTATTATTTTTAGATATGACAGTGGTATCATGGGTTATGATTAATTCATTGTAAATTCGAGCAATGTACTGAAATTTTAATGGATAAAATGTTATGATGAGGAAATTTGCTTCTAAGTAGTATGGGAGAAGAGTAGATGAGGCTATAAGTGACACAATTGGCTATGGGTAATTCAAGCTGGGGTATGGGTACACCAAGTTTCATTATAGTATTTTGTTTGATTTTTCTGTATATTATTTAAAATTTAAAATTAGAATTCCCTGTAATAAGTTTTTTAAAAATGGTATATTTGGGATCTAGTAGCTCCATGTGGCTGAGGCACAGGGACATACAGGGCAGCAGGATATGGGACTATGAAGGGAGTTAGGGTCTCAGGGGTGGTGCTTGGGCTATAAAGTTCTTTTCATGCAGGCAAATGAGTTTCACACCACCCTGGAGACCTAGCGTTCTGAGGTGGAGCCTCTGGAGCAAGGATGGGGGACAGGAGCTGAACAGAGGGGATACTAGGATATTTTAACAAGAACAGCTTTGCTTCTAACTTTTATTAAATTGGGCTTCCAGGTAATATTTTGTTTAAAAACGGGATTCTGAGGCTTCAAAAAATTTCTCTGTAGCCATTGAGAGAACAGTTGAATATTTTAAAGACCGTCACTTGAGCCATAGTGCAGAAGATTGGAGGTAGGGAAATCAGCTGGGAGGCTATTTTAATATAGCTGGGAGGCAAATGAATAAAGCATTTGTTTTGAGAGGAATTTAGCCAGTGAAGATTTGGTCCCAGGAGGTAAACCTTTTAAGACAATATTTGTAATTATTATTTCCCAGGCCATACTCCTAGGGAAGACAACAAAGAGGGTGTGGAAATATGCTTACTCCTTGTAACAAGAAAGCCAGTCCTTCTTAGCACCCACTGGGGAATAGGCTGGAACCCTGCTCCTTTCTCTTCTATCTGGCTCTTGACAGAGCACACGGAGAACTATGTCTCCCTTACAACTGTCTCAGCATCTTCTTTGATCAGAGTCTCCAGTCTGTCCTCCTGTGCACCATAACTGATAATTTGGTGAGGTAGGGAGTGATGCCAGCTGTTTGGGTTTACAGTGACCACTTCTATTATTGTTGCTCCGTTTCAACTATAGCTGCTTTCAGTATGCACCACCACATCTACTTGACCGTACTCTACCTTCTTATAGCAGCTTAAACTCCAGAGTGTAAGACCCCAACAACTAGCCATCTCTTCTTCCCTTTTCTGTGAAATCTTAGAGTCTGTCTGACTAGGCAAATCCACTGACTTTCCCTCCTAGTAATCTCCCTCAAATGTAATGTCTCACTGAGCCCTGCGCCTTTAAAACACACGGACACATACTCATGCATCAAGCTGCTAACAGCTAATAAAAATGAACTATTAACATTCCAGACTCTGCTAGGTGCCTGTAATCCTAACACTTTGGGAAGCTGAGGTGGGAGGATCGCTTGAGCCCAGGAGTTTGAGACCAGCCTGGGCAACACAGTGAGGCCCCATCTCTACAAAAAACCCAAAAATTAGCCGGGTGTGGGATCACGTGCCTGTAGTCCCAGCTACTCAGGAGGCTGAGGGAGAAGGATCATTTGAACATGGAAGGTTGAGGCTGCAGTGAGCTATGATCATGCCACTGCACTCCAGCCTGGGTGACAAAGTGAGACCTTGTCTAAAAATAAAAATAACATTTAGATCTTGTCTAAAAATAAAAAACATTCCAGACTTGGTGAAAATCATTTAGGTACATCTTTATGTGTCTCTATCCCTCTGGCTTTCAGTCTACAATGTCCTGGTGGGCGGGACGCATGTTTCTTAACCTTGCCTTTGCCCCTCTGACTTGATGCTTGAGTGAAGCCTCTTTAGTTCTTACTTTTTGTGCTCATTAAGATCTTAGCCTTCTTGAATTATGGAACTCCTTGAGAATCTGATGATTGTTACGGACCTGCTCCAGAGAAATGCACACACATAGTATTTTGCCTACAATTTGAGAGTCTCTTGAATTTTAAAGCCGTTGCAATTTAAATGCATCAGGAAGACTTGACAGCAGAGAGTTTCTTGATAAAAATGCAGTATTCCTTTATTGCTGCTTGTTTGGTTGGTTTAAAAATATGCGATATTTCTTGTCCTACCCTAGCATTTCTGGTGCCAGTATCACCAATTTAAACAATCTCCCTGGTAATTCTAAAGTTCACTAAGATTTGAGAAGTTCTGCCCTAAAGACTCAGCTTGTCTTCATAGTCTATCTCATCTTCTGCTCCCAGCCACTTAACTCCTGCTACAGGGGTTCAAACTCTGGAGTCCTGGTTGTTATCTAAAGGGAACAACTGCCTTCCTGTAGGGCTAAAGTGAAGCCCCTTCATGGAGAAGCACTAGAGTCTGACAGTGGGCCCAGGTCTTCTTCATTTTCAGGTATAGTTCTGAATTCAGAAAGCCAAGTCATGTCCCAGAGAGCTGCACTTCTCTCCTTCTTTCTGTCCATCTCTCATCAATTATTTCTGTACTCACCTTCCCCCACTTCAGACTGGAACTTTCCCTCTTCTGGAGTTGTTGCTTTCCACCATACAAGATGTCTTGTGCTTCTGCATGTTGGCATCCAGGTGTATTATTATTCCTGTGTGGTAGCCAGCGGTGCAGACTTAGAATGCCTTGTAAGTGCCTCTAAGTAGGATATAGTAAAAAGGTTTGCAGAGTTAAGCTTACATCCCAGCAGGTCCAGGTACTTCTTTGAGGTACAAAACTGATGACAGGGCTGGGCGCAGTGGCTCACGCCTACAATTCCAGCACTTTGGGAGGCCGAGGTGAGCAGATTACTTGAAGTTAGGAGTTTGAGACCAGCCTGGCCAACATGGTGAAATCCCATCTTTACTAAAAATACAAAAATTAGCTGGGTGTGGTGGTGCATGCTTGTATTTCCAGCTACTTGGGAGGCTGAGGCAGAAGAATGGCTCAGGAGGTGGAGGTTGCAGTGAGCCAAGATTGTGTCACTGCACTCCAACTTGAGTGACAGAGTGAGTGAGACTCTGTCTCAAAAACAAACAAACAAACAAACTGATGACAGAGCAGAGAAGGTCGTATTGAGTAACTTAATTTATTATTTTTACTAGCTATAAACAATTTAAAAAATGTAATAATTGAAAATAATTTAGAAAGTTCAGAAGGGGCCAGGCACAGTGGGTCATGTCTGTTATCTCAGCACTTTGGGAGGCTGAGGTGGGAGGATTACTTGAGCCTAGGAGTTCAAGACCAGCCTGGGCAACATAGTGAGATCCCTGTCTCTACAGAAAAATAAATTAGTCAGGTGTGGTGGCATGTACCTGTACTCCCAGCTACTTGGCAGACTGAGGCAGGAGGATCCCTTGAACCCAGGAGGTTGAACCTGCTGCATAGCTAGGGTGACAGAGTGAGACCCCATCTTTAAATAAATAAATAAGAAAGTACAGCAAATGTTTTTTTTTTTTTTTAAGTGGAGGCTAAGTCAATTATAATCCTAGTTTTTTAAGTAGAGGCTAAGTCAATTATAATCCTAGTTCCTGCCATCCAGAGGCAACCATTATTAACATTCTGGCATCCTTCCATCTAGTGTTTTTCTATTTTTTAAAAAATAGAAATTATACAATATATACAACACAGTTACCTGCTTTTCTTTGCCTAACCTTGTTTTATAACATTTCCCAATTAATGCTTCAAAATCGTATTTTCTTTTCATGGCTGCATGATATTTAATTAAATAAATATACCATTATGTAACTTTTGCTCAATTGTTGGATACTTAAGTGTAATACCTATGTATAGTATTATAAATATGCTGTAATAAACATCTTAGTACCTAAACTTTTTCTTCTGGATTTTTTCCTTAGAAGAGGAATTGCTGGGTTAGAAATTATGAACATTTTTAAGACTCTTGATATACAGTACTAAATTATTTTCCAGAAAGATTAGAGTATGTAGCCTTTTCAGATTGGGTTCTTTTACTTAGAAATAGCATTTAAGGCTCTTTCCTGTCATGTTATGGTTTGATAGCTCATTTCTTCTTATTGCTCAATAATATTCCATTGTATGGCTGTACCATAGTTTATCCATTTACCTGGATAAACAAATCCAAAAACATCTTGGGTACTTCTAAATTTTAGCAATTATGAATAAAGCTGCTGTAAACATTCACGTGCAGGTTTTTGTGAGGATGTAAGTTTTCAATTAATTTGAGTAAATACCAAGGAGCATGATATGGTATGGATTTGTGTTCCCACCCAAATCTCATGTCGAATTGTAATCCCCAGTGTTGGAGGAGGGGCTTGGTGGATGGTGATTGGCTCATGGGGGTAGAGTTCCCCCTTGCTGTTCTCATGAAAATGAGTGAGTTCTCATGAGATCTCATTGTTTAAAAATGTGTAGCACCTCTTCCTTCACTGTCTTCCTTCTGCTCCAGCCATGTAACATGTGCCAGCTTCCCCTTTGCCTTCCTCCATGATTCTAAGTTGCCCGAGGCCTCCCAGAAGCAGAAACCTGTACAGCCTGCAGAACCATGAGACAATTAAACCTCTTTTCTTTATAAACTACCCAGTTTCAGGTATTTCTTTATAGCAGTGTGAGAACAGACTAGTACAGAGCACAATTCCTGAATCATATGGTCAGCCTGTGCTTAGCTTTGTAAACTGAAATTGCCTTTTCCTCCAGCAGTGAGGAAGAGTTCCTGCCGTTTCCCATCCTCTCCAGCACTTGGTGTAAATGTTTGTGTTTTGGATTTCAGTCGTTCTAATAGGTATGTAGTGGTATCTCGTTCTTGTTGTTTTCTCTCTCATCATTGCCTTGATTTGCAGTCTCCTAATTATGCATGGTGCTGAGCATCTTTTCATCTGCATATCTATCATCTTTATATCTTCTTTGTAAAGTTTTCAGATCTTTTGCCCTTTTTAAATTTTTTTAAATTAAGTTTTTAGAGTTCATATATTTTGGATACCAATCCTTTATCAGATAAGTGGAATTTTTTTTTTTTTTTTTTTTTTTTTAAACAGAGTCTCGCTCTGTTGCCCAGGCTGGAGTGCAGTGGCGTGATCTCGGCTCACTGCAACCTCCGCCTCCTAGGTTCCAGCGATTCTCATGCCTCAGCCTCCTGAGTAGCTGGGATTACAGGTATGTGCCACCATGACTGGCTAACTTGTATTTGTAGTAGAGATGGGATTTCACCATGTTGTCCAGGCTGGTCTCAAACTCCTGACCTCAGGTGATTTGCCCGCGTGGACCTCCCAAAGTGCTGGGATTAGAGGCGTGAGCCAATGCGGCCGGCTGTTTTCCAGACAGGGTCTCACTCTGTCAACCAGTCTGGAGTGCAGCCTTGACCTCCTGGACTTAAGGGATCCTCTCGTCTCAGCCTCCTGAGTAGCTGGGACTATAGTCTCACTATGTTGCCCAGGCTAGTCTTGAATTCCTGGGCTTGAGCGATCATGCTGCCTCAGCTTCTCAAAGTGCTAGGATTCCATGTCTTTGCTATTGTGAATAGTGCTGAGATGAACATACATGTGCATGTGTCTTTATGATAGAATGATTTTTATTCCTTTGGGTATGTACCCAGTAACGGGATTGCTGGATTGAATGGTAGTTTTTTATTTTATTTTATTTTATTATTATTATACTTTAAGTTTTAGGGTACATGTGCACAATGTGCAGGTTTGTTACATATGTATACTGTGCTGCACCCATTAACTCGTCATTTAGCATTAGGTATATCTCCTAATGCTATGCCTCCCCCATACCCCCACCACACAACAGTCCCGGGTGTGTGATGTTCCCCTTCCTGTGTCCATGTGTTCTCATTGTTCAATTCCCACCTATGAGTGAGAACATGTGGTGTTTGGTTTTTTGACCTTGCGATACTTTGCTGAGAATGATGGTTTCCAGCTTCATCCATGTCCCTACAAAGGACATGAACTCATCATTTTTTATGGCTGCATAGTATTCCATGGTGTATATGTGCCACATTTTCTTAATCCAGTCTATCATTGTTGGACATTTGGGTTGGTTCCAAGTCTTTGCTATTGTGAATAGTGCCGCAATCAATCTAGATGCCCATCAACAGTGGACTTGAAAAAGAAAATGTGGTACATATACACTGTGGAATACTACACAGCCATAAAAAAGAACAAAATCATGTCTTTTGCGACAACATGGCTGGAGCTAGAGGCCATTATCCTGAGAGAATTAATGCAGGAACAGAAAACCAAATACTGCATGTCCTTACTTACAAGTGGAAGCCAAACACTGAGTACATGTGGACACAAAGAAGGGAACAATAGACACCAGAGCCTACTTGAGGGTGGAGAGTGAGAGGAGGGTGAGGACTGAAAAACTACCTATTGGGTACTATGCTGATTAAATGGGTGACAAGATTATTTATATACCAAACCCCTGCAACACACAATTTACCCATGCAACAAACCTGCACATGTATCCCCTAAACCTAAAATAAAAGTTGGAAAGGGAAAAATGTCAATAAATAAATAAACTCAATGTTCATTTAGAAAAAACAAAACAAAACAAAAAAACAAACACAAAGTGCTAGGATTATGGGCATGAGCCACAGCACCTGGCCCATCAGATAAGTGTTCTACAAATATTTTCTTTCGGTCTGTGGCTTGTATTTTCATTTTTGTAACTTACAAACTTCTAAATGATTGAGTAAATCAAGAAGGAAAAGATAGAGTACACAGGCATTAAAAGTTACCTACATAAACAAAATAAGATATTCAAAAAATGGCAAAATATTTTCAGCAGATATGACAAATCATTAAATGTGTTCATTATATGAAAAGCTGATATATACATATACGTATGTCATATATATACATATATGTAGCCAGAAGACTTGAACAGATAATTAATAAAAGTGGTTATATAACAAATAAATATGTGGAAAATTGTTTACTCTTGCTAGTAATAAAATAAGTGCAAATAAAACAATAAAGTATTTCCACTTTTTGGGCTTATCAAGTTAGCCAAAAAATTTTCAATGCTATTGTCTAATAATGTGTTGGAAAAGCTACTTATACATGGCTGAGAGGAGTCTAAATTGGCAAAGCAATTCGCTGATACAGGAGGTCTTTTAAATTATTTTTATTTATTTTTTAAATTTTTTGAGAAAGGGTCTCGCTGTGTCACCCAGGCTGGAGAGCAGTGGTGCAATCGTGTCTCACTGCCGCCTCAACCTCATGGGCCCAAGCAATCTTTCTGCTTCAGTCTTCTGAGTATCTGAGACCACAGGTGGGAGCCACCATGCCCAGCTAATTTTTTTAATTTTTATATTTTGTAGAAACAGGTCTCACTATGTTGCCCAGGCTGGTCTTGAACTCCTCGGCTCAAGTGAACCTTCCACCTCTGCCTCCCAAAGTTCTGGGATCACAGGCATGAACCACTGTGCCCAGCCAAGGTCTTTAAAAATGTCAATGAATGAAGCATAGTTGTTAAGAATGCAAAGTTTGGAGTCATGAAAACTTTATTATAGGCCAGGCACAGTGGCTTACGCCTGTAATCCCAACACTTTGGGAGGTCAAGGAGGGCGGATCACTTGAGGTCAGGAGTTTGAACCAGCCTGGCCAACATGGTGAAACCTCATCTCTACTAAAAATACAAAAATTAGCTGGGCATGGTGGCACATACCTATAATCCCAGCTACTGGGGAGGCTGAGGCATGAGAATCACTTGAACCCGGGTGGCAGAGGTTGCAGTGAGCCAAGATCACACCAGTGCACTCCAGCCTGGGCGACAGAGTGAAACCTTGTCTCAGAAAAAAAAAAAAAAAAAAAAAAAGAAAACTTGATTATAAATTCTGACTCTATTTTTATCCATAATATAGGGATAATAATGCTGCCTATCTCATAAGGTTATTGTCTGGTTTAAATGAGAGAAAGCCTGTAAAGCACTTGTAAGAGTAATGGACACATGGTGGCAGAGCTGAATTTCCAACACAGTTCTTCCTGATATCAGTGCTTTTCTTTGCTATTTAGTCTTTTTTTTTTAATGAATAGGAAATTCAAACAACGTAGAAGTAAATAAAGCATCAAAGCCTTCCCTTTCCCTCTGCATCTCCACTTCCATTTTCATTTTTCACAGAAAAATATTTGCTGTTAAGAGTTTTATTCAAAACCCCTCCTATATATTTATAGGCATAAAAAGATACTTTTACATGCACAGTTCCCTTCTTCCCTTTCTCTCTTCTTTCTTTCCTCATTCCCTCCCTTTCTTCCTTCGTCCCTGCCTCCATCCCTTCCTCCTTCCTTTCCTTCCTTCTTTAAATAAAGAATGATGATTCTGTGTGCATTGTTCTGCAACTCAACAGTATGATTTGAACATCTGCCCATATCAGTCCCTGTGCAGAGCACTCTATTATATGGCCACACTAAATTTATTTGATCTTTCCCCTATTGATGGATGTTTTTGCTGTTTCCGATTTCTGCTCCATCAAATAATGTTTCATTGAAAATCATTTTGCCTATATTTTGCATATATGTGGGAGAAGCACAGTAGCATTTTTTTTAGTTGTGATGAGTTATATGGGGTAATGCTTCCATTTTTATTCTCTGTGCTTACCTAGGATTATTAGCATTTATTGAAGAATGCAGAGCTCAGTTAGGGGGTCTAGAATGTTGTCTTTGAGCAGGATTATGCCATGCACATTGGTAAGTCTGAGATACTTGCTGTGTTTTCATTTACTTGACACTGTTGTGCTGCTGAGCCAACCACTAACATGAGTTGAACTACATGTCTATGCCTCTAATTGCTGACAGTGTGCTGAGAAGAGAGGTAAGAGACCCACAGAAAAGTTTTAGAGATAATAATAGCAGACATGTAAAATTCTAGGGACTTTAAAATCACGGCCAGGCACAGTGGCTCATGCCTCTAATCTCAGCACTTTGGGAGGCCAAGGCAGACAGATCACTTGAGGTCAGGAGTTCTAGACTACCCTGGCCAACATGGTGAAACCCTGTCTCTACTAAAAAAAATACAAAAAATTAGCCAGGCATGGTGGTGCATTGTGACAATGTCCTGGGACATAAATTGCTCCCAGCTACTTGGGAGTCTGAGGCAAGAGAATTGCTTGAACCTGGGAGGCAGATGTTGCAGTGAGCTGAGATCATTCCACTGCACTCCAGTCTGGGCAACAGAGTGAGACTCCATCTCAAAAAAACCCAAAAACAAAACTCGCAGGGAAAAGCTTTTGTGAGAGATGGGCTTAGGATGAGGATTTGGAATGAATGTAATACATTATGTAATGCCCTAGAAGTATACTGGTAATACAATGTGATAAGTAACACATTTGACAATTTCTAAATTTTTAATTCCATGATTTATGAACTTAGAAACTATATATGACAGAGTGTTCAAAAAATTGTTTTGTGGGGTTTCACTTCTGTGTGAGGAATATTAATGTGAGGAGTGTTAAATGGAGCAGGACACTAGAGGTGGTAAGGACAGATTGTATTCAGTACTACTGCAATAGGGGAAAGAGACTTCAGTGTAGAACTGAGCTCAATTCTGAATACAACAAGGACAAATGGGGACTTATAGTCAAGGAGCAGAGTGAGGGAGGTCAGAGGATGGAAAAATTAGTTTGCCTAAAGCAGAGCTGTTACCTAGAGAGAAGCACACCAGTGATTTCTATCCCCACTACTCAGCTCTGGAACTGTGGCTCTGGTATCTTTCCTAGGGGGAGAGGCGGACTCTAAACAAATAAATCTAAAGTCTTCCCATAAGGAATGGAGTTTGATACAGGATGTAGGGAAGTTCAAGTCTAAGGGTTCTCTCAAACAATGGCAGTTTCATTAGAAAGCAATTAAGAGGCAGCTGGTGGCTTTATGATAGATACAAGCGAGCCCACTTACCAACTAGTTTACCAGAGAGCATCAGGGAAAAGGATTGCTAAGAAGAGCCCTCCTGGGGACAGAGCAAACCTTAAACATGCATCTCAAAAATGAACCCTGCAAGGGAGTCCTAATTTAATTGGATTAGCTGTGGAGCAATTTATGTCTCAGGACATTGTCACAAACAATAGAGCAATCAGCTGACAATTAGTGAAGCATAAGAGCTGGGAGTGATCAAGGGAAGAGGCAGTAGAAGAGAGCCCTGCTAAAATAACATTACTGACATCCTAGGGTGCCTGTGCATATGCCCAATGTTGCACCTTCTGAGGAACAACATCAGAGGCTTTACAGTGTGAAGGAAATAGACTTCACTAAAATAATCCACCCAGACAATATACAAACAGGCATACAACAATAACAAGCCTTGGCATCAGAGGGAGGGGAGTGATATCCAGAACTTCTACAATATATCATCTGAAGCATTTGTTTTCAACAGAAATTATGCTAACGTCAAGGAAACAGGAAAGTGTGACCTATACACAGGATAAAAATCAGTCAACAGAAACTACTTGTGAGAGGGACAGATGTCAGACTTAACAAAGACTTCAAAGTAGCCATTATGAAAGTAAGGAAACCATGCTTAAGGAAGCAAAAGAAGATAGGATGACAATATTTTATTATGTAGAGAATATCAGTAAAGTGGTAGAAACTATAAAAAAGAATCAAGTAGACTTTGTGAAGTTAAAAAGTTCAGTAACTGAAATAAAATCACTAGAGAGGCTCAACAGTAGATTTGAACTGGCAGAAGAGAGAATTGAACTTGAAGATAGATCAGCAGAGATTATGAAATCCAAAGACAGAAGAATGAAGAAAAATGAACAGAACCTCAGAGGTATCTGAAGCAGCTATAACAATGTCAGACAAAATAAAATTTAAAATAAAAATGTTAATAGAGATAAAGAAGGACATTTTATAATAATAAAGGGGCCAATCTATCAGGAAGACATAACAATTATAAACATATATGCACCTATTAACAGCATCCCAAAATACATGAAACAAAAACTGACAGAAATGAAAGGAGAGATGACAATTTGATAATAGTCCTTGGAGACTTCAATACCTTCAGCAATAGATAGAACAAATAGGCGGAAGATCGGTAGGAAACAGAAGACTTGACCATTATAAACAAACTAATCCTAACAGATACTCCAGGAGTAGCAGAATATAAATTCTTCTCAAGTGCATATGAAACATTCTTCAGGATAGACCATATGCTAGACCATAAAACAAACCTCAATACATTTAAAAGGATTGAAATGCTTCAAAGTATGTTCTTCAACTACATGGAATGAAATAAGAAATCAACAACTGAATAAGAGAAATTCACAAATACATGGAAATTAACACACTGAAAACCAATGGGTTAAAGAAGAGTATCAAGAGAAGCTGAGTGCAGTGTGTGCCTGTAGTCCCAGCTACTCGGGGGGCTGAGTTGGGAGAATCACTGGAGCTGAGGAGTTTGAGGTCAGCCAGGGTAACATAATGAGACCCTGTCTTAAAAACAAACACAAAACAAACAACAACAACAAAAAACACACAAAATACAAGAGAAAATTCATTGAGATGTATAAAAACTAAGAAAAAATAGCCAGGTGTGGTGGCTCATGCCTGTAATCCTAGCACTTTGGGAAGCCAAGGTGGGAGAATTGCTTGAGTTCAGGAGTTTAAGACCAGCCTAGGCGACATAGCAAGACCTTATTTCCACCAAAAATAAAAAAAAATTTAGCTGGGCAGTGGTGGGGCATGCCTGTAGTCCCAGCTACTCAGGGGGCTGAGGTGGGAGAATTGCTTGAGCCCAGGAGATCGAGGCTGCAGCTATGATTGTGCCACTGCACTCCAGCCTAGGCAACAGAGTAAGACCCTGTCTAAAAAAAAAAAAAAAGAATGAAAAAAAAATAACTTATGGGATACAACTAAAGCTGTACTTAAAGGAAATTTTTAGCTATAAACATCTATATTATAAAAGAAGAATAATCTCAAATCAATAAACTAAACTTCCACCCTGACACTTAAGGAAAAAGAAGAGCAAACCAAACCTCAGGCAAGTAGAATAAAGGAAGTAATAAAGGCTAGAGTGAAAATTAATGAAATAGATAATTTAAAAAATAGAGAAAAAAAAATCAAAACCAAAAGCCAATTCCTTGAAAAGATCAACAAAATCAACAAACATTTTAGCTAGACTGAACAAGAGAAAAAGAGAAGACTCAAGTTGCTAAAATCAGAAATGAAAAAGGGACATCACTACTGACCTAATAGAAATAAAAAGTATTATAAAATAATACTATGAACAATAGTATGCCAATAAATTAGATAATTTAGATAAAGTGAATAAATCCCTGGAAAGAGACAAATTACTAAAGGTGACTCAAGAAGATATAGAAAGTTTGAATAGATCTTTATCAAGTAAAAATATTGGACAAGTAATATAAAATTGCCAACAACAACAACAACAACAAAAACAACAACAAAAATTCAGGCCTAGATTTCTTCTCTGGCAAATTGTAGCAAACATTTAAAGAAGAATTAATAGAAATATTTACAAACTTATCTAAAAAAAAAAGAAGGATGAATACTTTTCAGTTTATTCTATGAGGTCAGTATTATCCTGATACCAAAACCAGACAAGGACATAAAAATAAAACTGCAGACCAATATCTTTATGAATATAGACCCTGGCTGGGTATGGTGGCTCACACCTATAATCCCAGCCCTTTTAGAAGTTGAGGTGAGAGAATGGCTTTGAGCCTAGGAGTTCAAGGCCAGCCTGCACAACATAGTGAGACCCCCATCTCTACAAAAAAAAATTAAAAATTAGCTGGGTGTGGTGGTGAACACCAGTAGTCCCAGCTACTTGGGAGGCTGAAGTGGAAAGATCTTTTGAACCTGGGAGGTAGGGGCTGCAGTGAGCTGTTATCACACTACTGCACTCCAGCCTGGGTGACAGAGCAAGACCCTGTCTCAAGACCCTCTCCAAGACAGACAAACAAAAAAACCCAAATGAGAAGACAGACTCCCAAATCCTCAAAAAAATACTAGCAAACAGGGTATATCAACATATAAAAATGCTTGTACACCATGAGCATGTTAAACGTATCCCAGTGATTTATTTATTTGGAGACAAAGCCTTGCTCTATCCCCAAGTCTGGAGGTCAGTGGCATGATCTTGGCTCGCTGCAACCTCCGCCTCTTGGGTTCAAGCGATTCTCATGCCTCAGCCTCCCGAGTAGCTGGGATTACAGGCACCCAGCTAAGTTTTGTATTTTTAGTAGAGACTAGGTTTTGCCATGTTGGCCAGGCTGGTCTCAAACTCCTGAACTCAGGTCATCTGCCTGCCTCGGCCTCCCAAAGTGTTGGGATTACAGGCGTGAGCCACCACACCTGGCCCTAGCGATCTATTATAAGATTGGTTTAACATCCAAAAATCAACCAATAGGACAAAAAATAATAGGTGTGTTCCCATAGATGCAGGAAAAAAAATTTGCAGAAATCTAACATGCTCTCATGATAAAAACACTCAACAAACTAGAAATAGAAGATAATTTTCTTAACCTGATAAAGGACATCTACAAAAAAACCCACAGCTAACATCATACATCATCTCGGCTCACTGCAACCTCTGCTCCCAGTTTCAAGAGATTCTACTGCCTCAGCCTCCCAAGTAGCTGGGATTACAGGTGCATGCCATCACCCTGTGGTGCCTGGCTAATTTTTTGTATTTTAGTAGAGACAGGGATTCACTGTGTTGCCCAGGCTGGTCTTGAACTCCTGAGCTCAGGCAATCTGCCTGCCTTGGCCTCCCAAAGTGCTGGGATTACAGGTGTGAGCCACCATGCCCGGCTTAATATTTTTAAGATGGCAATACTCCCCAAACTGATCTTCAGATCAACACAGTCCCTGTCAAAATTCAAGCTGGCTTCTTAGCAGAAATGGAGAAGGTAATCCTAAAATCATATGGGAATTCAAAGGATCCAGAGTAACCACAACATTCTTGAAAAAGAAAAAGAAAGTTGGAGGACTCATGCTTCCCAATTTCAGAACTTACTACAAAGCTACAGTAATTAGGACAATTTGGAAGTGGCATAAGAATAGATATATAGAATGGAATACAATTAAGAGTCAAAAAATAAGCCCATATATTTACAGCCAATTGATTTTTTTTCTTTTCTTTTCTTCATTTTTTTTTTTTTTTGAGATGGAGTCTTGTTCTGTCTCCCAGGCTGGAGTGCAGTGGCATGACCTCAGCTCACTGCAATCTCCACCTCCCAGGTTCAAGTGATTCTCCTGCTTCTGCCTTCCAAGTAGTTGGGATTACAGGCGCGTTCCATGACGCCCAGCTAATTTTTGCATTTTCTGTAGAGACAGGGTTTCACCATATTGGCCAGGCTGGTCTCAGACTCCTGCCCTCAAGTGATCCACCTGCCTCAGCCTCCCAAAGTGCTGGGATTACAGGTGGGAGCCACCACACTCGGCCCCAATTGATTTTTGATATGAAGAGAGAACAATCTCTTCCACAAACTGTGTTGAGACACCTGGATATCCACATGCAAAATAATGAAATTTGATTCCTACCTCACACTGTATATAAACATTAACTCAAAATGGATCAAAGACTTAAATGTAAGACCTGAAACCATACAACTGTTAGAAGAAAATACAGGGGGTAAATCTTTATGACCTTAGATTTGGCAATGGATTTTTGGATATGACATCAAAAGCATTAGAAACAAAAGAAAAAAACAGATGTCTTAGTGTGAGCTGCTATGACAAAATACCATAGGCTGGGTGGCCTAAGTAACAGAAATGTATTGGCTTCTAGTTCTGGAGGCTAGAAATCTGAGATCAGGTGTCAGCATGATCGCGTTCTTGTGAAGGTTTTCTTCCTGGCTTGCAAACAGCTACCTTCTCACTGTGTCCTCACACAGTGAAGAGAGTGAGAGAGAGCGAGCAAGTTCTCTGGTGTCTCTTCTTATAAAGGCACTAATTCCATCATGAGGGCTCCACCCTCATGACCTCATCTAAATCTAATTATCTCCCAAGGCCCCATCTCCAAATACCATTATGCTGGGGATTAGGGTTTCAACGCATGCATTTTGGAGGCAGGGGACACAATTCAGTCCATGGCAGTAGATAAATTGCGATGATTTTTATAGATAAAAATTAAAGGACATTGCAGCATTCCAATATGGCCGAATAGGAACAGCTCCGGTCTGCAGCTCCTAGTGTGATTGATGCAGAAGATGGGTGATTTCTGCATTTCCAACTGAGGTACCTGGTTCATCTAATTGGGACTGGTTGGACAGTGGGTACAGCCCATGGAGGGCGAGCTGAAACAGGGCGGGGCATTGCCTCACTGGGGAAGCTCAAGGGGTTGGGGGATTTCCCTTTCCTAGCCAAGGGAAGCTGTGACAGACTGTACCAGGAAAATCGGGACACTCCCGCCCAAATACTGCACTTTTCCAATGGTCTTAGCAAACAGCACACCAAGAGATTTTATCCTGCACCTGGCTCAGCGGGTCCCATCCCCACGGAACCTTGCTCACTGCTAATGCAGCAGTCCAAGATCGAACTGCGAGATGGCAAGCCTGGCTGGGGGAGGGGCATCCACCATTGCTGAGGCTGGAGTAGGTAAACAAAGTGGCCAGGAAGCTTGAACTGAGTGGAGCCCATCCCAGCTCAATGAGGACCCCTGCCTCTGTAGACTCCACCTCTGGGGGCAGGGCATAGCTGAACAAAAGACAGCAGAAACTTCTGCAGACTTAAACGTCCCTGTCTGACAGCTCTGAAGAGAGCAGTGGTTCTCCCAGCATGGTGTTTGAGCTCTGAGAACGGACAGACTGCCTCCTCAAGTGGGTCCCTGACCCCTGTGTAGACTAACTTGGAGACACCTCCCAGTAGGGGCTGACTGACACCTCATACATATGGGTGCCCCTCTGAGATGAAGCTTCCAGAGGAAGGATCAGGCAGCAATATTTACTGTTCTGCAGCCTCCACTGGTGATACCCAGGCAAACAGGGTCTGGAGTGGACCTCCAGCAAACTCCAACAGAGCTGCAGCTGAGGGACCTGACTGTTAGAAGAAAAACTAACAAACAGAAAGGAATAGCATCAACATCAACTAAAAGGCCATCCACACCAAAACCCCATCTGTAGGTCACCATCATCAAAGACCAAAGGTAGATGAAACCACAAAGATGGGGAGAAACCAGAGAAGAAAAGCTGAAAATTCTAAAAACCAGAGAGCCTCTTCTCCTCCAAAGGATTGCAGTTCCTCGCCAGCAATGGAACAAAGCTGGATGGAGAATGACTTTGATGAGCTAACAGAAGTAGGCTTCAGAAGGTCAGTAATAACAAACTTCTCCGAGCCAAAGGAGGATGTTCGAACCCATCGCAAGAAAGCTAAAAACGTTGAAAAAAGATTAGATAAATAGCTAGCTAGAATAAACAGTGTAGAGAAGACCTTAAATGACCCGATGGAGCTGAAAACCATGGCACAAGAACTACGTGACGCATGCACAAGCTTCAGTAGCTGATTCAATCAAGTGGAAGAAAGGGTATCAGAGATTGAAGATCAAATTAATGAAATAAAGTGAGAAGAGAAGTTTAGAGAAAAAAGAATTAAAAAAAACAAACAAAGCCTCCAAGAAATATGGGACTATGTGAAAAGACCAAATCTACATTTGATTGGTGTACCTGAAAGTGATGGAGAGAATGGAACCAAGCTGGAAAACACGCTTCAGGATATTATCCAGGAGAACTTCCCCAACTTAGCAAGGCAGGCCAACATTCAAATTCAGGAAATACAGAGAACACCACAAAGATACTCCTCAAGAAGAGCAACTCCAAGACACGTAATTGTCAGATTCACCAAGGTTGAAATGAAGGAAAAAATTTTAAGGGCAGCCAGAGAGAAAGGTCAGGTTACCCACATAGGGAAGCCTATCAGACTAACAGCAGATCTCTCAGAAGAAACTCTACAAGCCAGAAGAGAGTGGGGGCCAATATTCAACATTCTTAAGGAAAAGAATTTTCAACCCCAAATTTCATATCCAGCCAAACTAAGCTTCATAAGTGAAAGAGAAATAAAATCCTTCACAGACAAGCAAATGCTGACAGATTTTGTCACCACCAGGCCTGCCCTAAAAGAGCTCCTGAAGGAAGCACTAAACATGGAAAGGAAAAGCTGGTACCAGCCACTGCAAAAACATACCAAATTGTAAAGACCATTGATGCTAGGAAGAAACTGCATCAACTAACGGGCAAAATAACCAGCTAACATCATAATGACAGGATCAAATTCACACATAACAATATTAACCTTAAATGTAAATGTGCTAAATGCCCCAATTAAAAGACACAGACTGGCAAATTGGATAAAGAGTCAAGACCCACCAGTGTGCTGTATTCAGCAGACCCATCTCACGTGCAGAGACATACATAGCCTCAAAATAAAGGGATGGAGGAAGATCTACCAAGCAAATGGAAAGCAAAAAAAAGCAGGGGTTGCAATCCTAGTCTCTGATAAAACAGACTTTAAACCAACAAAGATCAAAAGAGACAAAGAAGGCCATTACATAACGGTAAAGGGATCAATTCAACAAGAAGAGCTAATTATCCTAAATATATATGCACCCAATACAGGAGCACCCAGATTCATAAAGCAAGTCCTTAGAGACCTACAAACAGACTTAGACTCCCACACAATAATAATGGGAGAATTTAACACCCCACTGTCAATATTAGACAGATCAATGAGACAGAAGGTTAACAAGGATATCCAGGAATTGAACTCAGCTCTGCACCAAGCAGACCTAATAGACATCTACAGAACTCAACCCCCAAATCAACAGAATATACATTCTTCTCAGCACCACATTGTACTTATTCCAAAATTGACCACATAGTTGGAAGTAAAGCACTCCTCAGCAAATATAAAAGTACAGAAATCACAACAAACTGTCTCTCAGACCACAGTGCAATCAAATTAGAACTCAAGATTAAGAAACTCACTCGAAACCGCTCAACTACATGGAAACCGAACAACCTGCTCCTGAATGACTACTGGGTAAATAACGAAATGAAGGCAGAAATAAAGATGTTCTTTGAAACCAATGACAACAAAGACACAACGTACCAGAATCTCTGGGACACATTTAAAGCAGTCTGTAGAGGGAAATTTATAGCACTAAATGCCCACAAGAGAAAGCAGGAAAGATCTAAAATCGACACCCTAACATCACAATTAAAAGAACTAGAGAAGCAAGAGCAAACAAATTCAAAAGCTATCAGAAGGCAAGAAATAACTAAGATCAGAGCAGAACTGAAGGTAATAGAGACATAAAAAAACCCTTCAAAAAATAAATGAATCCAGGAGCTGGGTTTTTGAAAAGATCAACAAAATTGATAGACTGCTAGCAAGACTAATAAAGAAGAAAAGAGAGAAGAATCAAACAGACGCAATAAAAAATGATAAAGGGGATATCACCACTGATCCCACAGAAATACAAACTATCATAAGAGAATACTATGAACACCTCTATGCAAATAAACTAGAAAATCTAGAAGAAATGGATAAATTCCTCGACACATACACCCTCCCAAGACTAAACCAGGAAGAAGTCGAATCCCTGAATAGACCAGTAACAAGTTCTGAAATTGAGGCAATACTTAATAGCCTGCCAACCAAAAAAAAATCCAGGGCCAGATGGATTCACAGCCGAATTCTACCAGCGGTACAAGGAGGAGCTGGTACCATTCTTTCTGAAACTATTCCAATCAATAGAAAAAGAGGGAATCCTCCCGAACTCATTTTATGAGGCCAGCATCATCCTGATACCAAAGCCTGGCAGAAACACAGCAAAAAAAGAGAATTTTAGACCAATATCCCTGATGAACATCGAAGCGAAAATCCTCAATAAAATACTGGCAAACCGAATCCAGCAGCACATCAAAAAGCTTATCCACCAAGATGAAATTGGCTTCATCCCTGGGATGCAAGGCTGGTTCAACATACGCAAATCAATAAACGTAATCCATCACATAAACAAAACCAAAGAGAAAAACCACATGATTATCTCAATAGATGCAGAAAATGCCTTTGACAAAATCCAACAGCCCTTCATGCTAAAAACTCTCAATAAACTAGGTATTGATGGAACATATCTCAAAATAATAAGAGCTATCTATGACAAACCCACAGCCAGTATCATACCAAATGGGCGAAAACTGGAAGCATTCCCTTTGAAAACTGGCACAAGACAGGGATGCCCTCTCTCACCACTCCTATTCAACATAGTGTTGGAAGTTCTGGCCAGGGCAATCAAGCAAGAGAAATAAATAAAGGGTATTCAATTAGGAAAAGAGGAAGTCAAATTGTCCCTGTTTGCAGAAGACATGATTGTATATTTAGAAAACCCCATCATCTCAGCCCAAAATCTCCTTAAGCTGATAACCAACTTCAGCAAAGTCTCAGCATACAAAATCAATGTGCAAAAATCACAAGCATTCTTATACACAAATAACAGACAAACAGAGAGCCAAATCATGAGTGAACTCCCATTCACAATAGCTACAAAGGGAATAAAATACCTAGGAATCCAACTTACAACAGATGTGAAGGACCTCTTCAAGGAGAACTACAAACCACTGCTCAACGAAATAAAAGAGGACACAAACAAATGGAAGAACATTCCATACTCATGGATAGGAAGAATCAATATCATGAAAATGGCCATACTGCCCAAGGTAATTTATAGATTCAATGCCGTCTCCATCAAGCTACCAATGACTTTCTTCACAGAACTGGAAAAACTACTTTAAAGTTCATATGGAACCAAAAAAGAGCCTGCATTGCCAAGACAATCCTTAGCAAAAAGAACAAAGCTGGAGGCATCACGCTACCTGACTTCAAATATACTAAAGTCTACAGTAACCAAAACAGCATGGTACTGGTACCAAAAACAGAGATATAGACCAATGGAACAGAACAGAGGCCTCAGATATAACACCACACATCTACAACCATCTGATCTTTGACAAACCTGACAAAAACAAGAAATGGGGAAAGGATTCCCTATTTAATAAATGGTGCTGGGAAAACTGGCTAGCCATATGTATAAAGCTGAAACTGGATCCCTTCCTTACACCTTATACAAAAATTAATTCAAGATAGATTAAAGACTTAAATATTAGACCTAAAACCATAAAAACCCTAGAAGAAAACCTAGGCAATACCATTCAGGACAAGGCATGGGCAAGGACTTCATGACTAAAACACCGAAAGCAATGGCAACAAAAGCCAAAATTGACAAATGGGGTCTAATTAAACTAAAGAGCTTCTGGCCAGCAAAAGAAACTACCATCAGAGTGAACTGGCAACCAACAGAATGGGAGAAAATTTTTGCAATCTACCCATCTAAAGGGCTAATATCCAGAATCTACAAAGAACTTAAACAAATATACAAGAAAAAATCAAACAACCCCATCAAAAAGTGGGCAAAGGATATGAACAGACACTTCTCAAAAGAAGACATTTGTGCAACCAAAAGACACATGAAAAAATGCTCATCATCACTGGTCATCAGAGAAATGCAAATCAAAACCACAATGAGATACCATCTCACACCAGTTAGAATGGTGATCATTTAAAAGTCAGGAAACAACAGGTGCTGGAGAGGATGTGGAGAAATAGGAACGCTTTTACACTGTTGGTGGGAGTGTAAACTAGTTCAACCATTGTGGAAGACAGTGTGGCAATTCCTCAAGGATCTAGAACTAGAAATACCATTTGATCCAGTGATCCCATTACTGGGTATATACCCAAAGGATTATAAATCATGCTACTATAAAGACACATGCACATGTATGTTTATTGCAGCAATATTCACAATAGCAAAGACTTGGAACCAACCCAAATGTCCATCAGTGATAGAATGGATTAAGAAAATGTGGCATATATACACCATGGAATACTATGCAGCCATAAAAAGGATGAGTTCATGTCCTTTGTAGGGACATGGATGAAGCTGGAAACCATAATTCTGAGCAAACTATCGCAAGGACAGAAAACCAAACACCGCATGTTCTCACTCAGAAGTGGGAATTGAACAATGAGAAAACTTGGACACGGGGCAGGGAACATCACACACCGGGGCCTGTCATAGGGTGGGGGGATGGGGGAGGGATAGCATTAGGAGGAATACCTAATGTAATTGACGAGTTAATGGGTGCAGCAAACCAACACATATGTATACATGTGTAACAAACCTGCACATTGTGCACATGTACCCTATAACTTAAAGTATAATAATAAAAAAAACCCTAGAAAAACATAAAAAAATTAAAGGACATTATGAGAGAATGAAAAGAAAAGATATTCAATGGGAGGAATATTTGAAAATCATGTTATTTGTTAAAGGATTTTTATCTAGATTGTGTAAGAACTCTTACAAGTCAATAATAAAATGACAAATAATCCAACTAATAATGAGCACAGGATCTGAATAGACAGTTGTTTCCAAAGAAGATATCAAAATGGCCAGTAAGCACATGAAAAGGTGCTCAAGATTTTAGTTATCAGGAACATGCAAATCAAAACCACAATGAGCTACTGCTTCATATTCATTAGGATGGCTATAATAATAAAAGACAAATAATAAGTGTTGGTGAGGATGTGGGGAAATTGAAACTCTCATGCACTGTTGGTGAAAATGTAAAATGATGCAGCCACTTTGGAACAGTCTGACAATTCCTCAAAAGGTTAAACATAGAGTTTCCCTATAGCCTAGCAATTCCTCTCCTAGATATATAACCAAGAGAATTGAAAATATATGTTCATGCAAAAATTTGTACATGAATGTTAATAGCGGTATTGTTCACAATCGCTGAAAGGTAGAAACAATCCAAATATCTATTAACTGATAAATAAATAAAGAGTAGTCTAGCCATATACCCATACAATGGAATATTATTCAGCCATAAAAAGGAATGAAGTACTGATACAAGGTACTTCATGGATAAACTTAGGAACATTTTGTTAAGTGAAAGAAACCCATCTCTAACACATTTTTTTGTGATTCCACTTATATAAAATGTCAAAATAGGCAAATTATTGTGGCAGAAAGTAGACTAATTATTGCAAAGAACTGCAGGGTATAGAGGGATTGGCAGATGGTGGCTAAAGAGTACAGGGCTTCTTTTTGGGATAATGAAAATTTTCTAAAATTGATTGTGGTGATGGTTGTACAGTTCTGTAAATACACTAAAATTCATTGAATTGTATGCTTTAGTTTTATTTTATTTTATTTTTTGAGACGGAGTTTCGCTCTTGTTGCCCAGGCTGCAGAGCAATGGCAGATCTCAGCTCATGGCAACCTCCACCTCCTGGGTTCAAGCGATTCTCGTGGCTCAGCCTCCTGAGTAGCTGGGATTACAGGCACCCGCCAACACGCCCAGCTAATTTTTGTATTTTTAGTAGAGATGAGGTTTCACCATGTTGGCCAGGCTGGTCTCGAACTCCTGACCTCAAGTGATCCACCCACCTCGGCCTCTGAATTATATACTTTAAATGGGTGAAATGTATGGTATGTGACTTGTATCTAAATAAAGCTGTTACAAATAATTTTTTAAAATAATTGTTTATATTTAAGAGATATGGAGCTAGGTGAAGATGAACAAAAATTAATGAATCAAAATTCAGGTAGTCATTAGCTTTTACATGACTATCATTTCCATATATTACACATAAACACTTCTAAACTTTTCTATACCAAATTTTGACTTTCTTATTTTAGTAGACAAATAACTATTTCAAGTTACATTATGTTACTGTTGTCTGCCAGCCAATAGTTTCATTTTAGCAGTGTTGCCATCTAAATATGGCAATGTCTGTGCAGTGATTTGAACATTTTGTTGCATATTTGCCCTTATTTATAAAAGTATAGTGGAATTGGAAAAATAAAGTGCTGATGTTAATGATTTTCCAATTGTGTCAAAGGAAGCTATTATTTAGTATGCCAGAAACAGTAAATTTTGATGCTTATCAAATTTAAGCAGATCTGACAACTGTGTTCAATTATAAAAGAAAACAGTCAAACTTAAAACACATGTACAAAATGTTATAAGTATGTTGGCAAAGCTTGTGGCTAAAAATAAGGTGCAGTCATGGAACAAATGTGTGGATCTTTACAACTACGTGTAGCAGAATATTATTTTGATGTATCAGGTTTTTTTCCAGATAATATATATATTTTTTAACCTGGGGGTCCTTCCCAGTTCAAACTTGACCTCTTGGCAGCCATGCCTCGGGATAGGGTTGTTGCAGCATAGTGCAGATACCAAAGAAGTCAATCCTTGGCCTTTGAGGTTTAAAATATGTTTTGGAAACTCAAGGTAGAGATAAAAACCTTTGTGATTAAAAAGCTTTTGAACTTCAAAAGCTAGAACCATCCTGAGAATAAATTCAGAGAATAACCCAGAGAATAAACTCAGGCCTTAACCACAGGCACATGAGAATATGTGATCAGTCAGAGCCAGTTTTTCCAGTGTCTTCTTTTCTCTTAAAGACTAGAAAAAAATTCCTTAGACTTGTAAAGTGAAGACAGTCAGAGGAGAAGTGAGCTCTAAGTCTGGTGAATCTTTAAGGAGGAATCTATCCAGTGGCCCAAATTGCTAGAGCTTCTGCACCTTTTTTCGTTTTTCTTTTTTTTTTTTTGAGATAAGAGTCTTGCTCTGTCACCCAGGCTTGAGTGCAGTGGCGCGATCTCGGCTCACTGCAACCTCTGCCTCCCGGGTTCAAGTGATTCTCCTGCCTCAGCCTCCCGAGTAGCTGAGACTACAGGCATGCACCACCACGCCCAGCTAATTTTTTTGTATTTTTAGCAGAGATGGGGTTTCACCATGTTGGCCAGGATGGTCTCGATCTCTTGACCTTGTGATCCACCCGCCTCGGCCTTCCAAACTGTTGGGATTACAGGCGTGAGCCACCACGTTCGGCCGCTTCTGTGCCTTTTGAAGTGTAGACATTGAGAAGAAATGTTCGTGTGGCAGGGCCAGGCAGAGAGAGTCTGAGACAATATTCCTATGAACCCAGAGTGGCATGGGACAGTGGATGGATGTGTCCACTGCCCTCTGAGAGGGAAAAAGGAGTAGCTGAGAGCCTGGAGAGGCTTTCCTTCTGGGACATGGAGTCATAAATATGATCAACGTGGTTGGGCAGTTGGAAACCAAATGGGAATAAAGATGTTATGGTAAATGCCAATATGCAGGTATCCCTCTCTGTCCCATTCTTATTCCTTGGTACTTTGTGAACCCTGAGAGAAGGAATATGCCAAATATCATTTCAAGTAAACTGAATGAACAAGGATTTTGAGTTGCAAGGATACACCAGAAGGATTTTGAGTTGCAAGGATACACCAGAAGGATTTTGAGTTGCAAGGATACACGCCTGTAATCCCAACACTTTGGGAGGCTGAGATGGGCAGATCACGAGGTCAAGAGATGGAGACCATCCTGCCCAATCAACATGGTGAAACTCCGTCTCTACTAAAAATACAAAAATTAGTTGGGTGTAGTGGCACACGCCTGTAGTGCCAACTACTCAGGAGGCTGAGGCAGGAGAATCGCTTGAACCCGGGAGGCAGAGGTTGCAGTGAGCCAAGATTGCGCCACTACATTCCAGCCTGGGTGACAGAGCGAGACCCCGTCTCAATAAAAACATAAATAAATAAATAAATAAATTAAATAAAATACAATCTGTTTTTAATAGTTTAAATATCTGCATATGGTGTATAACATTCAGATGTAAAATCAAGTTAAGCATTTATATCATGTTTGAGACGTCATAATTTTTTTCTCTAGCTCTATGGATTGAATTCCTTCCTTTCCTCCTTTCCTCCTTCCCCCACCAAATAAAACATTTAAGTATAAAGTTCAAATTTCAGGCATTCTACTTTCCAAAACATTTTCCAGGAAAGCATTATGTATTATTAAAGGCAGGGACTGTCTGAATGGGAAAATAGCTTTCCTACCCACCCCCCATTCCAGAATATTGCAATGAAAATGATCAAACCACTGAAGCTTCTAGTAGTTTATCAATTTTTATCATGGGCTTTTGTCCATCCAGTTGCAGCATGACCATTAGAAATAGATAAATTCGGCGGGGCACCCGGTGGCTTACACCTGTAATCCTAGCACTTTGGGAGGCTGAGGTGGGCGGATCCCCTGACGTCAGGAGTTCAAAACTAGCTTGGCCAAATTGGTGAAACGCCGCCTCTACTAAAAAAATACAAAAATTAGCCGGATGTGGTGGCAGGCACCTGTAGTCCCAGCTACTCTGGAGGCTGAGACAGGAGAATCGCTTGAACCTGGGAGGTGGAGGTTGCAGGGAGCCAAGATCGTGCCATTGCACTCCAGCTTGGGCAACAAGAGTGCAACTCCATCTCAAAAAAGAAAAGAAAAGAAAAGAAATGGATAAATTCATTGCAGTCTGTTCATTTACTGTCTTGGGGCAAACACTCAGTTAGTGGGCCTTATTCCTTTGCTACTGAGGAGAAAGATGGAGCCTGGGTCTCAAGCCCACCTTTGCTGTACCTTTGCCAAATGGTACTGTATGCTTGCCGGCTAGAAGGAGGGTGAGGGATTTTTTTACAGCCTGAGAATGAGTGTGTGTGAGTGAGGTGGTATCCACATTCTTACATTCTTTTTTTGTTTTGTTTTGTTTTTGAGACAGAG